>NC_000011.10:60282649-60585680 GCF_000001405.40 Homo sapiens
TCAATATAGGAATGAAATTACGTCTTTGGAACAACTTAAATAAGTCAAATATACTTGGAGCTTTAAAAATTAAAAGGAGAGAGATTCGAGGTAAGACTACAATAGATTTGTGCTGAAGTAGCCGAGCTTTTGTTATCAACATTAAAAATTTTAACTTTATGCTAAGGGTGGTGAAATATAAAAGAAGGCTTTTAAAGGGGATGGTGACTCAATTGTTTTTGTATTTGATCATTCTGGCTACAACATCAGTGGTGGATTGAATATCCAAAGCCACAAATGGACACAGGGAACATTCAGAGGCTATAATGAATACTTCTGATAAAAATAGAATAATGGCTTGCCTTGAGAAGATGGGAGAAATACACAGAGTTGAAAAATGGTTGTGTAGGATTAGAATGAGATTGATTGAGCATAGAGGGTAGGCAATGGAAGGAACCAATGACAAACTATCAGATATTTTTGAGACAGGGTCTCACTGTGTTGCCCAGGCTGGAGTACCCTGATGCCATTGTGGCTTACTGCAGCCTGGGCCTCAGCCTCCTGAGTAGCTGGGATTACAGGCGCCCACCACCACACCCAGCTAATTTTTGCATTTTGTGTAGAGATGGGGTTTCACCATGTTCCCCAGTCTGATCTCAAACTCCTGGGCTCCAGCGGTCCTCCCACCTTGGCCTCCTATACTGCTGGGATTACAGGATTGAGTCAAAATGCCCAGCTTTAAACTTCCAGATTTTTAACATGGATAGTGTAGTTAATTGCTGGACCTTCCACCAAGAAAGGACACTTGTAATTTCATAGCCCTCTTAGGGTTCCTGTTCCCTTTAGCTCTTGCCACTCTTGATTAGCAACTACTTACAGGGCTCTGAAATAATCTCCACATAGGAAGATTTGCGCCACCTTACTTTTTTGAAAGGGAAATTTTGAGGAAGACTGGATGTCTTCTATTTAGGTCTTCTAAGGTTTGAAATAAAAATAACCTCTTCTCCCTTCTGGGACAAGTAGGTAAATTGTCAATTTATGGGCTTTATTAGAATGACTTTAAATTAAGCCCAGAGAAGGACAATTCCCTTAAGTGTAACAAAATTTGAGGATGTGGATTAAATGTAAGACCAAAAATAAGACCTATTTTATTTTAGCCATATGCTCCAAATCTAAATTTTGTGTTCTGTCTAGGAAGTGCTAAAGTGTATATATAGGTCTGAATATACCTACTCCATCGCATATAAATGCAAACCACCTCACAAATTCCATTATCATTGGAACAGAGACTGCAAGAGGAAGACAAGGGCCTCTTGGCCCACCTCTACGTAGTCTTGTTATCTAACTTATTCCAAATTGGGTGGTTTCTACCTTTTAGCTATTATAGATAATGCTGCTAAGAAAATTAATTGTACAAGTTTTTGTGCAAACAAGAGATCTTCCATTCACCAGACTAGTTTAGTGGATCCCCTTAAGCAAAGGAGTTCTGGAATTACATCACCTGGATTTAAATTTTGGCCCTGCCACTGTTTACTCAAGTTACTTAATCTTGTGTTTCTATAATTCTGTCCTGTGAATAATAGAATATATCTCTCAGGGGAATTTAATGATGAAATAACACATATAAAACATTTAAACCAGTGCGTGTCACTTAATAAATGCTAAATACATATTGACTATTATTACTGGTATTCCTACTATCACTTACTCATTTCTGGCTTGAAGTATAAAACATAAACTTCCTTTAACACTTCCTGCCACTCAAGGACATGCTAGACAGGGACTTTACTCCTGTCATGACCCTGCTCCAACCTTCTCCGGTCTTGGGGAAAATAGAAAAGCAGATAAGAGGGGTCTATATAATTGGTGAGAGCATGTTTTTCATGGTACCATGTGGTCAGAGGTTGACTCTTCCTCTCTTTTGCAGTTTGTCTCAAAGATTGGTCAGAAGAGTCAGGATTGTCCTCCTTTTTTGCTCTCAGTAAGTTAGATACAAGACTATGCAGAGGCGGGCCTAGAGGCTCTCCTCTTCCTCTTGCAGTCTCTGTTCTAATGATAATGGAGTTTATGAGGTGGGTTACATTCACATGCTATGGAGTAGGTACATTCAGACCTATATCGACACTTTAGCATCCTCTGAGCAGAACACAAAATTTAGATATGGATCAAAGGGGTAAAATAAAATAGCAGGCCTTATTTTTTGTCTTAAATTTAATTTGTACTCGCAAATTTTGTTAAACATCAGAGAACTGTCCCCCTCTGGGCTTAATTTAAAGTCATTCTAATAAAGCCCATAAATTAACAATTTACCAACTGCCCCAGAAGGGAGAAGAGGTAATTTTTATTTCAAACATTAGAAGACCTAAATAGAAGATATTCGGCCTTCCTCAAAATTTCTCTTTCAAAAAAGTAAGGTGTTACAGGAAAAGTATGTGGAAATTATTTCAGAACCCTACAAGCAGCCTCTAATCAAGAGTGGCAAGAACTCAACGTAACAGAAACCCTAAGAGGGCTATGGGACTGCAAGTGTCCTTTCTTGGTGGAAGGCCCAGCAATTAACTACATTGTCTGTGTTAAAAATCTGTAAGTTTAAGTTTGGGCATGGTGGCTCACTCTTGTAATCCCAGCACTACTGGATGCTGAGACGGGAAGATCACTTGAGCCCTGGAGTTTGAGACCAGCTTGGGTAACATAGAGAAACCCCATCTCTACAAAAAATACAAAAATTAGCTGGGTGTGGTGGCACAGGCCTGTAATCCCAGCTACTTGGGTGGCTGAGGTCGAGGCTGCAGTGAGTCACGATAGTGCCAGTGTACTCCAGCCTGGGCAACAGAATGAGACCCTGTCTCAAAAAAGTCTGGTAGTTTATTGGAGGAACCAGTCCCCAATATTTCAACATAGGTTCTTTTCTATTTTCCCTAAGTGTCAGCCAGTCTGAGAAATAAAGAGAATGAGTACAAAAGAGAGAAATTTTACAGCTAGGCCTCCGGGGGTGACATCACATATCAGCAGGCACCGTGATGCCCCCGAGCTGCAAAACCAGCAAGTTTTTATTAGGGATTTCAAAAGACGAGGAATGTACAAATAGGGAGTGGGTCACAGAGATCACATGCTTCAAATGGCAATAAAAGATCACAAGGGCAGAAGGGCAGAGCAAGGTCACAAGGCCAGGGTGAAATTAGAATTACTAATGAGGTTCCATGTCCTGCTGTGCACACATTGTCATTGATAAACATCTTAACAGGAAACAGGGTTCAAGAGCAGAGAACCAGTCTGACTACAATTCACCAGGCTGGAATTTCCTAATCCTAGCAAGCCTGAGGGTGCTGCAGGAGACCAGGGTGTATTTCATCCCTTATCTTCAATCGCATAAGGCAGACACCCCCAGAGCGGCTGTCCATAGGCACCCCCTGGGAATGCATTCTCTTCCCAGGGTTATTCCTTACTGGGAAAAGAATTCAGTGATATTTCTCCTACTTGTTTTCTGCAATAAGAAAAATATGACTTTGTTCTGCCCGGCCCCGCAGGCAGTCAGACCTTATGGTTATCTCCCTTGTTTCCTGAACATCGCTGTTATCCTGTTCTTTTTCAGGGTGCCCAGATTTCATATTGTTCAAACACACATGTTTTACAATTTGTGCAGTTAACGCAAGCATCACAGGGTCGTGAGGCAACGTACATCTTCAGCTTACGAAGATGACGGGATTAAGAAATTAAAGTAAAGACAGGCATAGGAAATTATAAAAGTATTGATTGGGGAAGTGATAAATGTCCATGAAATCTTCACAATTTATATTCAGAGATTGCAGTAAAGACAGGCATAAGATATTATAAAAGTATTAATTTGGGGAACTAATGAATGTCCATGAAATCTTCACAATTTATGTTCTTCAGCCATGGCTTCAGCCGGTCCCTCCGTTCGGGGTCCCTGACTTCCCGCAACAGTAGTTTGTTATTAATGACTTCTATTACCCACCCTCTATGCTCAGTCAATCATTAAATGATGACCTTCTTTGCCTCTTTTGACAGTTTTTGACTTGAAGTTTATTTTACATGATCTAAGTACAGGTAATTATTCTCTTTAGGCTAGTCTTTGCATGGAACAGTCCATCCCTTAACTTTCAACTATGTTTCTTCTTAAGGCTAAAGTGAGTCTCTTACAGCATCTGGTTAGATCTTGTTTTTTAAAAATTTTCCAGCCGCTCTTTGACTTTTGTTCAAAGATTTAATTCATTTATATTTAAGGTTAGCATTAATGGATAAGGATTTACTAGTGACATTTTATTATTTTGGGGGGGTTTGTTTTTGTAGATATTTGTTTCTTTCTTGTGCTCTGGTCTACCTTTGTGATTTAGTAATTTTATGAATTGCTAAGCTTTGAATTCTTTAACGTTTGTGTATCTGCTGTAGTTCTTTGCCTTGTACTCATCATTAGGCTTACATAAAACCACGTAGTTTTATAAATTGACTATTTTAAGGTGACAATAACAATGTTTGTTGAAACAAGAACTCTAGACTTGTACTGTCCTCCCACAAAACTAAATTTTTGATATCTTTGTTTTCTGCTGCTGTAAAAAACCATTGAAGACTGGGTAATTTATTATAAAATTGTATTTTGCTTATAGCTCTAGAGGCTGGGAAGTCTAAAGGCATGCATGGTGTAAACCTCTAGTGAGGATAATCCCATGAAGGAAAGTGGAAGTGAGCGTACAAAGCAGAGAGAGAGATGGGGCCAAATTTATTCTTTTTTCAGGAGTCCACTCCTGTGATAACTAACCTTCTCCAAGGATAATGACATTCATCCATTCATGCAGGTAGAGGTCTCCTGATGTAATTACCTCTTGAAGGTCCCACCTCTTAATACTGTTAAAATGGCAATTAAGTTTTCAAATGAGTTTTAGAGGGGACATTGAAACCATAGCATCTCATCTACAACCCTCCAAAACTCATGTTCTTCTCACATACAAAATACAATACTTCTGTCTCAATAGCCTCAAAATTTTTACCCATTCCAGCATTGACTCTAAAGTTCTAAGTCCAGAGTCACATCAGAAGCAGATATGGATGAGACTCAAGGTATGATTTATCTGGAGGCAAATGTTTCCAGCTGTGAGCCTGTGAAATCAAAACAAGTGATTTGTCTTCAAAATATAATGGTGAAACAGGTGCAGAATAGACTTTCTCAGTTCAAAAGAAATAACTAGGCAAGAAAAAGGTGTAAGTGGTTTCAAGTGAGTCCAAAACCCAACCAAGAAAACAGCATTAAGCTTTAAATCTGGAGAATAATTTCCTTTGATTCTATGTCCTAAATCCTGGGGACACTGATTGGGGCCCTCAGACAGTCCTGCTCCCATATCTTTGCTGGGCTCAGTCCATGCTTCAGCTCTGTTAGGTTGGCGTTGCATGCTAGTGGCCCTATAGTTCCGAGATCTCAAAGGTAGCCTCACTACCATGGCTACACTAGGCATATCCCTAACTGGGACTCTGTGTTGGCTCTGACCCCATATTTCCACTCAGCATTGCCCTGATGGAGGCTCTTTGAAGTGGCTCCACTCCCATAGCTATTTGTGACATCCTTTGAAACTAGGTGGCGAAAGCCATGCCCCTACAACTCTTGCAGTCTGTGAGCCTATAGAGTTAACACCACATGGTTGCCATCGAGATTGACAGCTTGTACTTTTTAGGCACAAGTATTATAGTGGCTGTGGAGCTGGGGTCTTAGGCTCAGAGTCTTGCAAAACTACTGTGGCACAGGTTCACTCACCAAGGCATGGATGGATGCAGATTACCCACAAAGCTGAGGCTGTAACTTTGAAGCAAACCTCAGTAACTCAAGCCCATGGGGCAGGGATGGAAGAGTTACTGATTCTGGGGTCAGTGCACAACACCAGCATGGCTCCAGGGAAAGAGGGGTGCTCTGGAGGCTTGAGCTCTGGGGAGCAGGTTACAGTTGAAATTTTGGTTCCAGAGCCACTAGGACACTGCAGCAACTCCATCCCTGGGTGATGGAGTGCCACATAGTGGTAACTCTAGACACTGGGATGGTAGGGCATGGCAATATCCCAGGCTGTGTAAGGCTGGATGTAGCAGCAGCAAGGCCTCAGGAATGACTAAGCGTGTCTGTGGCTTGGTCCTTGGGTTTCTTGAAGCAGTATAGAAATGACCCCCTGGGGAGCCAGGGTTTCTCAGAAGCTTGGACTCCAGGGAACTAGTCAGTTCTAGGGAGGTGGGGCACTGCAGTTATTTTGCCTGGATTGTTGGGTGACACAGCTCAATCAAAGCTATATGTCCTCAGAGAGTGGGCCACAGTTTCAGCTTGAATTTGGAGGGGCAGTGTGCACCAGCAACTAAGATGGGGGCATGGAGCAGTTCCATGGCAGCCTGGCCTCAGCAGGTAGAGAGTAGACAGCAGCAGTTTGGCTCAGGTATGGCTACCAGGTGTGTGTGGTGTAGTGGTGGTTAAGCCTCAGAGATAGAGGTGTGCAATAGCTACTCACTTCTGAAGCAGAATGCACTGTAGCAGTGATTCGTTTCCAAGAAGGGGCAACACAGTAGCAGCTCAGGCCATGGAGGCCAGGGCATAGTGTCAGCACCACCTCTGGGATAGGACAGACATGTGGACTTCAGGTAGCTCCATCAGCTGAGCTCAGAGCCTGTGAAGACTCTAAGTGTCTCCAGTAGTAAGATTACAGGTATCCATGGTGGTGATGGGAGCTGCTGGGGTCCTCTCGCTTACCTTCTCCCTGCAGGAAGAAGGCTCTGCTGACTCAGAGATTGTCCTAACTGGGGGAAGGGGTGGTGGAAGAAAGGTGTTTTATCTCCTTCTTCATGTAGCCATCCTGGGTTTCTATGATCTACAAGATTTCTGCTACTCCTTTGCTGTTTTCAGGTGCTCTTCTTTAGTTACTTTAGTTGGAATGCATTTGTTTATTCATTGTTTTGGGGAGTGTGTGTGTGTGTGTGTGTATGTGTGTGTGTGTGTGTGTGTGTGTGTGTTGATGATGATGAGGGTTAGGAACTTCTCGTTGGCCTTCTTGGTGACATTCTTTAGAATTCTAATCAGACATATTGTAGACCTTTTAATTCTACACTTCTAATCTTTTAACCTCCCTTCTATTATGACCATTTTCTTGTTTCTCTACAGAATTCTTGGTGATTTCTTCAAATTTTTCTTCCAGTTGACTAATTCTATTTTCAGCTATTCCTTGTTATTTAACACATTGGCCAATTGTTTTCTGTCAACACTATTTTGTATTTGAAATTTGAGATTATGTTCCAAATATGTCCTGTCACTCTATGTGCTTTATCTTTGACTTCATGTTTGTGATTTAATTTTCATTTAAATAAGTTATCTATACTCTTTACATATTCTATATGTGATATATATCCAGATGCTCCTAATCTGTGGGACTTCTTGCAGGCTTGTATCAAGGATATCTACTTCCTTCTTTATGGACTCCAATGGAGGACTTATTCAGAGACTGATTGCCTTCTAAATATGTGTCTTTTTGGTGATTTCTCCTTTACTACTGACTTCGATGATTCTCAGAACTATACTTTTCCAGGGAAGTGACAGTTATCAACTGATGTATTTAATTCCCAGGATTATAAACAGTAATTTATGTTGTACACCTCAGGGGGGGCCTCTCATCCTTGATAAGTATACTCTGAAATCTGTGGCCATGGTGTCCTGTTTCTTTCATACTCTCACTACACTTCTCCCCAAATTTATCATCATGTAATCTTTGTTTCTAACACTCATTTCACCTGATTTATAGAAATGTTAGTTGTTTCCCACTTTCATAAAAAAAATGGAGTTCTAATTCTGTTTGTCCAAATTGTTTTCGGAACTTTTCTAAAAGTGAAAAGAATAAGAACATTGATTTTTTGGTTACATTCTTATATATAATTCCTTATCTTAACTACTTCATTCACATTTACATTATATATTTCTTATTTATTATATTTGTCTTTCTTTTTTAAAAGAAATACTTATTTTATAATTTGTAATTTTGTACTTTTTATTTTACTATTTTTCATAATTTTAAGTATATACATTACTAAAGTTAAATTAATGTTCTAAATAATTAATCTTTTCATTTTAACGTTTCTCCTCTATCTTTCTCTGAAATTCACCCCCCTTCTTCTGACTTTAATCAGTTTTATTGTTAGATAGCTAATAATTTATTTCCATTGATGTATCAAAAATAAATACAGGATGATAATTTTTTCAGAGAAATCTTAATTTTTTTCTCAACATAGCAAATTTGGAGTACAACAATTTTTTTTTCATTTATGGTACCAATAAAAGGGCACACATCTCAAAACGAGACTTTTATAGGGGCTCAGTGGAGAATAAGTGGTATCAAAATTAACTATTACTTGAAGGATATTAGCAAGCTTCATTTCCCTAAAAATTTATGGAAGTTGATCATGAAACACCTGAATATGAATTCAACTACATAGATAAAAATTTCCATGTGACTTTAGCCTATCTCTACATGACTTGGTTGGAGTTATTATACTGAGGACAGAAAGAGATATAAGAGTAATATGTTTGTGCTTAGATTCTCAAAAAATGATTTGATGGATCCTTGCTATGCACCAGCAAGTTAGGATTTAAAGCAATGTAATAGGACAAGAGATTTAGATTTGTGGTGCCAAGAATATGACTGAGAGCCATAAGTTTCATTCCCAAAGTTCAGAGTTTGTGGCACAAAATACAAGGTTACATAAATCACACTCAGCAAGGAGGAACATGGGAAGATTTTCAGCCCTGTGAATTTAACTGTGCTCTGATTAGAAAAGGAGGAACTATGCAATACTATACAATAAATTGGAAGGCAGATTAGTTTGTGTAGTTTATTACTATTATAAAAGTAATCCTTCAGCTGGGTGCGGTGGCTCACACCTGTAATTCCAGCACTTTGGGAGGCCGAGGCGGGCGGATCACAAGGTCAGGAGATGGAGACCATACTGGCCAACATGGTGAAACTCTGTCTCTACTAAAAATACAAAAATTGGCTCAGCATGGTGGCACGCGCCTGTAGTAACAGCTACTCGGGAGACTGAGGCAGGAGAATCGTTTGAACCCAGGAGGCAGAGGTTGCAGTGTGCCGAGATCGCGCCACTGCATTGCAGCCTGGTGACAGCGTGAGACTCCATCTCAAAAAAAAAAAACAAAAAAACAAAACTAAAAAACAAAGTAATCCTTTGTGGGTAAGTGGCTGTAATCAAGGGATTAGGCAGTAAGAGGGATAGAAATAAAATCTGAGCCGACTTGGAATTGGAACTTAAAGAAATTTCTCTAATTTTAGAGGTCCAACAGGTTTACCTCGCTTCTGTCAACATGTCCCTCTCTGCAGGATTTTCTAGCATCTTGATATCATATGACATTTAGTTTCTCTCCCACCTGCCCCCGCCCCACACACACACTTAATGTGTTGCCTATTCCACTTCCCCAGCTCTAACAGCTATTATGATATGGGAAGAGAATGTAGACCAGATTCTGTCCTTAGGGAGGAACCTGCCCCAAAGTGTCATGTCCTCTTTTGCCATTTCCAGGACATCATACTAAATTACATTTCTTATTGTAGCACCTTTTCTGCTGCCATGACAACCATGCAAGGAATGGAACAGGCCATGCCAGGGGCTGGCCCTGGTGTGCCCCAGCTGGGAAACATGGCTGTCATACATTCACATCTGTGGAAAGGATTGCAAGAGAAGTTCTTGAAGGGAGAACCCAAAGTCCTTGGGGTAAGTTGCAAATCTAGGGGAAGACCAATGGTGTTGCAAACTCATATTTCATAAGACCTAATGCCAAATACACTGTCCCACTAGCCTCATAATACAACAGCCAACCCTCACGACGTCAGTAATTACTTTTCAGGCTCTTCATCTGAAAAACTATATAGTATTCTGTCACAACATGCTTCCAGTTGAGTTATATTTAAAATATATTGAGTTCAGATCTATTCTAGGGTTGTGGGTCATCCATGATAATTGTATTTAAACTCAGTGTGGAAAAGCAGCAAAATAAAAGGCCACCTATGCACTACTAGCTGACGCCCCCTTTACAGGCCTTCCTGATAGCTGACAGGCACATATTGCTACTATTTCTTTCTGGCACCTTTTCTTAGCCCCCTGCTCAGAGGATGAAAAATCTATCCTCTGAGCATTTCCATCTGGAGTCTCAGATGAGCATGCCCAAAAGAAATGAAGGATTAAAAGAATGACAGAATAGGGCAGGTGAAAGGATATTAAATATAGGTTTATCACTAGCCCAAGCTTCAAACCACGGGAAAATGTCACTGTGGATATTCTGGATCCTTTTTTCACATTATTCATTTTCTGGAGGGGGGGAAATATAGTTATTTCTCATAAAATATGTTATTTATGTTGGCACATACTAGGTTTGTTTGTTTATTTATTTTTAATTTTATTTTTTGAGATGGAGTCTCGCTCCATCATCCAGGCTGGAGTGCAGTGGCACAATCTGGGCTCACTGCAACCTCCGTCTTCCGGGTTCAAGAGATTCTCCTGCCTCAGCCTCCTGAGTAGTTGGGATTACAGGCATGAGCCATCACACCTGGCTAATTTTTGTATTTTTAGTAGAGACGGGGTTTCAGCATGTTGGTCAGGCTGGTCTTGAACTCCTGACCTCGTGATCTGCCTGCTTCAGCCTCCCAAAGTGGGTTTATTTTTTAATGTATGAATAATTATTTTAAAATATACTGTATGTTTTAGAGCAGTTTTAGGCTTAAAGAAAAATTGAGAGCAAAGTACAGATCTATCCCATATGCCCCTTGCCCCCACAAATGCATAGCTTTTTAATTATCAACCTCCTCCACCAGCATGTAACCTTTGTACCAATTGATGAACTACATTGACACATCATTACTAAAAGTACACAAATCACAATGGGGTTCATTCTCTGTGTTGTGTGTTCTGTGGGTTTTAACACAAGTATAGTGATATGAATCTACCTTTGTAGTATCACATAGTATCCCACCAATCCCTGGCAACCACAAATCTTTTATTGTCTTCATAGTTTGCCTTTTCCAGAAAGTCATACAGTTGGAATTGTACAATAGGTGTTTTTTTTAGATTGCGTTCTTTCACCTAAATACATGCATTTAAATTTCCTCCATGTTTTCTTATGGCTTGATAGCTCATTTATTTTTAGTACTGAATAATATTTCATTGTCTAGAAGCACCACAGTTTATTTATGCATTCACCTACTGAAGGACATCTTGATGGCTTCCCAACTTTGGCAATTAGGAGTAACATTGCTATAAATATCTGTGTGCAGGTCATGTGTGGACATAAGTTTTTCAACTCATTTGGTTAAGTATGATTAGTGTATTGTAAGTAAGAGTACGTTTAGTTTTGTAAGAAACTGCCATACTGTCTTCCACATGGCCTTGTCACTTTGAAGATTTCAATCAACAGTCAATGAGTTCCTGCTGTTCTGCAAAATCTCCAGCAATTGGTAGTGCCAGTGTTCTGGATTTTTACCATTCTAACAGGTGCTAGTGGAATCTCACTATCATGTTAATTTGCATTTCCCTTGTGACATAAGATGTGGACCATCTTTTCATGCGTTTCTTTACCATCTCTATATCTTCTTTCGTAAGGTGTCTTGTTAAATTCTTTGGCACATTTTTAATGAGGACGTTTATGTTCTTATTGTTAAGTTTTAAATTTGTTGTATATTTTGGGTAACGATCCTTTGTCAGATATGACTCTTGCAAATATCTTCTCCCAGTCTGTTGTTTGTCTTTTCATCTCTTGACAATGTCTTCTGCAGAGCAGAACTTTTTAATTTTAAGAAAATTAAGATGATTTATTCTGTATTTCATGGTTTGTGCCTTTGGTATCGTATTGACAAATTCATCACCAAACCCAAGGTCATCTAGATTTTGGCCTATGTTATCTGTTAGGAGTTTTATAGTTTTTAGTTTAATATTTATGTCTGTGATTCATTTTCAGTTAATTTTTGTGAAAGATATAAGGTATGTGTCTTTTATTCTTACTTATGGATATCAAGTTTTAAGTACTATTTTTTAAAATACTTTTTTTTTCATTGTATTACTTTAGCTCATTACCAAAGATCACTTGACTATATTTGTGTGGCTCTCTCCAGGCTTTCTACTCTATTCCATTATCTATTTGTCTATTTCTTTGCTAATACCACACAGTCCTGATTACTATCACTTTATAGTATGTCCTAAAATTGGGTAGTGTTAGTCCTACAACTACTACTTCTTCTTCTTCTTCTTCTTCTTCTTCTTCTTCTTCTTCTTCTTCTTCTTCTTCTTCTAGATTGTGTTTGCTATTCTGAGTTTTTTGCCATTCCTTATAAATTTTAGAGTCAGTTTATCAATATATACAAAATAACTTGCTGGGATTTTAATGGAGATTGTATTAAATCTACTGATCAAGTTGGAAAGAACTGACATCTTGACAATGTTGAGTCTTCCTATCCATGGACATGGAATATCTCTCCATTTATTTTATCAAAGTTTGTAGTTTCTTATAGATTTTGTACATTTTTTTTTAGATTTATACCTAACAAATGCCAAATACCAATACCTAAATATTTTATTTTTAGAGGTGCTAATTTAAATGGCATTATGTTTTTAATTCCAAATTTCACTTATTCATTATAAGTACATAAGAAAGTAATTGTCTCTTGTGTATTAATCTTGTATAAATCTTGTAAACCTAATATAATTGTTTGTTAGTTCCAGGAATTTTTGGTTGATTCTTTCAGATTTTCTACACAGACATCATGTCGTCTGGGAACAAAGGCAGTTTTATTTTTCCCTGACCAGTCTGTATATCTTTATTTCCTTTTCTTGTCTTACTGTTTCTGCTATGACTTCCAGTACAATGTTGAAAGGAGTAGTGACAGGGCTCATCCCTGCCTTGTTCCTGATCTTAGTGAGAAAGCTTTGAGTTTCTCCATTAAGTATGAAGTTAGCTGTAGGTTTTTCACAAATATTCTTTATCAACCTGAAGAAGTTCTCCTCTATTAATAGGTTTTTCAAGAGTTTTTATAATAAACAGGCATTGGATTTTGTTCAATATTTTTTCTGCGTCTGTTAATATAATCATGTGATTTTTCTTCTTTAGCCTGTTGATGTGATGAATACATTAATCGGTTTTTTGAATGTATAGTCAGTCTTGCATACCTGGGATAAATCCCAAGTGGTCATGGTACACAATTTTTTTGATGCATTGTTAGATTTAGTTTGCAGATATTTTGTTGAGGATTTTTGCATATTTGTTCATCAGAGATGTTGGTCTGTAGTTTTCTTTTCTTGTAATGTTTTTGAATGATTTTTGGTAGATGGTAGTGCTAGCTTCAGAGAATTAGTTAAGGAGTATGTCCTCTGTTTCTATTTTCTGTAAATAATGGTATAATTTTTTTCTTAAGTGTCTGGTAGAATTCACCACTGAGTCCTTCTAGGTCTGATGCTTTCTGTTTTGGAAATTTATTAATTATTGATTCAATTTATTTAATAATTATAGGCTTATTCAGAGTGTCTCTTCTTGTGTGAGTTTTGACAAATTGTCTTTAAGGAGTTATCCATTTTATCAAGGCTATCAAACTGTGGGCGTAGAATTGTTCATAACATTATTTTATTATCCTTTTAATTTCTATGGGAACTGTATTGATGTTCCTTCTTTCATTTATGTTAGTAATTTTTGTCCTCTCTCTTTTTCTTAGGCTGGCTAGAGGCTTTTTAAATTTTATTTATACATACATATATTTTTAAAAACTGCTTTGGATTTTATTGATTTTGTTTATTCATGTTCTGTTTTCAATTTTATGATTTCTGCTCTAATTTCTATTATAGCTCTTCTTCTGTTTATTTGGAGTTTAATTTGCACTTCTTTTTCTAGTTTCTTAAGGTAGACTCTCAGGAGATTGATTTTAGATCATGATTTTCTAATATATTCATTCAATGCTATATATCTTCCTCTAAGCATTGCTTTCACTACATCCCATAAATTTTGATAAGTTGTTGAAATGTTTTTGATCCTTTGGAATGCCATGGGATAATGGTACTCTTACTCTGCTACGTTTAGATCCCTGTGTACTCATACTTGTGTCCTCATACCCCAGACTTCAAGAAAATATCATATTTGCTTTTCTTGTTTTCTTCCCTTGTATATACTCTCCTTTCTTCAGGTTACTTCTCCTTGCTACAATAATTGCTTTATAATTCCTAGGCCACTTCTCTGAGCTCATGAGAAAAAAAGAGAAATAATTGTGGTAGAAGTAACATCGTAGGTATCAGAAAAGCACCTCTGGGCTGGTTCTGGCATACTCCTTTTAACCTTGAAATTATTGGCAATGATAGACGTCGCGAGAGATAATATTGGTAAGATTACATTCACGGTTATTTATGTGAAAAAAGAGTGATAAGAGAATACTAAGAAGGTCATATGACTATCAAATGAAGGAGAATAAGGATAGCTTAGTGATTGGAAAGGGGGTGGCGGAAGCACCATTTTTGTGGTGGACAATCAGTTTTTGCTTTCTTCACCATTTTTAGGTTGTGCAGATTCTGACTGCCCTGATGAGCCTTAGCATGGGAATAACAATGATGTGTATGGCATCTAATACTTATGGAAGTAACCCTATTTCCGTGTATATCGGGTACACAATTTGGGGGTCAGTAATGGTGAGTAGAGTATCTTTTGATATAATTGAAGATAACATAAAGCAGTTGTCAATACCCTGATCTTTGGAATCCTATTCTAACCGTATCTTGTAATTCTGTAAATCTGAGAGTGGTATCTAACCATTTCTTACTCAATTTTCTCATATTTAAAGTACTACAAATAATATAGTATTATATTAAATCTAGGCAGATTAAATATTTATATATGTCAGTTAGATATATTACAGCAGCACATTGCCAAAGACCCAAACCAGAATGGCTTAAACATTGGAAGCACTGATTATTTCACAACAAGACTAGTGGCTTATCATTTCTAGGATGGCTTCATTCAGTGGTGCAAGGATTTCATCAAGGATTGCTAGCAGACCACATCAGAGGGGAGATGGTTGACACATCCAACTTTTGGTAAATATTTCATATACATATTCCCAAATCAACTGTCAGTAAGGATAACGGACTTGCCATTATTGGCTTGGACTAATCAAGATTTACCTCTGTAGCTGGGAGGAGTCTACCCTACCTTTAGCTCATGAGAAACTGAACAAAATGATGGTTTAGTTAGCAAGGAAGAAGAGGAGATGTGGCTGGTACACAAGCAGTTTCTAATATCTAGTCTACTGACTATCGAAACTCAGGAAATTGTTACCTCAGAAAATGAAAATGTTATTTGATATATTTTGTTTCATAAATTCAATAAAATAACTAATTATTATAATTAATATTAAATTAATTATAACTATTATTAATATTACATTAAAATTAGAATTGGAATTTAAATTTAAAAACCTTCTCCCAAGAGAAAACACAAGATAGTTTTAATGCAAATTGAGAGTAAAATTGAGAATAAAATACCAAGTTTTATCCATTGAAGAGAGAAAAATAAAATTTATAAGTTGGGTTTATGTTAGAATCAGGGAATCTATTCTAGCATTGCAGGGTTTCCATTTATTTCTAAAACTGAGAATGAGGTAGTGTAGAGTTTTATAGAAGAGCTTGCTTTTTGATCCCCTTCACCTGTTTACAGCAGAAGTGCAAGATTGGAAGAACAGTAAAGCTGTGTTTTACTTCTAGAAAGCTGCACAATACTTCATATATCCAAAAATACTGATGCCAATAACAGCTCTTATTAAACTCTTACTATCATGTGGACACTCTACTTAGTGCTTTATATGTGCAATTTCATTTCAAACAATCACCACGAACTTCTGATTTTTCATTATAATCATTTTATGGATGAAGAGAGGTTAAGTAACTAACCCAACATCACAACTGCTTGGTACAGGAATGAAGATTCAAATAGGGTCAATGTATTTTCAGAATTGCATACATCTAACTACTTAGTTTTCTGTTTTTATTTCCGTTTCCTTTTCAAGATCACATTAAAAACCAGCTTACATGGTGCAAGCCTTCCACACATGTTCAGTAGATTACCAGGAACTGCAGGAGCCATTTGTCCGCTGAGACATCACTGAGACTTTCGTAGGTGTTCCATTAGATGAGCCTTTACTTAATTGGTGAACTCTTTTCTGCGGCTACCTTCCATTATTCTTTCAACCTTTTTTTCCAAACCTCTTCTATGAAGTGCCTCCTTTTTCTCTTTCATACAGTATAAGTACCAATACCAAGAACCAGTCACAAGTTCCTCTTATTTTTGGCCTCTTCAGTTCTGTTTCTGTATATGTTTCACATTCCTTGTTTTTTCCTCTGAGATAGTACATACATACTTTTTCCTGTGGCAAATGAAGTCCTCTTATTCAATCCCATCTTCAAATACACAGACATACATACACACTTGTAATGTGTATATATAATTTCTGTATAGAATGTTTTTCCAAGGTGCCTTATTGAATTTTTAGAATAGTTTATGGTAATTTTTAGTTCACGTTCTTGAATGTTTGCAATATATATTGTTCATACTTAAATAAGAATAGTTAAACCACTTGTTCCAACTATTTTTCTTATGTAATTATTTTGGTAAATATACCCAGAATAGTATTACATAATAGTCAGCATCTTTATCTTGATTTTGACTTTAATGAAATGATCCTACATTTTTATCATTAAACATAATAAAGACTTTTAGACTGAGACAGATTTCTATCATGTTACAGAAATTACAATTCTTTTTTTTTTTTTTTTTTTGGTTTTTGGTTTTTGGTTTTTTGAGACAGAGTTTCGCTCTTATTACCCAGGCTGGAGTGCAATGGCACGATCTCGGCTCACTGCAACCTCCGCCTCCCGGGTTCTCACCATTCTCCTGCCTCAGCCTCCCAAGTAGCTGGAACTACAGGCACCCGCCACCACACCCGGCTAATTTTTTTGTATTTTTAGTACAGACGGGGTTTCACTGTGGTCTCGATCTCCTGGTCTCGTGATCCACCCGCCTCAGCCTCCCAAAGTGCTGGGATTACAAGCGTGTGCCACCACGCCCTGCCAATAATTCTTTATATTTTACCAGTAATGTTGCAGTTACTAATAATGTTGAATTGTATTAAATGTCCTAGCCTATCAACACTGTAAACATGAATAGCAATAAGCATGTAATTTTTTTCTTAAATTCATTAATTGTGTAAATTAGAATATTTCAATATTAAAAAATGTTTGTAGAGCTGAAGGAACATCCCAAATGTTCATGATGTATTTTATATCATATGATGGGTGATTCCCTCTAGTGGTTTTATTCCAGTGGTGATTTAGATATCATGAATCATCTCTATGTCTGGGTATTTGGAAGTTAAATAAATTTATTGAGCTTTTTTATTAGTTCTGTATTTTTTATATTATGATATAATCTTTGAATCATCTGAAATCAAATTTGAAAAGCAAATTAAAAACTCCAACAATTGAATATTAAAAGATAGAGAGTCTAACCAACTTGACTAGTTATTTTAGCTAAATGAAAAATAATTGCCTATTGATGGAATCAAATGAACTACTATATTCTAGTCATCATCTAATTGGGAATTTACATTTTTTTGCTACTATTTTGCTTATAAGTTTAAAAATATTGGCCGGGCGCAGTGGCTCACGCCTGTAATCCCAGCACTTTGGGAGGCCGAGGCGGGCGGATCACGAGGTCAGGAGATCAAGACCATCCTGGCTAACACGGTGAAACCCCGTCTCTACTAAAAACACAAAAAATTAGCCCAGCGTAGTGGCGGGCTCCTGTAGTCCCAGCTACTCGGGAGGCTGAGGCAGGAGAATGGCGTGAACCCGGGAGGCGGAGCTTGCAGTGAGCCGAGATTGCCCCACTGCACTCCAGCCTGGGCGACAGAGCGAGACTCCGTCTCAAAAAAAAAAAAAAAAAAAAAAAAAAAATTCTAAATGAGAATAATTTTAGTGTATTTTTTGTTTAAATATAGTCATCAATTTTGGTACCATGTAAGAATTACTTTGTATCAGGAGTTTGGAAACTATCTTTTAGTGCCCTCAAACAGTTTTAATATCATTTCAGTTAGATATTTGAAAAACTTGATAAATTCTCCCATGGATTTATCTGGTATTATTTCTCTGTTCTTTCTGGGAAAAGGGAAAATAATGTGCAAACCTTTGTGGTTTTCTTTAAGATAATTGGTCTGATTAACATATCTATCTAATTTAGAATTAAGTTTAGTAAGTTATGACTCCCAATACTGGCTTAAAGTTTTTTACCTTCATTTTTTCTCTCATTTTTAGTTTATTATTTCAGGATCCTTGTCAATTGCAGCAGGAATTAGAACTACAAAAGGCCTGGTGAGTAATATTTTCTTTTTTTGGTATCAAAAAAAGGAAGGATTAATAAAAAATGTATTCTGCCAGGGTGTAAAACAGGTTTTGTTTCTTTGTTTGTAAAAAATCAGGAGCGATTGTGCATTTTACCTACTAGAATCTGTCTTTCAAAAACTGCAGTCAGGCTAATTGCTGACATAGGACTGGATATTTTGGCAAGGTAGGGAATCTTACGCTTGTGGAGGGAATCTTTTTGAAGATATAGAGAATTATTGAGAAGAAATATCAAGTGGGACCGCTCCAACAAAACCCTGCAGCATGAGTCAGCCCATGATAGTGACACCAAGCATTGGTGTTGTGTAATATTTACTGACCCATTGATTATAATGTAGACTCCAACTGTGTCCAGAAAGGATTTTGAGTTTTCAATAAAAGAAATTCACAATAAGGTTATTACATAAGAAGCAAATTTAAAATGTAATTCTCATGCCAAGATGCCTTTCATAAAGCCAATACAATGCGAAAGTCCATATCTGAATAAATGTTTTTTTCTAGTTAAAGTCCATATTTGAGTTTTCTTTGTTCAAAAGATAAATATCAAATTCTGGAGCATGATCAATATGGGTTTTCCAAATCTGGCCTAACCCAACTCCCTAGTGTCCCCTCCGGCTGCAGCCACATTACTCATACTCCTCACACTTTGCTGTGCAAGTTTAGTTCTTTTTTGTTTGTTTTTTTTCTGGTTTTTGGTTTTTGGTTTTTTGAGACAGAGTTTCACTCTTATTACCCAGGCTGGAGTGCAATGGCGTGATCTCGGCTCACCGCAACCTCCGCTTCTCAGGTTCAAGTGATTCTCCTGCCTTAGCCTCCCGAGTAGCTGGGATCACAGGCATGTGCCACCACGCCCAGCTAATTTTTGTATTTTTAGTAGAGATAGGGTTTCTCCATGTTGGTCAGACTGGTCTCAAACTCCTGACCTCAGATTATCCACCCCGCTTCGGCCTCCCAAAATGCTGGGATTACAGGCATGAGCCACTGCGCCCAGTCAGCAATTTTAGTTCTTATTAAAAGCCTCCTTACCTTTATCCATGAGAAGAGAACGTACAGAAAAGAATATACTGCTGAGAGAGATAATATACAAAAGGTATAGAGGCATGACAGGCAAACAGCATTTAGAAAAATGATAAGAAATCAGGCATCAGAAGCAAGGAGTGGCAGGGAAGGACACAGACAGGGCTGTCCAGCTAAAGTGTGAAGGACATTGAAAACCCTGCTAAAGAGATTTGGAGATTATATTATGTGCCCACGGGAATCATCTGAAGAATTGAAGCTGCGGAATAATGAGATCATGTTTGTGTTTTGCCAAGAGATTAGAGTTGAAACCACAAGACAAGTTAGAAGACTATTGAAATAATCAAGATAATGATAGATGGCAGTAAGAAAGAGATGGTGGGTGTAAAGTGATTCATGGAGATATATCTGAGGATGTTGTTGGATTGTTTAATTGATTTTCATTCCTTTCTAGGTCCGAGGTAGTCTAGGAATGAATATCACCAGCTCTGTACTGGCTGCATCAGGGATCTTAATCAACACATTTAGCTTGGCGTTTTATTCATTCCATCACCCTTACTGTAACTACTATGGCAACTCAAATAATTGTCATGGGACTATGTCCATCTTAATGGTTGGTACTGCCTCTTTTCAGGGGATATTATTATAGAAGCAAGTTTGGGGAGTGCTGGCTCTGGCAAAGACAATAATTAATATTCCCTAATTGATGAATGACTTTGGGAAGTTGGAGTGATTGAGAAATAGAATAATCTTTCATTTAGGAGTTAGGTACATGTCTCATCTCTGTCTTTATTCTTCTATATATCATGAGGCAAAATGGGAAGAAAGCTTATAGTTATAGAATACCTACTCATTAATAGTTACTGTGCTGGGTATTTTGTATACATTTTTCTGTTTAATTTTAAAACATTGATGCAGTACGTACTGTTATCCCCTCTAAAAATGGGGCCCTGATGTCAGTCCCTATTCTCTAATAATGAAGTAAAATTGTCTTGAACAGTATTTTACAAGTGGTGAGTAGCTCAGTATCCTTTCCAACATCTTTGGATGTTCTTGCAAGGTTAACCACTTTTATCCTCAACATCTAGCTCCTGATAAATCTCAGTCTTCATTATGACTTTTACTACTTTTTTGTACCAATTGTTCTTATCTTAATGCTATCCTAATTGCTTTATTCTGAAAATGCCACCTACACAATATTTTGTAGGTAGTAAAACTTCTTGATATTTTGGGCCATTGGGTAATTGTGGGGAGGAAAAGTTATTGCAGCACATCACAGCAGACTAAAATGCACAATTAAATCTTTATTATTAAAAAGCCTGGCAGGGCGCAGTGGCTCACGCCTGTAATCCCAGCACTTTGGGAAGATGAGGTGGGTGGGTCACCTGAGGTCAGGAGTTCAAGACCAGCCTGGCCAACATGATGAAGCCCCGTCTCTACTAAAAATACAAAAATTAGCCAGGCATGATGGCACGTGCCTGTGATCCCAGCTACTCGGGGGGCTGAGGCAGGAGAATTGCTTGAAGCTGGGAGGCGGAGGTTGCAGTGAGCCGAGATGGACACATTGCACTCCAGCCTGGGCAACAGAGCGAGACTGCATCTCAAAAAAAAGAGAAAGCCTATTGGTCATTTTGAACACCTGCAAATTTTTTGTTACTTTCCCTCTATATGAACTTTCAGCCTTTCACCTTGCTGCTTAGTTCTCTTCCTTACCACGTTCTTCGCTTATGTAAACGTGGAAACCCAACATTCTTCCTAACTTACTAAGCAGAATCAGTTGCATTCTGTTTACTTCATTCCTAGCTAATTCTACATAGTTTTGTGGGCTATATAATCACACCAAAATAACCCCTTGAGGTGTCTTTGCTAAACTAATTTACTTCCCTTGAGATTTCTATTGCTTTTTATAGTAAGCAATTTTACTTCTTGCCACTCGCTCAAAATAAGAAAAAGCTTCTATAGAGAATTTGACAAATTCTTTCAAGGTCTTTCAGTTAGAAACTGGCAAAAGGAAGATTAGATTCTACAATTTCTTGTCTCTAATTCCCCTATTATTTGCTATTTGTATCCTGCAGAAGGACCTTACTTTTAGTTTACGAAGTTCTCTTCATTGGTAGATTTTAAGGGCACAATGATAGAGACAAAATCTGGAATTGGCCAACTTGATAGGGCTGATTTCGTGGGCATGGGACCTGTGCAGTTACTCAGGACTTCACAGTTAAAAGAGCCCTGTGCTTGATCTAATGCTCTGCTGTTGCTATCTTAAAATTGTTTTTAAAAATTTTAAACAAGAGAATCTAAATTACATAGCTGGTCCTCCATTCATCTCAATCACCTTTCCCAGAGTCCATGATGAATTCCTGTTAATTGTGTGAACATCTTTATGCCTGTTCTTATAGCAGAGGACCTCCATAAGGGCTTCCTGGGATTTGAAGTAATGGTTCTATTCTTGCCTGGGCACCTGCACAATCAGTCCACAGGTCTATATACATGCTACCTTTTTTTGGAGGCCCAGCCCTGTACCTGTTTTTGTAAATAAAGTTTCATAAATAAAGTTTAATTGAAATACAACGAAGCCCATTTGTTTACATATTGTGGAGTGCTGCTTTCGTGTTATAACAGCAGGTTTGAGTATGTGTGACAGAGACCTTATGGTCGGCAAAATCTAAAATGTACATTATCTGGCCTTTACAGAAAGCTTGCCGTCTTCTAGTCTACACTTCTAGATGGTAAAATCCTTGAAGACAGGGGAATTGTCTGTTTTGTTTGCTGCTCTATCTTCTGTGCCTACAACAATGTTGGAAACACAGAGGCCACTACAGCTGTTGAAGGCACAAGAAAATAAATAAGCAATGAATGCAAATATTCTCAAGGTCTCCTTAAGTCTGCCTCACTCATATCCTGAGCTCTTGGTCTATTGGCTCTTCTGCAACAGAGGGACTATCCCTAACCATGGAGAGAAAAAGAGAGAATATTTAAACCAGATAATCCCTGCATCAATCCGGGGGAAAATTAATAGAAATAAGTGTACTGCCCAATGTTTTCCAAATTTTGACCATGTTTCTTGGCTGAAGACTAGCCCTAAAGCCAGTGCTCTGGGCAGATGGATTAAAGACTGACCTACTTGATGTTCATTGTTGTATTAGCTTCTTATTGTTACTGTAACAAATTACTACAAATTTAGTGTCTTAAGACAACACAGTTTGGTTATCTTATGTTTCTGGAGGTTAGAAGTTCCAAGTGGGTCTCACTAGGCTAAAATCAGAGTGTTGGCAAGGCCATACTCCTTTCTGAAGGCTTAGGCAACAAAAAGTTTTATTGCCTTTTCTGGCTTCTTTAGGCTGCCTATGTTGCTTGGTTTGTCATCCCATCTTCTACCTTCAAATCAAGCGATGTAGCATCTTCAAATCTCTCTTGAACTCTATTCTGGCTCTTGCTTCCACTTATATGGATTTTATGGTTATTTTGAACCCACCTGAATAATCCAGGAAAATTCTCTTATATCAGCTAATAAGCAATCTTAATTTCATCTGCAAATTTAATCCTTTTCGCTGTTCAAAAAGAACAATGGTCCCCCAGGGAGGTCTGCATTCTAATCTCCAGAAGCTGAGGATTAGATTCTCTGCTTACAATTACTAAGATATGGAATCATAGTATTTTCTCAATGATATGAGTTTCTAGTACTCAATAGGATATGATGACAATTATCTTTATACTACCTTCCTAACTTTTTAAAGCACTTTCATCTTCCATGCCCACAATAGCACTGGGAGGTGCTGAACTAGGGAATAAATGTCTGTGATTATTTTATCAGTGAAAAAAGTGAGAAGCTACTTCAGCAGATCAAGAATTGGTCAAGGGTATGGCTGCCATTGGGAGGCAGGTTTCCTGACTCCCAGCCAGTGCTTTTTCTCTTATGACATTGTGGTTACTGGGAAATGTTTTCACTTGTCATCTCCATTTCTCACATTCCTTTGTTATGAGTTTTCTCCTAGGGTCTGGATGGCATGGTGCTCCTCCTAAGTGTGCTGGAATTCTGCATTGCTGTGTCCCTCTCTGCCTTTGGATGTAAAGTGCTCTGTTGTACCCCTGGTGGGGTGAGTATTGGCCTTCATTTGAAGATGACTGTATTAGTTTTCTATTGCTGTGTAATCGATTACACACACTTAGAGTCTTAACACAGAACACATTCATTATCTCTCAGTTTCCATGGTTCAAGAGTCTGAGCCCAGCTGAAGTATGTCCTTGACTCAGGATCTTACAAGGCTGTCATCAGGGAGTTGGCTGGGGCTGTGGCCTTGCTTGGAGCTTCTGATTCTCTTCCATACTAATGTGGTGGAATTCATTTCCTCTCAGTTGGAGAACTCATGACAATGTATTTTATCTTTGAAATCAGCCGGTTGCTAATGCTTTAATCCTCTCACAAAGGGTTCACATGAACGGATGAGGTCCATTCAGAATAATGCCTTTCTTGATAAACTGAAAGTCAACTAGTTAGTACCTACACACAGGACTTGTATCTCATCCTATACACAGGTTCCATCCACACTTGAGAGAAGGGAATCACAAGGGTTCAGTGAGTGTCACCTTAGAACTCTGCCTCGCACAGTAGCTACATAAAAGCTCTTTTTCCCCTTCCTTTCTCCCTCGAAGTGCATAACCTCTGAATCCAGATATGAGGATATTTCACAATGAAGAGGTCCCCAAAAAGTATTTTATTTTATTCCATTATCCTATTACAACAACTTTTCCTGGTATATTTCCATGAAATATCATGATCTCAGACTTCTCTATCAGTCTGTGCCCACCTGCCCACTCTTTTACCCTGAGACCTGCAGCTGATGCTGCTCCTGGCAGCTAAACCCAAAGAATGTCACACAGAGAGAGGAAAGCAGGGAATGGAAGGAAAGAAGAGACCAAGAAAGAAGCTCTAGGAAGAATGGGGAGGGATATCCTCCAAGAGTTGAAGGTTCCAGAATGAGGAAATGGATAGTAAAACCCCAACAGCTACTCATTAGCTTCATTACCCAAAGGCCCACAGGCAGACAAAACCAACAGCCAAATAATAAAATAATCATAGTTTGATGAGACGGTTCTTCTGGTGCCCTTCTCCATCATTTTGCACCTCTTTGTCTTCTTTTGAGGTTCCCAGGCCTTCCTCACAGAAGAGTGGGGGTTCCACATCCCACTCCCCCACAGCCCTTCCTCACAGAAGAGAGATTGACTATAGCACATTAACTCTAATAGTGGGTTTTTGCATTGTAAAACCTGAGAAGGGAGAGATTCTCAGCAATTACCAATGATTTTATAATTTCATTGAGTAAAGCTTTTTATTTTCATTGAGTGAAACGTTTGGACATGGAGGCAAACTCTTTCGTAAGTTTCATGTCATAATATTTAAGCTTGTGTTCCCTTCAGCTCTTAGCATAGGTGCTGGGGAATGTTGTTTTCTAATCTCCTGATGTGAATTCAGAAAAGCAGTGGTTTTGGGGCATATGATAGCTAGGTCTCTATCTCTTCCTGTTCTTCCACCAACCCTATGTCACACTGACTTTGTGGAAGAATAACCAGAACTCTTCTTAGTTTTGTGATGTGTGGGCCAGTGTGGTTTTTGCAATGTATTATTCATAACTAGCAAATCATGATTTGGGTATGTTGATGTCATCAGCATGAACAACCTGGTTTGGAAGAAGAGCCCCATATTTTTCATAACACCTTGGTTTACCCAACGTACTGTGCACTGTCATCCACACGTAATATTGATCCACTTGCGAGACCAGAGCAGTGGTCATCAGCAGCTCAGGTCAAGAGCTATCACTGAATGTTGTGTCCTAAATCAGGCCTGATCAAGAGAGTGACTGAGAAACCCCACATACTTGATCTTGAGAATGAATCAGAGAAGAAAAGAGTAAACTCTGATAATGATGACTTTATGTGGGCAGGAAAGGGGCACTCTGAGGTGATTTGGGTGACTCACCTTTGGCATTCTGATTGTTTCACAGGTTGTGTTAATTCTGCCATCACATTCTCACATGGCAGAAACAGCATCTCCCACACCACTTAATGAGGTTTGAGGCCACCAAAAGATCAACAGACAAATGCTCCAGAAATCTATGCTGACTGTGACACAAGAGCCTCACATGAGAAATTACCAGTATCCAACTTCGATACTGATAGACTTGTTGATATTATTATTATATGTAATCCAATTATGAACTGTGTGTGTATAGAGAGATAATAAATTCAAAATTATGTTCTCATTTTTTTCCCTGGAACTCAATAACTCATTTCACTGGCTCTTTATCGAGAGTACTAGAAGTTAAATTAATAAATAATGCATTTAATGAGGCAACAGCACTTGAAAGTTTTTCATTCATCATAAGAACTTTATATAAAGGCATTACATTGGCAAATAAGGTTTGGAAGCAGAAGAGCAAAAAAAAGATATTGTTAAAATGAGGCCTCCATGCAAAACACATACTTCCCTCCCATTTATTTAACTTTTTTTTTCTCCTACCTATGGGGACCAAAGTGCTTTTTCCTTCAGGAAGTGGAGATGCATGGCCATCTCCCCCTCCCTTTTTCCTTCTCCTGCTTTTCTTTCCCCATAGAAAGTACCTTGAAGTAGCACAGCCCGTCCTTGCATGTGCACGAGCTATCATTTGAGTAAAAGTATACATGGAGTAAAAATCATATTAAGCATCAGATTCAACTTATATTTTCTATTTCATCTTCTTCCTTTCCCTTCTCCCACCTTCTACTGGGCATAATTATATCTTAATCATATATGGAAATGTGCAACATATGGTATTTGTTAAATACGTTTGTTTTTATTGCAGAGCAAAAATAAATCAAATTAGAAGCAATACTTTCATGTGCTACCTACTTCCTTTTCAGATGCAATATGGTGGAAAGAGACTAAGCGTTGATGTCAAAAATACAGTATGGTGGTAAATAATGTGGGTTTTCTAAACAGACAACCCTGGGTTTTCATCTTGCTATCCCATCTTTGTTGTTTACTACTTATGTAGCTATGAAGATGCCACAAAATTTCTCTGTGCTTCATATTTCTTTTTAGGAAGGTAGTAATAATATTGTCTGGCCCATACACCTATGATAATTACTTGGTATAACAAAGGTAGAAAAACCAGGACTCTGACTGGTACATATGGAGCCACGAAAGTTTTAATTAATATATATACATGTATATATGTAAATAGATATGTATTAGATATATATATCAATTTATCATTTTATTCAGCATATATCTGTAAAGTATCTGTAATGAGGCAGACATTGTTTTAAGCATATAAGAAAATAGTGGTAAGAGAGATAATATCTTATATATATAAGATAATAGTGGTGAATAAGAGAGAGAACATCCTTCCTCTCTTGTAGGTTAAAACTTTTATGGGACAGGACATAGATTAACATATAAACAATCAAAACCTTTTTATATGTTGTTAGAAGCTAACTGGAAGAATTAATGTGCTAGAGAGTGGCTGCTGTAGTGGTGGTGAGAGATGAGTCATTAGAATGTACCCAGGAAAGTTTTTTTTTTGAGGAAGTGATATTTTCATTATGATAAGATAAAAATTATTGAATTTGCACGGATATTCGTATTTTCCAATTCAGTATATAGTATTTCTAGATTTCTCATTCTGCCCTACACTCACATATCTATTGTATCCACCTTTCTCCATGCACGCTTTTCATGGGAATGTAAGTCCCTCCTTCTATCAGTGCTAACCTGTCTACTTTCTCCAGCTCCAGGGATGGATAAGGTGTGGTAAAAGTCAGTTAAGACATTCTATCTTCTTGGTTGAAAGTTGGAAGGTAATTAGCAAGAACCACCAAATAGAACTTAATACTATTGCTTTTCTTTCTTTTTTTTTTTGAATTTTTTTTTTTTTTTTTTTTGAGACGGAGTCTCGCTCTGTCGCCCAGGCTGGAGTGCAGTGGCGCTATGTCGGCTCACTGCAAGCTCTGCCTCCCCGGTTCACGCCATTCTCCTGCCTCAGCCTCCCGAGTAGCTGGGACTGTATACAAGCGCCCGCCACCGCGCCCGGCTAATTTTTTATATTTTTAGTAGAGACGGGGTTTCACCGTGTTAGCCAGGATGGTGTCTCGATCTCCTGACCTCGTGATCCGCCCGCCTCGGCCTCCCAAAGTGCTGGGATTACAGGCGTGAGCCCCCGCGCCCGGCCAACTGTTAATATTTTACCATGTCATAAAGAGATATTGGTCTATGTATGTACCTAATTCCAATCTTTTAATTATTGTGTATGTACTGATATCCTACTTGTTTTATTTCTTCAATATTGTATTAATACTTGGCAGATTTTGTACTCGGCATTTATTCCCCATTTGTTCTGATAATGATGGCCTGATTTCCTCCAAAAAATCACCATTATCTAACTCTTAATTTATGTACAAGGGTGGAGCTCACCCAACCCCCAATTTCAGGAGTTGACCTGTGTCCTACATCTGGGAAGTGGCAGAATTACATCAACTCAGCTAGAGTGAAGTTCTTTGGTAGCCTTGTGACCTAGGAAAAAACAATTGTGTGAATGACTGACACATTTCCAATCAAAATTAATCTCATCATTTTCACTTCACTGACCAAGAAATGGTCTCCCCATCTTTCCTCTTTCCTGTTGGGTTTGGAGCTGTGAGGACGTAAGTTTGCTGCCATCAGCAGCCCCGTGACAGACAGATGCTCACAGACAAAAGCAGAACTGAGAAGTTCCAAGTGAACGATCAGACCCTAATGTAATTCTTTTGAGTCTCCAAGTCAA
This sequence comes from Homo sapiens, assembly GCF_000001405.40. Taxonomy (NCBI): domain Eukaryota; kingdom Metazoa; phylum Chordata; class Mammalia; order Primates; family Hominidae; genus Homo; species Homo sapiens. Next base: position 60,310,903 of record NC_000011.10, read on the forward strand.
GTTTTACCCGGAGTTGGCCCAACCCCTGGGGTTTTAAATATATAAAGACAAGGAAAGAGATTTATTCAGATAGTGCAATAACTGGGCAAAATCCTTCAACGGCTTCCTCTCTAATTCAGAATAAAAGCCAAAGCTCATATAAATCCTACATAGTCCTTACATCACGTGATTCTTTGTTGTTTCTTGGATTTTTAAAATATCCTGACTTATATCCTGATATATTGCTTTGAGATTGTTTAAAATGGTAAGAGAGTGCCTTCTCTTGGTGATAATTAGTGCATACATAATTTTTTTAACACTTACATAAGCAACCTAAGATTAGTGCATTTTTAGTTGTAAAAAGTTCATGCAAATATTTTGTGCTATTAGTGCAAGATATTATGATTCCAACTTTTAGACAAGACTACCTGCACTTGTTTCATGTCATGTGATTTGAAATTTATTCTTCATTTGGTTATTCTTGGTTTTATCTATATGTGATTAGAAAGCAGTAGGAAAATGTCCATGAGACTTTGTCTCCTTTTGCTACTTTTACAATAAAAATAATTATTGTTTCATAGGTTTTTGTTTTTTTTTTTGAGAGAGGGTCTGGCTCTGTTGCACAGGCTGGAGTGCATTAGAACCTCTGCCTCCTGGACTTAAGCCATCCTCCCACCTCAGCCTCCTAAGTAAATGGGACTACAGGTGTGCACCACCACACCCAGCTACTTTTTCTATTTTTTGTAGAGACAGTGTTTCACCATGTTGCCCAGTTTGATTCCCTGTCTGCTTAATGATTGCAAGAGGCTCCCCTGCTGGGTTGAAGTTGGGCCAAGAATTGCCTTAGTAGTGGTTGATACGGTTGGGATGGTATGGTTAAAGTTGAACTCATCATTGAGGGAAGCATCTTGGGACCGCACTTCGCCTTGTAAATAATTGGAAAAAAAAAGTTATAAGGTCTTGAGTATATAAAGTGATATTATTGATAACTTCTAACTATAAGTAGTCCAAGCTCTTCAGGTAGATGCAAGATATCTGTGACTAAAAATGATTTTTTTAAAAAATTTGAATCCAGTATTTTTGGGTTTTTTTTTTGTCTTAGACTCACTGAGGCAAAATGAAGGCTTCACGCTAAGTTAAATTTGTGTTATCAAATATTTCTGTCCCCTTTCTCCTCTAAAATCTAATTTCTCTTCTCTACCAGTCCTAAATATCAAAGATTATAAGAAAAGTAAGGATAATTAAAGATTAAAGAATATTGAGGCTTGTGTATTTTTTCAGTCAATGATAAAGAAACGGGCGATCAATAATAAGCAACTGGTAAGTGTACTATAATCAGCATTGCTACAAAAACTGCTATCTATTGAGAAAACATGCATCCAACTATTAAAAGTAATTTATATTTATAAAATCAAATTAAACCCACTCGTAAATGTAAGAGAAGTCTCAAAGGGCTCATTGTTATAACAGTTATAATAGGTATTTTTACATTTGAGGTTGTAAAATGATAATACTGTATGCAAAGTTAGAGGCAAATCAACAGTTCTAACAGTGATGTGTTACACTTACATTACTCAGTAAATTGGATTATAGAGCATGGAACAATTTGGGGAAGAATCATCTCGGGTGTTCCCACTGACCATTAGAAATCTGTAGTTTATCTTAAATTAACTATTTTTAAAATTTGCCATTTTCCACAACTCTTACTTTTCCTGATTCTGAGTCCTGATCCCATAAACTTGCAATACTCTATGGAAAGGATTTCAAGAGAGACATACTTTTATCTTTAATAAAAACATGAATTAAACCAGAAGGAAGGAAATAAAGAGTTGAAGCCCACTGCTGTGGCTGCTGAAGTAATAGATGCATTTTATCTTAATACTTGACTAGAAATTTCCTGTATCTTCATTTTGTATCTTATTATGAATCTTCATCATTAAAATGTATGATAGCTTTATGGTAGGTCTTGAAATCAGGTAGCATATGTCTCATATTATTTTTCTTCATTAACAAAATTGATTTAGTCAAAGTCTTTAATTATTTCATGTACATTTTGGAATTACTTCGTCAACTTTATGCAATCCAAAAAGACCTTCTTGGATTTTGATTAAGAAGGTATTGAGTCTATAGGTCTATAAGGGAAAATTGCCAACTTAACAATATTGAGTTTTCTAATCCATTAACAGAATATACCTTTTCCTTTATTTATTTATTATTTTTATTTATTTATATTTTTTTGAGATGGAGTCTCGCTCTGTCACCCAGGCTGTAGCGCAATGGTGTAATCTTGGCTTACTACAACCCCTACACCTCCTGGGTTCAAGTGATTCTCTCACCTCAGCCTCCAGGTACCTGGGATTACAGGCACACGCCACCACGCTAGGCTAATTTTTTGCATTCTTTTAGTAGAGATGGGGTTTCACCATGTTAACCAGGCTAGTCTTGAACTCCGTAAATGCACAGCTTAGTGTTAGAAAACAAATTTAGAATACTTCCCTGCAGATTTCTGGACCTCTGTCTCTGCATAGCTATCCCCTTTATGGTTCTCTTCTCACTAATTATAGCTGTCTCACTGCCCTCAAATTCTGGTTTTTGTCTTCTGAATTTGGCAATATCAGAATGGATCCCTCTCCCTGACCATGGTCTGGAAAGTTTCTTCATGCAGAAAACCAGAGCAATTATTATATTCACATTTGTTTTCATTTTTTCAGTGTTGAAAGTCCGGCACTGTTTCCCAATGTCTGGAAGCAGTTGTGCTTAATTTTTTTCCGGTTTTATTTATGATATAAAAAAATTTTTGAGACAAGCTCTAACTCTAACACCCAGGTTTGAGTGCAATGGTGCAATCATAGCTCACTGCAGCCTCAAAATACTGAGCTCAAGGGATTCTCCAACTTCAGCCTCCCAAAGTGCTGGGATCAAAGGTATGGGCCACTGTGACCAGCGCAGTTTTCTAACTGACCAGAGTGGAAGATTAAGTCTGGTTCTATCATAATTGGAAGAGCTGAGTTTCAACTTTAAAAAGATGATCATAGGCTGGGCATGGTGGCTCACGCCTGTAATTCCAGCACTTTGGGAAGTCGAGGGGGGCGGATCACTTCAGGTCAGGAGTTCAAGACCAGCCTGACCAACATGGTGAAACCTCGTCTCTACTAAAAAATACAAAACTTAGTTGAGCATGGTGGTGCGCGCCTGTAATCCCAGCTACTTGGGAGGCTTGGCAGGAGAATTGCTTGAACCCGGGAGGAGGAGGTTGTAGCGAGCCAAGATTATGCCACTGCATTCCAGCCTGGGCCACAGAGTGAGACTCCATCTCAAAAAAAAAGCTCATGAACACAGATGTTAGCATTTTTATTTCATTTGTTTATATTTAAAATCGATTTAAGCATGTCAACATATGTAACTTAATAAAATTAATACTTATAATTTAAAATATTCAAGCAGAAAATTGAAGTATTGTCCTTTTCATATGCTGATATTTTAGTCACCTTAATTGGGTTTCATAAGAAGCAACTATTAAAAGACACTAGCATGTTGCAATTATTTTTTATTTAAATTAATTTGTGTTATTTTGCAATGTTTTATATAGTAATATCCAGACAGTTTTAATATACACTCAAAAGTTTTGTTTTCACACAACATAAATATAGGAAACACAATGAGACAAAGCTATACAAATTCCAGGGAAAATATTTAAATCTTTGAATTTATTAAAATATGTCTCTCAGTTTGAATTTTGAGTTTACTGTAGGAAAACACAGAAATGATGTGTAAAGTAACTTCCTTTTGATTGCCTGGTGGATAGAAAAACAAAAAACAACTAAATTTGAGATATGGTTTGAACAGAGCTGATGATGCATTTGTTTTCCTGTTTGAATCTCCTCAAGATCAGCAATTTGTTTTTTTACTGACTAAGGTTTGTTCAGATTGCTACTGCTCATATGATTCCCAGGAACTTAAGTACTTTCGAGTAACTGTGTGAGGCTGATAACACTAGATTTAAAAAAAATTTGTCTTCAATAAGTACACTCTTTCCAGCAGAGGAAGCAGTTCAGAAAGTTCTTTGTGGTTTCCCCTCTGGATCTTTCTATCATCAATTTCAGCAAAAGGTGGTATTTTTCTTTTAATAAAAGGTCAAGACCGCTTGTTTTAATCCTTCTCAGACTCCAGGTACAGCTTAACCAGATATAGCCTGTAACTTGCTCCCATCTCTTGAATGCATGCTTTCAGCTTGGCCAGGAGGGGCTGGACATCAAAAGGAGGAGAGTCACAGTCTGGATGGGGCTCAGGAACCTCACAGTGCTGTATAAGCCAGCTATCATCTAGGGGGGTTCTTTTCCCCTTAAGCCAGCAGCAAAATGCTTCAACCCTTGTCAATTACTTTCAGTAACTGATTCTTTTGTCTTGTTTTTTTTCTACTTAGTATTCTCTCCCATATTTAGAGAATACTGAAAGCATTCCCGTTTTACCTCTAACTCTGAAGCCACAGAAACTGTGCCCATAACAGGGTTGCTAAATGGCCTAAATGACATATATGCAAATATATATACACAAACACACATGTGTATGGAATATATATGTTTGTATATTATTTGAAAATATATTTAAATAACTTGCATATTACATATAAATTTATATATATTTCATATCCATATATGCATATACTTTTTCTCATACATTATAAAACTCTGGCAACATCTACATGTAACATATGAGTCTTTATTTGTTTTGCTGACAAAGATTATCTTTCCCAGAATCTGGATTAGAAAATTTAGTTATTTAGTATTTGGTTGTTATTATTTCAATATTTTGATTTAATTTATTTTGGAACAGAAATTAGCCTGCAAATTCTGCAAATTTTTCTTAGAAATGTATCATATGCATAAATTTGTTTTAGCTGACCTAGAAAACGGAGGGCTTATATTTCCCTTTTTATTTTTCTATATAAAAGATATTTGATTTAAGAAGAAAATCAGTTCGAAGTCTTTGTAAATCTGATATATTCTCTTTTCCCAATTGTATTGCCCAAGTCAGAGTCTATTATTTTCCACAGGCAGATATTTGAAAGGACTTAACAAATACCACAGAAGGTACTCACATAAGGCTTTTATCTAAAGGCAGAGAGTACAATGCAGCAAGAGAGAGAGGGCAAGCACTGGAGACATTCCAAGCAGTACAAGACATTCCAGATAGTACAAGCTCCCCATAGACCTAACCAGACACATGAACCATGCCAGTTTCTGACTTGAACTGCCCAGATCTATGCAAGAAACTCTCTATATCCCATTAAGTAGTAGTCAAGCTTGTCAAACTCATTAGGCTAGTTGCAAGTCATTAGCAAAGAAACTGACCTTGGGGCTTGCCAAGAGAGTTTAAAATTATTCTAAACTGCATATTATAAATTCTAATGGTCTTATCTTGACCAAGAGCCAAAATTCATACATTCAGGCATCCCCAGGATTAAGACAGAGCTCTTAAGTACCTCTGTAAATTAACTCTATCTCACAATATCTTCATTCAACAAATATTTATTGAGCATCTACTACATTCCAGGTACTACTGGGAATATAGAGTGAACTAACTGAACTGTCTATGACCTCATGGAGCTGACATTCTAGTTTCGTTCTACAGTTATCCTTTAGAAGGCAGTTTTAGCACATTCAATGCGAGTTCTCAGTTAAAAGTGAAAATGAAAACTTGGCATAGTTTCTAAACTTTAATTTTTTTATCATTAGCCTCTTCTCATCATACTGAAACCTCACTGACTTGCAAACTTGAGAGGAAATATACATATTTAATTTAATCTCTGAGTTTTTTGGTTGTGTGTTACTTAGCAAAATAACACAAAACTGAAGAGAAGTCAAACTTACAAAAAATGCATGCCATATGATTTCATTAATTAAAAGATCATGCCAGTGAAACTAATCACAGGTATTAGAGGTCGAGATGGTGATTACTTTTGGGGTATAGTGGCTGGAAGGGAGCAAAGGGGCTATATACCTTCTTAGTACTTGCTATTTTCCAATTTTTAATTAGGAAATAGGAACACACATGTCTTTACTTTTTGATAATTCATTGAGCTGTACATTTATGATTTATGTCCTTTATGTGCTCTTCCAACTAAAACATTGGCAGTAAATCCCTGTCTCAGATCCTGTTTTCTAGTGAACCCAGACAGAGGGTGCTTGAGCTGACATCTACTATATTCCAGGCACTACTGGAAGTATAGAGTGAACTAATTGGGCTATCTGTGACCTCATGGAGCTGACATTCTAGTTTCATTCTAGAGTTGCCATTTAGGAGGCAGTTTTAGCACATTCAGTGTGAGTTTTGAGTTAATAGTGAAAATGAAAAGTTGGCATAGTCCCTAAACTTTATTTTTTTTCCTTATTGTTAGCCTCTTTTCACCATAATGAAACCTCACTGACCTACAAACTTAAGAGGAATAATACAGATTTAATTTAATCCCTGAGTTTTTTGGTTGTGTGTTGCCCAGCAATGTAATACAATAATACTGAAGAGAAGTCAGACACACACGAAAATACATGCCATATGATTCCATTAATTAAAACGCCAAAACCAACAAAACTAATCATGGGCATTACAAACAGAGACAGTAATTACTCTTGGGGGTGTATTGGCTGGAAAGGAGCAAAAGGGCTCTGTACCTTCTTCATACAAGCTATTTTCTAATTTTTAATTGGGAGGTAAGAACACATGTGTCTTTATTTTTTGATAATTTATCGAGCTGGACATTTATGATTTATGTACTTTATGTGTTCTCCCAACAAAAACACTGGCACTAAATCCCTGTCTCAGGCTCTGTTTTCTAGTGAACCCAGGCTAACACAATGAAAATTAATTTAGAAAAAGGTTTTCCACATTCTTATGTAAATAGATTATACATGAAGACATTTATTTATGTGTAGTATATATAGAGATTTATCTATGCATTAATCATTTTTGCCATGCTATCTATGCAGGGGAAAATAAAACATTATGCCAGCATTCAAGTTTTCATTTCAAGAGAAAGAAAGAAAGAAAGAAGAAAAGAAAGAAAGGAGAAAGAAAGAAAGAGAAAGAAAGAGAAGAGAAGAGAAGGAAAGAAAGAAGGAAGGAAAGAGAGAAACTTCCAATGCAGAGCTTTACATGATAGATTTCAAAATTCAACATTACACAGTTTTTTCTTTACTTTGTAGTTCCAAGGAAACAGGACTCTGTATGAGGCTTGCTGTTAAGCCCTTTATAGACAGGTCTGCTTTTCTTGGAGCCAATAAAACACTACAAATTTAATGTTACCCAAACTCCACCCTTCTCCCAAATCATGAAATAACTTCATCTCTTCTTTTGGTTGATTAGATGCCTCTTGGTTCTCCTAGGGTGCATTATCACTTATGAAAACAAGTCAAGAAATCTATTGTGTTCGACTACATGTTTGTCTCTAGTGGTGTTTATTAGATGGACATTATCATATGTAGATAATATTTTGTTTTGCTAAACATACATACACACACAAACACACACACACACAGCCCACATGCATATATTCCTGACATTTTGAAAGTAAGTGCAGCGACATCAGCAAGATGACCAAAAGAAGTTCTTAGTGCTCATCCCTACCACTATTAACCAAAACAATGAAAAAACGACTACATTTTGAAAAAAAAAACCAAAGAAAAGCCCAGGAGTAAAGCAAAACAATAGCAAAAATCCTATAGAGCACAGAAATCCAGATGGCTACATTTTGTGTCCTGGAAACACAACATTTTAGCCAAGCCAAATAGCCACAGAGGGTACTTGAGCTGAAACAGTGGCTTCTATGGGAAATAAAATCATGGTTGAGTCAAGCAGTCCCACCTCTCAGGGCCTGAGCTAATGCAGTGTCCCACTTCTGGGTTACTACTGTCTTGACCTAGCCAAACAGTCATGCCTCCTGACACCTGAGCTAATGCAACGCCCTCCTTTCAGAAGAAATAGAATATTAGTCATTTCAAGCAGCCATGCCTGCAAGGCCTAAGCTGATGTGGTGCCTCACCTCCTAGGAAACCAAAACCTTCACTGAGCTATGCCACCCCACACAAACGGCCAAATATCTACAGTTCTCTGCCTCCCTGGAACTAGTCACTTGGAATTTGAGCTGCTGAGGTATGCTGCCTCCTAGGGAATGCAGCCATTGCTGCACTACTCTCTGCCTACCAGGACCCAAGCCACAGTTGCATCTCACCATTCTTGTATCTTTGCTGCCACTGCACTTCCCTTCACTGAGCCTGGGCTACTGCCATGTTCCATAAACCCAGAGTACAGAGTCATAATTAAATGGTGCCTCATCCCATGAGGTCTGAGTTGGTATTGCACATTGTTGACTCCAGGACCTGAATTGCAGATACATCCTCCTGTTATCCAGGGCCTGAGCCTCTGGACCACCCATCATCCTCCAGAAGTATGGTGATACTTCATTCTACCCCCGAAAGTCACAGTCATAGCTCCATCCCTGGCTCTTGCGCCTGAGCTGCTGCGGTACTCCAGAGTCACAGACCTCAGCTTTGTGGGTAATCTACATTCACCATGACCTGGAGAGTGAACCAGTGCCCCAAGACTTAGGTGGAAGTACATTCATAGACTATGGGTCCAGGACCCTGGCTCCAAAGCCACTCTAAGAGGCTGTACCTCATATCCCAAAGCTGTGTGGCCACCTGTGGGCTGTGTTAGACCCAATACTGAAAGAGATCCCCTCAGCTAAGATTCTCTAGTGTGAGGAAAATGAGTAAAAGAGGACACCAAAAGCCTTGTCACTGAGGACCCAAATAACCAATGCTGTCACCATAGCTGCCACCAACTCCTGAAGCTTAGGCCACTTTGACACCTGCAGTCATCACTGACATGGATCACAGATGAAGAAGCTGCATGATGCCTGCACCCCTGTGCACAACTGGAACCAGAGCCACCACATCCTGCCCAACTGGCAGCCTGGGACGCATTTGCAAGTGAGTCTATCCCTATAAAATCGAACCTGTAAAGTTTGAAAGAGGTGATTGCTCCATCAGATGTATCGACATGACCACCGGCATCCAAGAAATGTGAAAAGGCAAGAAAATATAAAACCACCAAAGAAATACAATAATTCTCAAGCAACTGGCCTCAATGAAATGGAAATATACAAATTGCCTGGAAAGAAATTCAAATTAACAATCTAAGAAAACTCAGTAAGATACAAGAGAATATATATAGGCAATTCAACAAAATCAGAAAAAAATATTATATGAATGAGATTCAGAAATAGAAATCATTGAAAATAATTAAACAGAAATCATGAAGCTGAAGAATTCAATGAGTAAAATAAAAAATACAATAGAACTTGAAAGGAGATTAGATCAAACAGAAAAAAGAATCCAGTAACTTAAAAGGAGGTCATTTAAAATTACCCAGGCAAAGGGGAAAAAAGGAAAAAGCAGTGAAAAAAAGTGAAGAAAACCTACAGGACCGATGAGACACTATTAATCAAATAAATTTTTGCATTATGAAAGTTCCAAAAGGAGATAAAACAGAGAAAGGACCAAAAAGCGTACTTAATGAAATAACTGCTGAAAACTTCATAGCTCTTGGAAGAGATATAGACATCCAGATCCATGAAGCTCAAAGATGACCAATAAGGTTTAAATCTTATAGGTTCTCACATTATAATCAAATTGTCAAAAGTCAATGTCAAAGAGAATTTTGAAAGTAGCAAGAAAAAAGTGAGATTTTTAAATACAAGGGGATTTCTATTATGCTATCAGAGGATTTTTTAATAGAAAGTTGCAGGGTCGGGGAGAATGGGACGCTATATAAAAAGAAATTGAAGAAAAACCAAGACTTGCCAGCAAAGAATATTTTACCCAACATGGCAATCTTTTTTTTTTTTTTTTGGTCCCAGGGTACATGTGCAGGTTTGTCACATAGGTAAATGTGTGACATGGTGGTTTGCTGCACCTATCAACCCATCAACTAAGTATTAAGCCCCACATGCATTAGCTATTTTTCCTGATGTTCTCCCTTCCCCCACCCCCCTATGCCCACCAGTAGACCCCAGTGTGTGTTGTTCCCCTCCCTGGGTCCGTATTTTCTCATTGTTCAGTTCCTACTTATGAGTGAGAACATGCTGCAATGTTTGGTTTTCTGTTCCTTCATTAGTTTGCTAAGGATAATGGCTTCCAGCTCTATTCATATCCTGCAAAGGACATGATCTCATTCCTTTTTATGGCTACATTGTATTCTATGGTGTATATGTACTACATTGCCTTTATCCAGTCTATCATTGATGGGTATTTGGGTTGATTACATGTCTTTGTTATTGTGAATAGTGCTGCAATGAACATAAGCTTGTATGTGTTTTTAAAATAGAATGATTTACATTCCTTTGGGTGTTTACCCAGTAATAGGATTACTGGATCAAGTGGCATTTCTTGTTCTAGGTCTTTGAGAAATCACCACACTGTCTTTCAAAATGATTGAACTAATTTACATTTCTACCAACAGTGTAAAAGCATTCCTATCTCTCTGCAGCATTGCCAGCATCTGTTGTTTCTTGACTTTTTAATAATCACCATTCTGACTGGTGTGAGATGGTATCTCACTGTGGCTTTGATTTGCATTTCTCTAATGATCAGTGAAGTTTAGCTTTTTTTCATACATTTGTTGCCTGCATAGATGTCTTCTTTTGAGAAGTGTCTGTTTGTGCCCTTTGTCCACTTTTTAATGGGGTTGTTTGGTTTTTTTTCTTGTAAATTTGTGTAAGTTCCTTATAGACACTGGATATTAGATCTTAGTCAGATAGATAGTTGCAAAAATTATCTCCCATTCTGTAGGTTGTCTGTTCACTCTGATGATAGTTTCTTCTGCTGTGCAGAAAATCTTTAGTTTAATTAGATCCCATTTGTCAGTTTTTGCTTTTGTTGCAATTGCTTTGGACATTTTTGTCATGATATCTTTGCCCATGCCTATGTCCTGAATGGTATTGCCTAGATTTTCTTCGAGGGTTTTTGTAGTTTTCAGTTTTATATTTAAGTCTTTAATTCTTCTTGAGTTAATATTTGTATAAGGTATAAGAAATGGTCATCCAAAAGCTTCTTAAGCTGATAAGCAACTTCAGCAAAGTCTCAGGATGCAAAATCAATGGCAAAAATCAACAGCATCCCTATACAACAACAATAGACAGGCAGACAGCCAAATCATGAATGAACTCCCATTTACAATTGCTACAAAAGGAATAAAGTACCTAGGAATACAGCTAACAAGGGAAGTAAAGGACTTCTTCAAGGAGAACTACAAGCCACTGCTCAAGAAAATCTGTGAGAAGCCAAACAAACGGAAAAACATTCCATGCTCATGGATAGGAAGAATCAATATCATGAAAATTACCATACTACCCAAAGTAATTTATAGAGTCAATGCTATTTCCATCAAATTACCATTGACATTCTTCACATATTTAGAAAAAACTATTTTAAAATTCATATGGAATAAAAAAGAGCCTGTATGGCCAAGACAATCCTAAGCAAAAAGAACACAGCTGGAGGCATCATGCTACCTGACTTCAAACTATACTACAAGGCTTCAGTAACCAAAAACGCATGATACTGATATGAAAACAGGAACACAGATGAATGGAACAGAATGGAGAACTCAGAAATAAGCCCTCACACCTACAACCATCTGATCTTTGACAAACTTGACAAAAACAAGCAATGGGGAAATGATTCCCTGTTTAATAAATAAATGCTGGGAGAACTAGCTGTGAAAGCCTCACAATCATGGTGGAAGGTGAAAATCATGTCTTACATGGTATCAGGCAAGAAAGAATGAGAGCCCAGTGAAAGGGGAAACCCCTTATAAAACCATCAGATCTTGTGAGACTTATTTACTACCATGAGAATAATATAAGAGAAACTGCCCCAATGATTCAATTATCTCTCACCAGTTCCCTTCCACAACACGTGGGAATTATGGGAGCTACAATTCAAGATGAGACTTGGGTGGGAACACACCGAAACTATATTGTAGCTTAAAATAAAGTATTCCAGCTTTAAGATGTTTTATGTAAGATTATGGTAACTACAAAACACAAAGCTATTGAAGATACACAAATGATACAGAGAAAACCATTGTGAAAGACAACGTGATGATTCCTCAAGGATCTAGAACCAGAAATACCATTTGACCCAGCAATCCATTACTGGGTATATACCCAAACGATTATAAATTATTCTACTATAAAGACACATGCACACATATGTTTATTGCAGCACTATTCACAATAGCAAAGACTTGGAACCAACCCAAATGACCATCAATAATAGACTGGATAAAAAAAAATGTGACACATACACACCATGGAATACTATGCAGCCATAAAAAAGGATTAGTTCATATCCTATGCAAGGACGATAAAGCTGGAAATCATCATTCTCAGCAAACTAACACAGGAACAGAAAACCAAACACTGCATGTTCAGAACATCACACACCAGGGCCTGTTTGGGGGTGGGGGGCTAGGGGAAGGATAGCATTATGAGAAATACCTAATGTAGATGACGAGTTGAAGGGTGCAGCAAACCACCATGGCATGTGTATACCTATGTAACAAACCTGCACGTTCTGCACATGTATCCCAGAACTTAAAGTATAATAAAAAACAGAAAGAAATAAAAAAGAATCAAACCTTAGTACTAAAGAAAATAACCAAATAACAAAGGCAGACAAGAGAGGAAGAAAAGACAATTGGATTTGCAAAAGAACCAGAAAACAATTAGCAATATGACAATCACAAGTCTTTGTTTATCACTAATATCCTTGAATTTAAGTAAATTAAATTTTTCAATTGAAAGTCAGCGTGGCTGAATCAATAAGAAACAAGATCCAAGTATGTGTTTCTGGCAAGAGACCTACTTTAGCTTTAAAGACACACAAGGCTAAAAGTGGAGGAATGGAAAAAGATATTTTATGCAAATAGAAACCAAAGGAGGTCAGAGGTGGTTATGCTTTTATCAGATAAAATAGACTTTATGTCAAAAATTGTCACAAGACAAAGAATGTTATTATTTAGTGATGAAGAGTTCAGTTAATCAGGAGGACATAACAATTATAAATATATATGCACCAAACTTTGGAGCAACTAAATATATAAAGCACATATTAATGGACATGAAGGGAGAAACAGATAGCGATACAATAATATAGGCATCTTCAATACCTTAAAAATAGATTAACCAGACAGAAAATTAATCAGGAAATTCTGAACTTGAATTGTCCACCAAATGGACCTAATGGACATATATAGAACATTCCATCCTAAAGCAACAGAATATTCATTCTTTTCTGGTGCATATGAAACATTCACTAAGATAGATTATATGTTAGGCCACAAAATAAGTGTTAATCATTAAAAAGATTGAAATTCTATCAAGTATAATTTCTGACTATACCGATACTTAACTAGAAATCAATAACTGGAGGAATATTCCTCCTCCACAAATTCACAAATATGTAGAAATTAAACAACATGCTCCTGAACAACCAAAGAAGAAATTAAAAGAGAAATTTAAAAATATCTTGAGATTAATGGCAATGAAAACACAATAAAACCTATGGAATGCAAAAAAAAAAGAAAGTTCTAAGAGGAAATTTTATAGCAATAAATGCCAGTATTTAAAAAAGAAAGATTCAAAATAAATAGTCTAACATTACACCTCAGGAAAACAGATTTAAAAAGGTCAAAATGAACACAATGTTAGCAGGAAAAAAAAGAGAAAACAAAGATGAGAAATAAAGTGATGATTAAAAAATACAAAGAAAAAATTAGTAAACTAGGATTTGATTTTTAAAAAATAAACACAACTGACAAATCTTTAGCAGAACTAATAAAAGAGAGAACACTCAAATAAATAAAATCGGAAATGAAGGTAGAGACATTACAACAGATGCCTCAGAAATAAAAAGGATAATAAGGGACTATAACGAATAATTAAAGGCCAATAATGAGATAACCTAGTGGAAATTGATAAATCTTTGGAACATACGATCTACCAAGATAGAATGAGGAAGAAATAGAAAGACTGTGCAGACTGATAACAAATAAAAAGATGGAAGTAGTAATTTAAAATTTCTCAACAAAGAAAATCTCAGGACCAGATGGCTTTATTGCTAAATTCTAAATAAATAAATAAATAAATAAATAAATAAATAAATAAAGAGTTAATACTTCTTAAACTATTCCAAACTAGACAAAGACACCATAAAAAATGAAAGTTGAGACCAGTATTTCTGAAGAATATTGATGCAGAAATCCTCAAAATATTAGAAAACTAAATTCAACAACACATCAAAAATGTTATATATCATGACCAAGTAGGATTTATCCCTGGCATGCAGAGCTGGTTTAATGTATGCAAATCAATCAGTGTGATACATCACATTAACAGAATGAAAGACAAAACCACATGATCATTACAACAGATACTGAAAAAGCATTTGACAAAGTTCAACATCCTTTCTTGTTAAAAATACTCAACAGTTTATGTATAAAAAGAAAGTTCCTCAATATAGTAAAGACTATTTATAAAAACCCACAGCTATCATTATAATTAATATAGAAAAACTGAAATATTTTTCTCTAATATTTAGTTCAGGGCAAGCATAACCACTTTCACCATTTCTATTCAATATTGTATTAGAAATTCTAGTCAATGTAATCAGAAAAGAGAAAAATTAAAAGCTATCCAAATCAGAAAAGAAGTAAAATTATTTCTATTTGCCTATGGCATGATCCTATATGTAGAAAACCTCAAAAACCACCCTCCACCCACTAGCACTGTTAGAAATAATAAATTAATTGACTAAAGTTGCAGGATACAAAATCAACAAACAAAAATTAGCTAAATGTTTGCACACAATTAAAAACTTAGCTGAAAAGAAATAAAGAAAACAATCTTATTTATATTAGCATCAAAAATATATAGGAATAATTTTAACCAAGGAATTGAAAGATCTGTATAGTAAAAACTATAAAACATTGATGAAAGAAATTGAAGACACAAATAAATGGACAGATATCCTGTGTACACACATTAGAAGAAATATTGTTAAAATGTGTATGCTGAAGTTTCCCTGACACCTACACAGGTGGGAACTGCACTGCACGAGTGCCAGCAGAGGCAAATTTAACTCACTTGCTGCTCCACCCTTTGCTGGAGGGGCAGCACAGGTGAGCAGGTGCAGGACTCAGGGCAAGCACTTTTGGGTGCCGGCAAGAGCAAACTCCATACCAGTCCCATGGCAGCATCTAGGGAGAGGGTGACCGTGATCTCTGAAGACCCAGAAGAAGTGTTACACTGCCCATTTTAGCTTTGCCATCCAAGGATAGCTTAAGTGTTAATAGCTCAGTGGAGGGTCAGTGTGACAGTGTTTTGCACCTACACTCATGGCACCCAAGTTCTTGTTCAGCATCCAGGAGGAATGAGGTTGCATGAACGAACTGAAGATGGTAAATGCAAGAGATTTTAGTGCTGGTGAAAGTGGCTTTCAGTGGGAAGGGAATATGTAAAGGGGATGGATGGAGCGGGAAGGTAATCTTCCCCTGGAATCTGGCCGAGGACTAGATGCTACACCATCAAGCTGTCCCTCTCATGTCAAGCTGCTTCTGTCTGCCATACAACCATAGTCTTCAACATCCAGCTGCATCTCCTCTCTCTGCTGGCTGAGCCTGGGGTGTTTATGAGCATAGGATGGAGGGTGGGGCAGGATATGGGTGGTTTTGGAAAAGGCGACATTCAAGCAGGAAAACAGGGATGTATGTTCTCACTTTGGGCTGAGTTATCAGGCTTTTTGGCTTGACGGTGGGGCCCTTGCTGGGGACCTGCCTTCTTCTGCACAGAATTTCCCTGCCTCCTATACTTATCAATGCTACTAAAAGCAGTATAAGGATTCAACACAATCCATCTTCACAGAAATATAAAATGAAATGCTAAAATCCACGTGTAATCACAGAAGACCCTGAATAGCCAAAGTAATTCTGAGAAACAAGAACAAAGTTGGAAGCATTATGCTTCTTTATTTAAAAGTATATTATAAAGTTATAGTAATCAAAACAGTATAATACTGGCATAAAAGCAGACATATAAACCAGTGGGACAAAAATATACAGCCCAGAAATAAACCCAAATATATATGGTTTCTATGGTTTGAAGCCTTGAATGTTTGTGTCCTTTCCAAAATGCATGTTGAAACTTAATCTCAAATGCAATAGTTTGGGCCTTTAAGAGGAAATTAGGTCATGATGACTCCTCCCTCATGGATGTAATTAAGGTCCTTATAAAAGAGGCTTCACAAGACATTTGGACTATTTCACCCTTCCATTCATTCCACCATGTGAGGACACAGTTTGTCCTATCTGGAAGATGCAGCAACAAGATACCATCTTGGAAGCAAGCAACGTGACCCTAAGTAGATGCTGAACCTGTGGCACCTTGATCGTGGACTTCTCAGTTCCAAAACTGTGAGAAATAATTTTCTATTTTTTATAATTACCCAGTTTGTGGTATTCTGTTATAGCAGCACAAATGGACTAAGAAAGAAACTGGTACCAATAAGTGGAGTACTGCTGTATCGAACACCTAAAAATGTGGAAGTGGCATTGGAACTGGGTAATGGGTAGAGGCTAGTCTCTAACAGACGATTCTGGTAAGGACTAAGAAGAAGAGAGCTGTAGACAGAACCTCAGTCTTAGAGATTATTTTAGTGGTTGTAATTACAATATCAATTAAAATGTGGGCAGTGAGTGCCATTCTGATGTGGTGTCAGATGAAAATGAGAAATAATTAAAAACTGGAGGGGGCCAGGCGCAGTGGTTCAATGCTTGTAATCCCATTCACTTTGGGAGGCCGAGGTGGGCAGATTACTGGAGGTCAGGAGTTCAAGACCAGTTTGGCTGATATGGTGAAACCTCGTCTCTACCAAAAATACAAAAATTAGCCTGTCATGGTGGTGCACACCTATAATCCCAGCTACTCGGGAGGCTGAGGCTGTAGAATTGCTTGAACCTGGGAGGCGGAAGTTGCCATGAGCCAAGATCGCACCACTACACTCCAGCCTGGGTGACAAAGTGAGACTCCATCTCAAAAAAAAAAAAAAAAAAAAAAAAGTGGATCAAAGGCCATCCTTGTTATCAAGTGGCAAAGAATATGGCTGAATTGTGTCTATGTCCCAGGGTTTTGTGGAAGGCAGAACTTAAAGGCAATGAACTAGGATGTTTGGTGAAATAAATATCTAAGTGAAGTGTTCAGGGAACTGACTGCTTATAATAAAATACGGGAAGAGAGAAATGAATTAAAAGATAAAATGTATAATCAAAAAGTAAGTGAAATTTAAAGATTTAGAAAATTATCAGCCTGGCCATGTGAAGATAAAAGGCTGTTCAAGAAAGAAAATTAAAGGTATGGCCAAGCTACTGTTTAAATAAGAAATATATATGTGTAGGTAGAAGCCAGATACTATTCACTAGAACAGTGGAGGGGTGATCCCAGTGATATTTGGAAGATCTTTGGGGCTCCCATTCCCATTACAGGTGCCAAGTGCTAAGTTTTTATTGACAGATGAATGGATAAACTGTGAGATACACACACACACACACACACACACACACACACTCATATAATTCAGACTTAAAAAAGGAGATCTTGCCATTTGCCACAACATGGAAGATACTGGAGAAACTTATGCTAAGTAAACTTACCCAGACACAGAGACATATTGCACAATCTCATTTATATGTGGAATCTAAAATAACAACAAAACAACTAACAATATAGAATTCAGAGAGATAGAGAGTGAAACTGTGGTTACCAGGGGTAGAAGAAGAGAGAGAGAGAGAAAACTGGTAGGGGAGAGCAGCAGGTCAAAAGATACAAAGTGAAAGATAAGTAGGATGAGCAAATCTAGAGTTCTAATGTACAGTACAAAGACGATAGTTAATAACAAGGTATTGTATTTGGCATTTTTGCTAAATGACTAGATTTTAGCTGCTCTTGCCACACATAGAAATACAAACGAGTGACTATTTGAAATAATAGATATGTTAATTTTTAAATTTTTATTATTATACTTTAAGTTCTGGGATACATGTGCAGAACGTGCAGGTTTGTTACACAGGTATACACGTGCCATGGTGGTTTGCTGCACCCATCAACCCATCGTCTACATTAGGTATTTCTCCTAATGCTATCCCTCCCCTTGCCCCCCACCCCCCGACAGGCCTTGGTGTGTGATGTTCCCCTCCCTGTGCCCATATATTCTCGTTGTTCAATTCCCACTTATGAGTGAGAATATGCAGTGTTTGGTTTTCTGTTCCTGTGTTAGTTTGCTGAGAATGATGGTTTCCAGCTTTATCCATGTCCCTGAAAAGGACATGAACTCATTCTTTTTTATGGCTGCATAGTATTCCATAGTATATATGTGCCACATTTTCTTTATCCAGTCTATCATTGATGGGCATTTGGGTTGGTTGAAGTCTTTGCTATTGTGAATAGTGCTGCGATAAACATACGTGTGTATGTGTCTATATAGCAGAATGATTTATAATCCTTTCAGTATATACCCAGTAATGGGATTGCTGGGTCAAATGGTATTTCAAGTTCTAGGTCCTTGAGGAATCACCACACTGTCTTCCACAATGGTTGAATTAATTTACACTCCCACCAACAGTGTAAAACAATTCCTATTTCTCCACATCCTCTCCAGCACCTGTTGTTTCCTGACTTTTTAATGATCACTATTCTAATTGGCATGAGATGGTATCTATTGTGGTTTTGATTTGCATTTCTCTAATTACCAGTGATGATGAGCTTTTTTTCCTATGTTTGTTAGCCATATAAATTTCTTCTTATGAGAATTGTCTGTTCATATCCTTCACCCACTTTTTTTTTTTTTTTTTTTGAGATAGAATATCGTTCAGTCACCCAGGCTGGACTGCTGTGGCACAATCTCAGCTCACTGCTACCTCTGCCTGCTGGGTTCAAGTGATTCTCCTGCCTCAGCCTCCTGAGTAGCTGAGACTACAGGTGCATACCAGCACACCTGACTAATTTGTTGTATTTTTAGTAGAGATGGGGTTTCACCGTGTTAGCCAGGCTGGTTTTGATCTCCTGACCTCATGATCCATCCGTCTTGGCCTCCTAAAGTGCTGGGATTACAGGCGTGAGCCACCGCGCCCGGCCTCCTTCACCCACTTTTTGATGGGGTTGTTTGTTTTTTTCTTGTAAGTTTGTTTAAGTTCCTTGTAGATTCTGGATATTAGCCCTTTGTCAGATGGATAGATTGCAAAAATTTTCTCCCATTCTGTAGGTCGCCTGTTCACTCTGATGATAGTTTCTTTTGCTGTGTAGAAGCTCTTTTGTTTAATTAGATCCCATTTGTTAATTTTGGCTCTTTTTTTTTTTTTTTTTTTTTTTTTAGGCGGAGTCTCACTCTTTTGCCCAGGCTGGAGTGCAGTGGCGCGATCTCGGCTCACTGCAAGCTCCGCCTCCCGGGTTCACACCATTCTCCTGCCTCAGCCTCCCGAGTAGCTGGGATACAGGCACCCACCACCACGCCCAGCTAATTTCTTTTGTATTTTTAGTAGAGACGGGGTTTCACTGTGTTAGCCAGGATGGTCTCGATCTGACCTCGTGATCCGCCCACCTCGGCCTCCCAAAGTGCTGGGATTACAGGCATAAGCCACCGCGCCTGGCCAATTTTGGCTTTTGTTGCAATTGCTTTTGGTTTTATTCATGAAGTCTTTGCCTATGCCTATGTCCTGAATGGTATTGCCTAGGTTTTCTTCTATGGTTTTTATGGTTTTAGGTCTTATGTTTGAATCTTTAATCCATCTTGAGTTAATTTTTGAATAAGCTGTAAGGAAGTGGCCCAGTTTTAGTTTTCTGCATATGGCTAGCCAGTTTTCCCAACGTCATTTATTAAATATGGAACACTTTCCCGATTGCTTGTCTTTGTCAGGTTTGTCAAAGATCAGATGGCTGTAAATGTGTGGTGTTATTTCTGAGGACTCTGTTCTGTTCCATTGGTCTATATATCTTTTTTGGTACCAGTACCATGCTGTTTTGGTTACTGTAGCCTTGTAATATAGTTTGAAGTCAGTAGTAACCATTTTATTCTCTATATGTATCTCATAATATCATGTTGTATACTTTAAATATGTACAATGAAATTTATTTTACAAAATGTAAGTGCTTGATATCCTGATACTTAATGTCTAAATACTTAAGACATGTCCCCTAAGAATAATATTCTACTATATAGCTTTAATACAATTATTACATCCCAAAATTTATTAATATAATAATAATCCAATATATAGTTCTTATTACAATTTCCTCCATTATTCCCTAATTATAAAAATATGAGGATAATGGAGGGGCTTATGTGTTTATATATAAATAAACACATAAATTATGGTTCACTCATACATTTGGTTCTCTTGTCCTTTGAGTCTTTCATAATCTACTCATAGAGCAGTTTCTCACCATTTTTTGTTTGTTTGATTTTGCATTTATTTTAGTCTTTTATGACACTGACTTTTGTTTTTGTTTTTTTAGTCTGGAGCATTTGTTTCATATAATGCCCCATATCTTGGACATTTCTTCTTGTTTTCCATGAGTTCAAGTTAATAATTTTAATAAAAACACAACATAGATGATGTGACTTACCAACTTTTCATTGCATCACATAAGGATGAACATAATAACAGTTTATTTCAATTTTGGTGGTGGTTACTTTAATCAATTGATTCGGGTGGTGTTATCAGTTGAATGTTTATGTCTTCCCGAAATTCATATGTTAAAATTCTAACCCCTAAAGTGATGGTATTAAAAAGTGGGGCCTTTGCAAGGCGATAAGGTAACAAAGGTGGAGTCCTCATGAATGGGATTGGTGCTCTTATAAAAGAGACCCCACAGAGCTCTCTTGCTCCTTTCGACCATGAGAGGACACAGCAAGAAGACAGACATCCTTGAACCAGAAAGTTGGCCTTCATCACACTTGAGGATATGCCAGCAATTTGACGTCAGATGTCCTGGCCTCCAAAATCGTGAGAAATAAATGTTTGTTTTTTCAGCCACCTAGATTATGGTATTTTTGTTATAACAGTCTGAACAGACAAAGACAGGTGGTATTCACATGCTATTTTCATTTTAAAGGTATATTTTTAACTTCATAACTAAAAAGGAATCAGTAGTCTTATGCTTTTAAGACAAAGTGAATATTATGTTTCAAAAAATATTTTCACTGAATGGTGTTAGTATCCATTAAATTTGTCATCTCATCCTCTATTCTCAGCCTAAATGTATTAGTCTACTTTATTACTCAAGTTACAACTGAAAGACGGAAACTCGGATATCAAGGTATAAAAGTTTTGCATTTCCTGGGAACACATAATTGTAGTAAACTCTTAGATAAATTGATCCTAATTATGTGTCAATGCTCATTATTCATGAGGAAGTTAGAGAATAAGAAGGCCTTAACTCTTTGGACCCAAAACAACTATCTGAGTTTTTGTTTCTCAGCTAGTCCTGTTTCCCAGGTCCCATCTGCATCTCAGCTTTCATTTCCCACTCTCCAACTCTCTCCTTCACGACCAGGGGAATCTTCTATTCCCTAAGGACATCTGTCCTTCTCTTATTTGATCTTATGTCAGTTTGACATGGCATGGTTTAAGTCAATGTTTCCCCATGTAGCTGAGGTGCTAAGTGCAAATATTAACTGATTCAGAGAACCATCAACCTTGTCAAAACCATAAAACTGCTCTTTATTAGTTGACCCAAAATCATAATTTGGACAGAGATATTTCAAGACATTTTCAGATATAAACCATAAAACAAATATACCAAATAATATATGTAAGACACAAAGAGAAAGCAATTGATCCGAGGCTACTATGTATATAACAAATAAGATTTTATCTTGTTAAAACACCCGCATGCCCGCATAAATCAGTCAGAACCAGATGACTCTTTCTAGCTGTTGATTCCTCCTCCTCACAAAGAGCCCACACGCTTCATTTTGCTTAATTGTCACTTTGAGGAAAATGTTTCTTCCTTTCTTTCCTTCACACTTCCCTCTTTTCCTTCATTATAGGAAGAAACTTCTCACTTACATATGAGAAATCACAGTCACTTTTGTGAAATAGCTTATGCTGAACATTAGCCCTTCCTTCTCTGGATCCCTTGAATGCTGGAATAGTTACCAGGCTGTGTTTTCAACTGAGGACTTCCTGTTGCCCAATACTAATGTATCCAATGCAGATTACAAGAAAGATTAAAAGTCTTGCAAACACATGAATTTTTTTCTTTCTATCCCAAGCATTTAAGACTTTCTTAGTACTTTTCTTAAGATAATATATGCAAAGGGAGAGATAAGTGGAGGAGTTAGAGGAATATAGTAATGGAGGAAGGAAAAGGAGATTTTGCTTACTAGTTTCTAGCTTTTGTTTTCCAGCAATCCAAAGAACAATATCTCACTAAAAAGTTTATGATACATGCTTTAGAAAGATATATCAAAAGAGAAGAGTTCCTAGAGTACAGGGTATGAGAGGTATCATGGAATGGAGGGGGAAACACGATAAATAAGAGAAGGACACATGTCCTTAGGGAATAGAAGATTCCCCTGGTCCTGAAGGAGAGGGTTGGAGAGTGGGAGATGAAAGCTGAGATGCAGATGGGACCTGGGAAACAGGGCTAGCTGAGAAACAAAAACTCGGATAGTTGTTTTGGGTCCAAAGAGTTAAGGCCTTCTTATTCTCTAAGGAGGGATCCCTAGAACTAGAAATGCCAGGGAGACAGTTTTGCCCATGGACCTGCAGGAACAAGAGATATTTTATGGAGAATGTGCACAGAGAGTTGTATATATTGTTAGAGAAACACCAAAATTTATCTCCAACTCCTTTGTTGTCAAACATAAATATCTGTTTCTGAGCTCTGCCACGGGAACTTGGGAGCACTTCAGGTGAGTGCAGAGCCAGGAAAAGACGCATCAAAATGAGTAGAAAAAGTCGTGGCATTTTACTCGTCCTGGCCTCTTTCACCCTGATACAGTGAGACTCGATCTGGAGAAAACCCTGAAGTCCCAGCTTCTCCCTTAGGGAAGCAACAGGAGTGGGCCATGAGTCCAGCATTCTGGGTTTCCAGCGGGGTTGCCCAAGGCACTGGTTTCTGTCTTACATGACTCAGAGTGCAGAGTTTGGATGCCATGTTGGGGGCCTCTGAGAACAAAGGCAAGCACCCTGTTTCAGCACTAGGGAGATTGTAGTACTGAAGGCGGACACCAGGGGGAGAAAGAGGTTACAGGCTCCAGACAAGAAACAAGCAAACCTCTTTAACTGGGAAATTACACACACAAGCCCATAAAAAGCTTGAAGGGCCCCTAGAATCTCTAGCTATGCTAACCAATAAAGGTCTTCCAATGTATGAAGCCACTCTGTAATGACTGGAGGAGGTTGGGTGTATTTTTCAAATATTAAAAGCACTGCAGGATAAAAACTAAGAGCATGTCTAGTAAAATATGATAAACATATCTAAGATGCATGCTAATAGACAAAAAATAAATGATTAGAGTGCATTTGTCTAAAAAATTCATCAAATATATGGCAATACAGTTGTTGTCAGTAGGACTGGGCAAAGGGACATTGCTGCATATTGCAAATTTTGTGTGACCCTTTGCCTCTGGATATTGGGACCTCTCAAGATTCATGCTGCTGCCACCCTGTGATGTGTTTATTATCTATAATGGACTGTGTCAAACATTATGGAAAAATCCTCATGATACCAAGGTTGTGTGGCTTTCACTGCTCCATAATATCAGTTTCTTTCTCTAACACACAGGCCAAGTCTGGACTAATTGGCAGAAACTGACTTACCAGTTTTGCAGCCAGAACTTGGGAGCTCTGTACTTTTAAGAGCTAAATCTATTTTTTCTTCCGTAGTTGGCAACACCATTATGACATCACAACCTATTTCCAATGAGACCATCATAATGCTCCCATCAAATGTCATCAACTTCTCCCAAGCAGAGAAACCCGAACCCACCAACCAGGGGCAGGATAGCCTGAAGAAACGTCTACAGGCAAAAGTCAAAGTTATTGGGGTAAATCTAATTCAGAACATGTTGGAGAGGGGTTAGGGGAAGTGGGAAGAGATGATGTATGTTTTGGGACTGGTCATCCTTGTGAGTGTGGAGACCCTTAAGTTTTGCTGGAGGGACTTTGGGGTAGAAGCCACTTGGAGAAAACTGTCCCAGAACTTTTCCACAGGAGATTGTCTTAGAAACGTTTTTTCCCTTATTCTGAATATGAGGAGTTGATTTTCTGTTGTTGTCTTTGTATTTTTGCAATACAGTACTTCTCTATATTTTCTTTTACGAAAGTAATGGTGGTAAATAATGACATATTGTATATACATTTTTCTGTATTTCACAACTGCATGCTTAACAATCCACACTGATTCTTTGCAAGGAATTTTTCCCTTACTGCAAATTACAGAAAAAATATACCTCCTCTCCCTGTTTTCTTCTTACCTTTTTGAGAATGGAAATGATATTTACCTTTTATTTGTCTGTTTCTCCTCTCATCCAGAGTTTATTAAAGAAGCTGTATTGCATGAAGGGAGGAGAGAAAGAAGGGATCTATCTTGGATTGGGAGGGAAACACAGAGTTTTGGTTTCTAGAATTGCCTCTGCACTTATGTGATCTGAGGTGAGGCACTCTGTTTGACTGGATTTCAGGACCTGGTGGGACTGGTTTCCTTGCCTCATGTACAATCATATGGGTTTCTATGAGGCTCAGGTGACAAAAGGTCTAGGAAACTTCTTGGTAAATGATAATAGAGCTGTGAATCTCTGAGGTGGATGTCAGGAAGGAAAACTACCTCCTAAGACAGAGCTTCAGTTATACATGAGAACATGCAGTATTTGGTTTTGTTAGTTTGCTAAGGGTGGTGGCCTCTAAATGATGAGAACACATGGACACGTAGAAGGGAACAATGCACACTGGGGCCTTTCAGAGGGTGGAGGGTGGGAGGAGGGAGAGGATCAGGAAAAATAACTAATGCACAGAAACTCAATTTGGAAGCTCTGGCTACAAAAATCTCCCAAAGCCAGCAAGGAAGTCAGAGAGAGTGCCCAGAAAAATGCCAGTTCTTTCTTTCCCTCGTTGGTATTTAGAGATTATTGTTTGGAACCCTCAGTTACAATCCAACACTAGATCTGTGCTGTGCAATGTAACTGTCTATGATGGAAATGAAATGTAACTTTCTATGATGATGGAAATCCACAACAGCTGCACTGTTACAATATGGCGGTCACATGTGGCTATCGATGATGTGAAATATGGATAGTGCAACTGAATTTTAAATTTTACTTAATTTTACTTCAAATATAAGTAGCCCATGTGGCTACTGGCAACCATACTGAGTAGCCTAGTACAAGAGTAATGTTTTCAAACTTTTAGTAGGAAATATATGGGCCTCTTACTCCAGAGAACAATCCCACAGTGAACATGCAGGAAGCTCAAGGATGCAGGATGTGGTCTCGGGGTGGGCTCAGACTCACCAGAGACATCGAGGCTTTAGTGAGTTCTACTCTTGTCACACATTGTACCAGCCCTTTTTGAGATTGAAGAAGAGTGCCATCTCAAGACAAATCTAGCTTATTCTAAGAAATATAGACTCTAGGCATCAAGACTACTACTGGCTACTAGGAGGCCCAGGAGTGTACACTTCAGTCATTATGTTGGGAAATTGGGGTCCCAGAGCATCAACTGGTGAGTTCCTAAAAGAAGAAGTGCCCATATGGGATTAAATAACACTCTACTGTATGGCTGTGGGATGTGCCCTGGAGCCTACCTACCTGTAACAATAGCTTTCAGAATGCTGTGAGCTCAGTTCTCTTTTCTGTGTGAGTTGGAGTAAAGGAAGTCACTTCTGAGGTCAGTTTATTTATTTCCTCCACTTCATAAATGTAGAAATGAGAACCAGAGTGGGAAATAAAACCAAGGAACTGAGTACCCAAGGGAACAAGCTGGGTCAAGTCTATATTGTGACCTCAATTTTCTGACATCCAGTCCAGGCCTTTATTCTGTACCTCCCGCTGCCTCCCACACATTACACCATCCTTGGGCCCGCACCTAGACCTCTGCCCACAGCCACCCCATGCTGCGCTCAATGTGGCCAGTCATATGCCTGCCCAGGTTCCAGGGCCTGCCTGAGACTCAGAACCACCCCCTCACTCATCTTTGAGAGGTGTGCTTTTGAGAGAGGCAATAGGCACGCAAAAGTGAGCTATTAGGTTGGTGCAAAGGTAATTGCGGTTTTGCCATTGAAAGTAGTGGCAAAACCCAAAATTACTTTTGCACCATGCTAATACACCATCCAGATTTTCTGTGTGGTTGATGCTTGCACGAGGGGTTTCTGAGTTGGCCGAGAGAGAAACTGCATCTGGTACATTGCCACCTTTGCTTGTGGTCACACTCACAGTAATTTTCCAGGCAAGCCTCGTGGGCCCTGCTATCTGTCCCAGGGAAAGAATTTAGGAGAGTAACATTCTCTACCACACTACTGAGGTCCTGTTTGAGGGGAACCAGTTCATATGTTCATTCATTCAGCCAAGTTTTACGTTGCAGATTCTGAGTTTTTGGCTGGACACTGGAGAGGCCTACAACAAGAAATGATCCCTCCGGGACTTCCTGAGGGAGACAGATAAGGGAATAACTTGCAATGTAATGGCAAAAAGGGATAAGAGAGATTCGTGGCCCTTTGGGAATGATTCTTACCCAGCATGTCTCTTTCAGGTGCATAGCAGCCTGGCTGGAAGCATTCTGAGTGCTCTGTCTGCCCTGGTGGGTTTCATTCTCCTGTCTGTCAACCCGGCTGCATTAAATCCTGCCTCATTGCAGTGTAAGTTGGACGAAAAGGATATACCAACCAGACTTCTTCTTTCTTATGATTATCATTCACCTTACACCATGGACTGCCATAGAGCCAAAGCCAGTCTGGCTGTAAGTATTTTTTAGATGGGATGTTCTAATTTTATGAGGTTTCTGAAAGCCTTGATTTCTTATTATTCCATCCTTTGAAAATCTCTCTGTTAATTCTGGTTTGGGCATCTGGAGGAAGGCCAAGGTTATGTAAATCAAAGGGGGGCTGCATGGATGAGATTAAGGGGATTACATACTAACAGAGTGGAATTGAAATGTCAGATAAGGTTGATGATGAAAAACTAAAACTTACGGTTTGTAGAGTTTCTTAATTACTCAACTAATCTAATTTTGGAGGCATAAATTATGAGTTTGTCAAACTGAGAATGTTGGTACATAGAGTGGTGAATTCAGATTGGCAAACAGAGCAGAAAGACCCGGGTGATCAGAAAATGCTGACAAGGAAATGTGGTATGTGTGTGTGGTAGGGGGTCAGTTTGGTCTAAAAAGACATCAGACTAAAGATGAAGAAACAGAGAATAGGAAATATGGGGTTAGATGGTAAGGGTTTCTCCTAATGATTACAATAATGAATAATACTAATCAGGTGAAACGGTAACATTATTATTGCTTTTTGTTATAGCTGAAAGAAGTGTGATATCTTAAATCAGGAGATAAGAAATATAGGGAGATGGAGAGTGTAACTGAGAATTATCGCAGGAGAATTCTCTCTCTTTGGAAGAAGAAAAACAATGAAGTTTGGCTAACAGAAATAATGTGTCTGAAGTTGAAAAATTAAGGGGTATGTGCATGGCCAGCAACGCATTGAGAGGAAAACAGGCAACATAAAAGTAAAGAAGTTGCAGAATATTTATTGTCCTGCAATCATAAAAATGAGGTCAGCCAAGAACTCACCTGGACGATGGACAGATAGAAAGGTCTGGTCAAATTCATGCTTGTACAGCACCCATTATAAACTGAGCCTTGCTTCCAAGGTAATGGTATAATGAGGAAAAAGTGCATGCAAATGAGGCTGACAGTAATTGGTACAAATTCCACCTTGGGAAAAATTCTGGAGAGAAATTTGGGAGAAATTTGGTAGTGATAAAGTATAAATTCATGATGGGACGATTTTATATTGGAAATAAGAGAGATTCTGTTGAGCTTGCTTGCTGGAACAATTTCTAGGTAATGGACACAACATGTATCTTCTATTTAACTGTGTGTAAATACCACAAAACAAAAGTTCATGTGATCAAATTACCTCCCTTTATTATCAGATGACCAGTTCTGCACAAAGAATGTCTCAGGACAGAAATGGTAGAACTCATCCTTGTGAGTTGGTGTTGGTGATTAGCAACAGTTTACTACCTTCACTGTTTTTTTCCAAGTCTTAAAACACCAAAAACAGCAAAAATAAAAAATAAACAACAAAAATAAAAAACATCCAAACAGGTTCAGATACATAGACAGGGATGTCAATACTGAATTTTACAAAGGGCTTACACAGCCAAAACCTCCTTGATCCTCACAAATCTCTGAGAAATAAATGTTAGTATGCATGTTTGATACATGAGGAAACAGGAGCTAGAGAAAGAAAGAGACTTGTCCAGGCTTACACAGCTACTCAGCAGTAAAGATGAGACTATAATGGAGCTGCTGATTCTCAGTCCTGGGAGCTATTACGCCACTCTGCTCTCTTACTGAGTGAACAATGTCATCAGAACTACGTACGTCTCAAAGAAGTGAGAAACAAGTGTATGAAATGGATTAGTTGATTTAGTTACTACTCATCTTCCCTTCTCTTCTCAAGAAACTGAATGAGTGAAGGAGTTGAATTAAGACAATTGTGAGGAGGAGCAGTTTTGTTTTCCTGATTGTTTCCTTACTTCATTCTCTAATGGTTGAGGTGGTCTTCATCTCTATGGTCACCTCTAAACTAGGCATGAAAGCTTCGGCTGACCCAAGCATCACTGATATTTTATTTCTTGACTTTCAGGGAACTCTGTCTCTGATGCTGGTTTCTACTGTGTTGGAGTTCTGCCTAGCTGTGCTCACTGCTGTGCTGCAGTGGAAACAGACTGTCTGACTTCCCTGGGTGAGTGTGCTGGCCAGCCTCGCTTAATCTTGCCTAGTGTATCTTATCTCTGCACTGTGTTGAGTATGTCACCAAGAGTGGTAGAAGGAACAATCAGTCAGTCATGAGATACACATGGGAGGTCATTTAAATGGTGATGGAAGACCGAGAAGAAAAGCAGATGGTAATTGAGTAGCTGACAAGCTGAGAGTTCACTGGATATGAAAATAGTTAAAATGAGAAATCAACTGGTTCAATCTTCCCATTTTGTCATTGAAGGGAATGAGACTCTGGGAAGTTAAATGACTGGGCTGGCATTATGATATGAGTCTGTACCTGTGCTGAGGACGCTAGAACCTGGCTTGCCTCCCTTCTAAGCAGAAACAATTTCTGCCACAACCACTAGTCTCTTTAATAGTATTGACTTGGTAAAGGGCCTTTACACATGTGACTGGATCCAGTGAATGTCTTATGCTCTGCTTTTCCTCCTGGTGATTTTAAAATTCTTTTTCCTTTTAAAAGATATATTAAAAATGTATTGTTGAATCAAATTCCAAGGGATACCACCCCTATGGACTTATTGCTTTATTTAACTGAATTTAAAAGCCTTGATTTATCCAGAATTTTATTATAGAGAATAGAAGAATACTAGACTGATAAATTGTAATTATTTGAAGAACCCAGTGATCTGCTCTACTTGTCTTGGATTAGCTAAGAATTCTATGTATACAGTTGGAAAAAATGGCATATCCACATGTATCTTGAACCTGAGTAAAGTCTGAAGACCTAACATACTTTGTTTCTTCTAAAGTGTGCTTTTCCTGCCTCACAGTTACTCATGTCCTCAAAGACGACTCATGATGCTGGATATGAAGAACTATTGACTTCTTGGGAAAAAACGGAGAAATATTAATTGGAAAGTTGATTTTTATGATAATATGGAAAACCTAACCATTATAAAAAAGCAAACTTGAGTTTCCTAAATGTAAGCATTTAAAGTAATGCATATTTGTTTTAAAAAATTATTTCGCTGTCATTTATGATATGTGTTCATTGGGGATCTCTTGGTTTGCCTGATACTGACTTCAGCAAAAGCACAGGGCTGTAAATTACCATTTACTAGACTAGCCAAATAGTCTTAGACATTTCCCAGAAAACTAGGCAGAATGATGATTCAATGGATCACAGTGAGGCAAAGGATACAGCTTTTTCTTATACTCCTCAATTGTGAACAGGAGTTAACTGATTTGCTGTGGTGCGCAGACTCTTTTATCACAGGTGCTACTGATTTATCCCATGTATTTTACTCATTAGTGCATAAAGGCAAACCCCATAATGAAGTCTCCGAGTGTATGAAAGTAGCCGGCTTCAAAATAAAATCTTTGAGTGCATACTTTATTTTAATACTTATTTTGTTATTTTTTCCTTTAAACACAGAATAAATCAACAATGACAGACATAAACCCAAATTTTAACTCAATTTTCTCCTCACCAATATTCAAACAAAACTAACGAGTGAACAAATGCTAACCAGGAATGCTTATCTGTTATGAAGAGACAACCAGTTCATACTTACGTCCTTATTTCAAAATAAAAAAGACGAATTGTTTGAGTATAACAAACATAAGCCTCACCTTGCTCATGCACACACACGCACACACACACACACACGTGTAAAAAAGTATTTCAATTTTATATGACCTCCATTTCTTTGAAAGATTTTGTCATATTTCCTTGCTCTGACCCTCTGTAGCAGGGGTCATACTTCATACTCACTGTCTCAGATATCCTGATACTCAGAGAGTTTCTCTGCTCTTTTTTTCCAGTCTCAAATGGAACTGTCAGTTTCTTTGATTTTAGCTTTATCTTCAAATCTGTTTCATTAGGTCTTCTCCCTGTCCTTTGCACCCCCCACTGACACACACCATTTCTTTTATTTATTTGCCTATTGTGGACATTCAACTTTTATTGATACTTATTGGATACCAGACACTATGCTTTTAATGCCAGGGCTACCAAAGTGAATAAGATACATGATTTGGCTTCAAGATATTTATAGTCAAATAAGGAAAACAGAGATGACAATGAAGTTAGGGATTTCGCTAACTGTTATTTGAGCACAGAATAAAGACACTAACTGTTATTTGAGCACAGAATAAAGAATATCATCTTCTGCCTAAAAGAATGTAGAGGATAAACAAGTGTGTGTGTGTGTGTGTGTGTGTGTGTGTGTGTGAGAGAGAGAGAGAGAGAGAGAGGGGGGGGGAGAGAAAGACAGAAAAGACAGAATGTACTTCCTTTGAAAATCCACCTCCCCACTATTAATCACATGGTGCCACCTTCCGCCACAGGAGAGGACCATTGAAGCATTGTCATTTGTCTGGGGTAATATCAGAGGTTCATTGTCTCATGCCAAGAAAATTGAAGACATGGACACACAAAGAGTGAATTTAAGAGCAGAAGTTTAATGGCTAAAAGAAAGAAGAGTGCTTCCTCATGCAGAGGAAGGGATCCCGAATGGATTTCTGGGTTTGGGGCAAGATGAGGCTGGTTTTATAGATGAGTCTGAGGAGGTCGTGTCTGATTTACATCAGGCATAGTAGATTGGTTGGACCAGATGTGCCATTTACATAGCATGGGAAGTGCTGGCCATCCCACACTAATCTTTTATTATGCAGATGGGGTCTCCACCTGGCCGGCACCATATTGCCTGCTTTTTTGCTGCACACATGGTGACAAAGAAAAGGGAAGAGGGAACCTCCATGCTTAATATATCTAGCTTCCAGGTATCCCTTTTCTATTGGCACAACTGCTGGCATTCACCTTTGCAAGCTTCCAGCTTGCTTATCTATTCTTGCAGCTGGATTTTTCAGGCTTCTTTTGCTAGACAAGAAATGATTTGGGGGCTGCTTTTTAATAAAAAGAAAATCTTACTGAGAACTCCCTTACCCTCACTAGCTACTTAAATAATTTCTTTTTAGCTCCTGTGTTATTTCTCCCCTCAGAAGTAGTAACCCTAACTGCTGTTAGAGGGTGTTGGACAGTGACTCTTTCTGACTACTTCCTGCTGAAAAGGGGCATCTAGTGGGGACAGCAGCTAGGGCTCCTCCTGAGTTCAATCTAACGGTCCTCAGAAGAAAGGCGTGTCCGTGTGTGGTTCTGCCTGCAGCACCATTTAAAGTTTGCTTCTAGGCCAAAAGAGATAAATTTTACAAGAAGGTTTAGAATACAGGGTTTGAATATGAGTATTAAGATTACCATTATTAGTGGGGGTACCATAGGCCATAACCATGCCAGTGGAGTTTGATACCTGTTAGCCATTTTAATGGCTTGTAATACTAGTTTGCCTCCACCAGGTGTCGCTTACTTTACTAGACGCGTTAATATAAAAGGAACCTTTTTTTTGCATAAGTGTCCCCCAATTATTAATTCTACTATAAAGATTATAATTAGACAGAATATTACAGCAATTAGAATTTTCCAACCGGAATTCCATATTGCAGGTGCCACAATGTATAGTTGTGTTGCAAATAGTAGAGCGCATGTATCAATTCCCGGAAAGGTGGTGTAGTAGATAATTTACGTCTAAAACTTTTACTCGCCAAGATGTAGAATTTCTCCTTGGGGTTCTATGAAGTTACAAATGTAATCCCATGTATAATTAAAATCTCCCTGCAAATATGTGTTAAAAAGAAGTGCTAATATCTGGCTGCGAATCTCGAGAGGAAATGTTGAAATGACAAAAAGTATCTGGTGAGTTAAAGGTGGGACTGAGTAAGATGGGTAGCCCTTACTTACTTACTTATCTTTTATGATTTTCAGCTTAAGATCTCCTATTTTTTGTCATTGATGTCCAGGACGTTCTTCTGGGCTGTCAGAGGTTGCTCTCTCAGCTTTCCAGGCTTTGACTGGAGTGTGATGTATGCAGGAATTAATACCTGTAACTTTTACTGCTGAGGGGGTTGAAAGAACAGTGTAGGGCCCTTCCCAGCTTGGGGTCAGGAAGAGAGAGAGAAGGGAGAGCTTTCACCAATACCAAATCTCCTGGGTTAAATAAAGGTGATCCTATTTCTTGGAGTTGGGCTTTTGCTAACTGTGTTAATTCCTGCTGGAAGTGAGCCAGAGAGGTTACATGCTCAACCAACTCAGAGATTTCTTAATTTAATAGAAAATCATTGGTAAGGAAAGACCATCCATACAGCATTTTAAAAGGGCTCACTTTGTCTGCCATTGTCACTTTGGAGGTATTTAAGTAGACCACAGCGGGGAGTTATTTCATTAACTAACACTTTATTACCTCAGATGCCTTTTCTGTATGGCATGAAAATGCTTCTAACCAGTTGGCGAAAGTATCTGTCCCTACCAGGAGATATTGGATGCCCTTCATCTTTGGCATGTGGGTGAAGTCTGTCTGCCAGTCCTCCCCTGGATAGCTTCCTATTCTTTGGGTTTGAGGAGGAAGGAGCCACCTGTTCAGGGGATTATTTTTAAGACAGATTTCACAAGCATTAACAACCTGTTTGGCTGTTTTTGGTAAGTTCTCTCCTGAAAACAATCTCTGGGCACATTGATGAGTTTTATCCTTTCCCAAGTGAAAAGCTTGATGGAGGATTTTAAGGACTTTCCATTGGCTAGAGACTGGCAAGTAGAGTTTGCCATCCTGACTGTAGCCATCCTGAGAGCTGGAAAATATACACTTGAGAAGTGGCCCATTCTATTTCTGCAGGGAAGTACTGAGGTTTAATTTCTTTATGGAACCTTCCCAGATTAGAGGGGCTTGAAGTCCATAGATGTCTTGAGGCTTCCTTGCTGCTGACTTAGCTGCCTGATCAGCTAACCTATTTCCTTCAGCTACTTCATCTTTTCCCTTTTGATGTCCCTTACAGTGTAGCACTGTTATCTTTCATGGAAGGAAAACTGAGGATGATAACCTGCTAATTTCCTGGTGGTTTTTGTTTGTTTGTTTTGTTTTTTTTGTTTGTTTTTTTGTTTTTTGTTTTTTGTTTTTTTGAGACAGAGTCTCACTCTGTGGCCCAGGCTGGTTGCAGTGGCACAATCTCGGCTCACTGCAAGCTCCACCTCCTGGGTTCACGCCATTCTCCTGCCTCAGCCTCCCGAGTAGCTGGGACTACAGGTGTGCGCCACCACACCAGGCTAATTTTTTGTATTTTTAGTAGAGATGGGGTTTCACCGTGTTAGCCAGGATGTTCTCGATCTCCTGATCTTGTGATCCACCCGCCTCGGCCTCCCAAAGTGCTGGGATTACAGGCTTGAGCCACCGCGCCCTGCCCCTGGTGGTATTTTATAGGAGATCCATTAGCAGTAAGAAAGTGTCTTTCCTTCCAAATGGCACCATGAGCATGGAGAACTAAGAAAGTATACTTGGAGTGTAAATATTACCTACCTTTATTTTGCTTAATTCAAGTGCTCTTGTAAGAGCTATCAGTTCAGCTAATTGACTGCTTGTGGCTGGAGAGAGAGACACACTTTGAAAGACGTCATTTAGAGTGGCTACTGCATATCCTGACTGTGGAGCTTCACAGCTACTATCTGTGAAGAGGGTCTAGTCTGGATTTTCTAGGAGAGTTTCCCTGAGATACTCTCTGGCTGCATTGGTTTGTATTATAACTTGTTCACAGTCATATTCAGGTTCCCCAGCTTCCTCTGGAAGGAAAGTGGCTGTGTTTAGGTGAGAACAAGTGTTTAACTCAATTGTGGAAATCTCTAACAACAGAGTCTGTTAAGGAGCTGGCTGGCTGTTAGCCAAAGGCTCCCCCTAGAGGACAGCAATCCTGCCACATTATGTGGGGTGTAAATCATTTCCCAGGGTTAATTTGGTGGCTTCTGGGACCAGTAGGGCCACTGTGGCAATGGCTTGGAGGCATGTATAAATAATAGGTCCCCCCAACTGCAACTAAGGGGTTGAGAAAAATATTAGATTAGAATTTTTCCTGAGATGCCCCTCACGTTCATGCTATGGGAAGAGGGGAGGCCTGGATTAGACAGGAGAAGAGACTGGCTCTGTTGTCCAGAAGGAGGTCTACCTTCCTTCCTTTAATTTCCAGAATCACCTGGGGCTTCTGTGCTGTTCATGACAGTTTGAGCCACTGGAGCTGGAGGTTTGAGCCCCAGGAACCATCAGTCCTATTGGACCATCTGTGAGACTGGTTCTGAAACTGGTGACTTCTGTCTCTGGGAGCAGTCTGATCTCCAGTGATCCATGCTACAGTCTGGACAGGGTCAAGGTGACTTCTTGCTGCCTGGCACTCCTTCTTAAAGTGCCCTGACTTGCCACATCAATAGCATCTAGCGGATGCACCTGAGGAATCCTGGGCTTTGCAAGCCTGCAAAACAGCTACTGGAGGCTCTGTCCTTCTCTTGTGTTTCCTCTCTTTCTCTTGGGCATCCTCCTGTCCCTATTTAAAAGACCAAAGTGGCCATGCTCAGGAGGTTCTCCAAGGTGCTATCTGGTCCTATCACCTGCTGCTGTAGTTTCCTCTTAATGTTGGGAACTGCCTGTGTAATAAACTTGTTCTTTAGGATGAGCCATCCCTTGACTGAATAAGGGGATAGGAAGTGTGTTTTATTAGTGTATCTCTCAGCCTTTCCATAAAGGCTGCAGGATTCTCATCTGGCTTTTGGTCTATCATGGACAGTTTAGAATAATTAAAAGGTTTGGCCCTAGTTCTTTGTAGGCCCTCTAATATACACATTAAAAGTGTTTCCTTTACCATTTATCTGCAGAACTATTGGAGTTCCAATCAGGGTTGGCAAAAAGAACTGCTTCCCTTCCTATTTGGAATGGTGTTTCCATTATTCCTTCACCTTCTCTGTCTCCTTTTCTCCTTTTCAGTCTACTATAAAAAACATGTTGTTCATCTCCAAATTTCTCTGCTAGCTGCAGAGCTGCCTGCTTTTCAGCTGCGGTGAGGGTTTGGCTTAGAAGCAGCATAACATCCCTCCATGCGAGGTCAAACACCTGAGTTAAAGTTCGGAAAGCTTCTATATACCTATTGGGGTCATCAGAAAATTGGCCTAGTCTCCCTTTATTTGCCAAAGGTCCTGAAATGAGCAGGAAATGTGAATCCTAATAGCACAATTTTCATCAGGCATTTCTTGTAGGGGTAAGAGTGAAGCAGGGAAAGTGGGTAGTTTTAGAGATAGTGCAGCTGGAGGAGCTGGTGGCATGGTTAGTGGGGGTCCCAGATAAGGGAGACTGGAAGGGTTGAGACACTCAGTAGCTGTCTCAGATTGTCCCCCTGGAATATGCTTTAGTTTTGGGGAATCATTTCCTATGGAATTTCCTGACATGGCTGCTAAAAGAGCTAGGTTGATTGTGCAATGCTTGCAAGTCTGGGTTATCTTGCAGGGCAAAGAAAGCCTGTACATAGGGGATCTTGGATCATTTGCCCTCCCATCTGTAGAAAAGATCTAATTGTTGGATAATATTAAAATCAAGTCTCCACCGCAGTGGGCCAAGTCTGTTCATCCCCAAGATGGTAAGAAGTTGTACAATAGAATATGAGATGCTTTTTTTTTCAAAGTCTCAGGGTCAGAGGAGTCCCAATGTTCTAGAATGCACTCAAGAGGAAATTCAGGCCAAAGACAATCTGTTATGCATCTAGAAAGAGAACTGAGAAAAAAAAAAAAAAGGCCTATCTTTAGTCTCATTCCTTTTGGTATGACACAGGGTGGAGGCGAAGACAGTGAGGGCATCCACCCTACTGTTTTCTCTCCTTGCTTCCTGTGGTCCCAGCACCTTGTTAAATGTGCTGCCCATGGTTGCAGGCATAACCCCCCACCCCAGCCATGAAACTGGAGGAACTAAGGAATGGGCTTAGTCATGCATACCCATGCAGCCCTAGTTCTCCGCTTCTGATTCCCCTTTGACTCCCTAGACTTGTATGATCTGCATGGCTCCCCAAAAGATGGATCTTGGGAAAGGCTATGTAATAGTTACATTTGGGCAAGACTGCTTTAATGGGAGGGGTGTACTAGATTGAATTCTATATTTTGCTATTATGGCCCATGCTAAAGTGTTTACCCTTAGACAGCGATTCGGGTTAACTTCTGGACATAAAATCCCCTTACCATTTAAGTACCATTCTAACTAAAGGCAGAAGAGGTTTCTTTAAAAAACCCAGGAACCAAATGGTGGTTTTCCTGCTAACAGGACAGTCTCAGAACTAAAATTGGAGGACATTTTTCTCCTAATGGTTAAAGGTAGAGTTTTTTTCCATTCACAGAAGGAGCATAAAGCCTGGTCTCTTGTGGAGGGGCGCACAAAGGGAGGAAATTGGAAAAGCTAGAGTGTTTCAGCAAAGGACTGACAATGTGCCCAGTGAGAGGATTCTTATTCCACTGGGTGATGCTGTTGACCTAGAAATACCACGTGCTTGCCAGATGAAGGGTAGAAAGAGTACAGCTCATTTCAGGGAGACCTTCTGCTCCTAGAAAATCACAAAAATGGCATTCCCTTGAGCTATATTCCCAGTTTATATGGCATTTGCTAATCTTTCCTAACAGGACTATTTCCCCACACCATAAAAATCTGTGCAGCATTGCATACAGAGGATAAGAGATATGGCAGTCGCAGATGGAAAAGGAGGAAATTTGCAATAGAAAATTGGATATCCTGTTGCTGATGCCGGATCAAGCAATCAGAGGCTGGGGTCAGTCCAGAAGGCTTCAGATAACACCAGGGTGTAACCCTGGCGAGAAATCCTCATTTGCTCCAAAACCTCTTCCAGCCCCATGCAACAGCTAGGTACTCCATGAAGAGAAACTGATTCAAAATATGGCCAACATGCCCAGTAACCTGGGGGATTGGCCATGGTATCTCCAGGAAGCCTGTCATCTGAGACTTGAGAACAGCAGGTGGTTTGCCCTAAAGGCATGTAGATGGCCATGGGATGCCCGGGATTTTTATTTGATTTGGTTTTAAAATGGTGGCTAAGAGCCTCAAAATGAATGGACAGAATTGAGGTCCACTTCTATACTCAGGAGAAGAATGGGAGTGAAGAACAATTAGACAAAGTCTAAAAGATTTCTTTCAATTCACCCAGAGTGAAGAGAATGGGGTGGGGGTGGATAAAAAAGTGCAATAAAGTTAGGATAGCACAAAAAGCACTTTTTGAAATTAAAGCACTTTAATATTGTCTTGAGAATCAACTTATGATAAGCTTTTAATATTCTCAATTATCCTTACAAACACCTTTCAACATAAGTAATCATCTCTACATTTAGCAGATGAAAAAGAGGCTCAGAGGGATGACTTACTGTATCCACTAGACTCTCCAGTAGGCAGAGTCGGGTATTGAGTGGTTTGAGCCCTTACAGACACTAGGTCTGCTTAGCTCCCGTATTCCATACCAAGAGGGTTTGGGCAACATCTGGATCACGGATCCAAAGTACACCTTCTGCCTCCTAGTATGTGCTACACCTAGGCCACGCACCTCCAATCCCTTGGCTTTTCTTCTTAAAGGAAAGCCCTGGGTGATGGCTGATAGGCAGAATATTCCATGATCTTCCTAAGGGTCCATGAGGGATAGCAACCTGGAGGTCATTGTTACTCTCCAAGGCTTTCAGAAGCTGACTCAGTTTATTACTTCTCAGGCTGCCAGGCAAACAAACAAAAAACACTCTTTCTCTTCTAATGAATGAAAAGCTAGAAGATGTTCACTTGGGCCAAGGAAAATAATCAGGGCGTGGTAGGCAGCTATAGTCCTGATTCTGTGGTTTTCCATATTTAGGTTCAACCTCGGGTCATTGGCTGAGATCAGCTGGACCTGGGTGTCATCTGATCACTTTTGTTACAGGACCAGTCCTGAGCCTGTGCACTGAGGCCTCTTCAGTTCTTTCTCTGAACCAGTAATACAAGATTCCAAATGCCAGGTACAGGAGAAACCCAGTGTTGGAGTTTTCTTGTCCCAGGTTTTTAAAAGACACGTAAGGACAAAGGATGTCAAGATGTAGAACTTTGATGTTCAACTTTCTCCTTCAGTCTTCCTTACTTGACCTTCTCTCCAGCCCTGAAGGAAATATACCATTTCCATGCCATGAAATTGCCCCATGGACATAATTGTGGTGCATTCTGACTAGACACAATCAAAACACAGCAGGACTTGCGTTTCACTACCAGTCCCTAAAAGACCACATAACAGCTACCACATATTCTTACTGAAAGAGCCTCCCTGGGTACTTGGACTCCAACACTCTTCATGCTGATCATGTAAAAACTGCAGTGTTGCATGTCCTTTCCCAGCTTCCTCTTTCCCAGGGACTTTCATATCTTGACTGTTTCTCTTGCAGTACTCTTGGAGCTTTTCTCCACCAACAACTTGCTTTTTTTGTTTTTTGTGTTTTTTTTTGCATTTCAAGACACATCACTTTTTGTTTATTTTGTTATATAAATTATTTGCTTTCAAATCCATTGTTTTTCATGCATAAATGCATGGCCATGTCTATTTCTTTTAGTTAAATTGTCTGTCTGGTCATGCACTTCATCCATTTATATTTTTTTCTGTCTTTCTTTCTCTTGTGCCTTATTATAGATGTTATAAAGATTTATCCCTTGTTATAATTTGGCTTTGCCTTTTGAATTGTTTATCAGATTTTTATGTTAATTTAAAAATGCTGAAATTTTTGGATAATTAAACATATTTTATATGTGTAGAAATTGCTTCCAAACTCTAAATGACAACAAGGAAACAGACATCTTTTTTCTTATTTTTTTAATCACTTGGCATTTTCTTATTTATAGTATAAGTATAGTTATAGTTATAGTATAAGTTATAGTATAAGTAATATGAGGCAGGACCTAATGTATATATTTTAAATCAGAAATAAAATTCCAAGTTCCCCAATCAACTGATGGACCCTCCTCTTGGCCAAGGGCATTCCAAAATTAACCTGAAAAACTAGTTCAGGCCATGATGGAAAGTGGGGGTTAGACACGCCGCATTATACAATCCTTTCTTTGGAATTCAGGCACAGCTTACCAGCATTAACATTAAAACAGAGACCTCAAGATTGATGGAACAGTCTCTTTAAGTCCAATAGGAAACATTTACAATCTATTCACGCTGAAGCCTGCTACCAGGAGTCTTCAATAAGAACTTTGGTCTCCACAATTCCTTATCTTAAGCCAGACACTCCCTTCTATTGATTCCAGGTCTTTAGATAAACTCTTTCAATCAATTGCCAGCCAGAAAATGTTTCGAGCTACTTATGATCTGTAACCCCCATCTCCAGCCCCCACTTTGGGGCATAGCTTGGTTTTATACATTTTAGGGAGACATGAGATATCAATCAATATTTGTAAGAGGTACATTGGTTCTGCACAGAAAGGCAGGACAACTCAAAGCTGGGAGGGGTCTTCCTGGTTATAGGTAGGTAAGAGACAAATGGCTGCATTCTTTTGAGTTTCTGATTAGCCTTTCCATAGGAGGCAATCACATCTGCATTAATTCAGTGAGCAGAGGCATGACTTTGAGTTCTGTCTGCCCTTGTCCACAAGGAAATTCCTTGTGAGAGAGGTATGTGGCTTATCTTAGTAGGTATCTTTATTTTAGGAATAGAATGGGAGGAAGGTTTGCCCTAAGAAAGTCCCTGCTTGACTTTTCCTTTTGGCTTAGTGACTTGGGGGTACCAATATATTTTCCTTTCACATTTCTCTCAGATACTTTTGAGTTTACAGTACACACACACACACACAAACACACACACACACGCACATTTAACCACTTGTTCTATTATTACTTACTGAGTTAACTGTGTTTCTGTCTATGGTTTAAAATATATTTTTAAAAATACACTCAACATTTATTTACATTCATTGTAGTACTACATTTGTCTAGTCTCATTTTTTTGTCATTCAGTCTATTTCAACACAAGTAACACATCACTTGTATTAGTACACTGCATTTTAA
Organism: Homo sapiens; assembly: GCF_000001405.40. Classification (NCBI taxonomy): domain Eukaryota; kingdom Metazoa; phylum Chordata; class Mammalia; order Primates; family Hominidae; genus Homo; species Homo sapiens. The sequence goes on from NC_000011.10 coordinate 60,351,874, forward strand.
TTTCTGACAGTACAATCCTTACTTCAACACTACTCTTTATTAAAATGATTTTGGGCCTGGTGCGGTGGCTCATGCCTGTATATCTAGCACTTTGGGAGGCCAAGGTGGGCAGATCACCTGAGATCAGGAGTTCAAGACCAGCCTGGCCAACATGGTGAAACGCCATCTCTAATAAAAATACAAACATTAGCCGGGCATGGTGGTGCGTGCCTGTAATCCCAGCTACTCAGGAGGCTGAGGCAAGAGAATCACTTGAACCTAGGAGGTGGACGTTGCAGTGAGCCGAGATCACACCACTGCACTCTAGCCTGGGTGGCAGAATGAGACTCCATCTCAAAAATATAAATAAATAAAATAAAATGCTTTTGGCTAGTAAGACTCATTCCACATGAACATAAAAATCATTAAGTCAAGTTCCACAAGGGTTTTATTTGGAAGCACATTATATTACATCTGAAAAAAATTTGGAATAATTGACAACCAGAAATATGTCAGTACAGTCAAGTGTCCATTTGCCTTCCTAAATAAAAAATGTGTATCTTTTATCATATAAATTCTTCATGTTTTCAATTAGGTGAATTACCAAATATTTCATATTTTGTTTTAATATGAACACTTTAGATGTTTAACCTGGTTATTAACAATTAAAAATCTATAACTATTCATTGGGCTTGAAATTAATCTTACTTTGGTAACAAATATTTGTATTATTTACTTCTAGTTTTATTGCAATTGATTAGTTAACATGGCCTGCAATTTTTGTTTTATTTATTTGGAATGGATATATGGCCAATTGTTGCCAATGTACCAAGGATTCTTAAAAAGCATGCTTTCTTTAGTGTTGATTCATTCAAGTATTTTATAATTCAAATCATATTTTTTGGCTTACATTCATCAAAACTTATATTTGTTAAAAATTTTCATGATTACTATGTTTTTGTTAGTTTCTCATACTCAGGCACATTTTTTATTAGTAGTATATTATATTATTTGATCATAAAATTGTAAACAACATATTATTATAAATGAATTCCTTTGTCATATTTAAGAATTTTCCTTAGACATTTTATTGCCTAATATTAATACACCATCCTTTGTCTTATTATTTTGCATTTTCTGACCTTTATTTGCCTTTCCTTACCCTTACATTCACTACTATAATAGGAACCTTTGGAATAGAAATGGGATTTTGTCACTGTGCTGCTTATATCCTTCTGTGGCTACACATTGTCTCTATGACAAAGCCCAATGTCTCCAGGAAGCATTCAAAGCCCTGTAAATCTCTCATTTTGCACATCCAGGATCTTATCTCTCTCCCAACTGAATCTGTCACTTCTCCCTCTGTGATAGAATAATACCAAAGTGTTTCCAGGTCTGCTAGTAAGCCAAACTGTTTCAGAACTCTAGTCTCTGCACATTGATCCCTCTACCGAGAATGCATATGGCTACAAGCACCTGCTGTTCTTTGAAAGCATGATTTGAAAGTTAATTTTCAATGGAGCCTCCTCTTCCAAGAGAAGTTTAATATCTGACCTTTGTGCTCCCATGATGCTCCCTATGTACTGTGTGACCTTTGTGCTCCCATGATGCTCCCTATGTACTGTGTTCAAGGGCAGGGACATTATCTTCCACAGGTATTGTTAGTCTCTAGCAGTGTTGCATGCACCAGATACTTAATAAATATTGGCTGAATAAAATAATTCTGAATGGTAGCTCATTTGGACTAGAAACCCAGGATAACTCTAGAAAGGTGGGACAAAAATGGCAGTCTTGTTCACATATACAGTGGCTGTCACTTAGGAGTCCCTCCCGTGTGAAGCAGAGAATTGTTGCTGTACAAATCTGTTTTCAAACATGCCTTCATGGAAAGAGAGTAACAGCAACATGGAAAAATATGTGAATTTGGAACAAGAGCAAAATAAGATGACAGAGCAATAGTAGACAGTGTAATTACTTGATATCAATGCTAGGCAGTGTATTAGCATATTTCTTTTGCACAATTGGGTGCACAATAGTAGCATTAAATGCCGCAGCCTGTGATGTATTCATCAAGACTCCTCAACTCAGTATCAATTTCCTACAGCCTAGAAAAACTGTTTGTCTAAGTATTCATTAGGAAGAGCCACAATTTTTGGTGGGAGGTGAGCTAAACTTTTTACTTGGTTGTGTCAGTGTTTTTCATATATTAATCCAGATAAAGATTTCTATTGCCTCTCTCCAAATCATTTTTCCATTATTTTTCCAAAGAATGGCCTGCTTTCTTAATTTTTCCCTCCTCATTTTCCATCCTTCATTTCCAGGGCCAAGAGTAAAGGGTTTTGATCATTTACTGATATTGTTTGTCTGTGTCCCCACCCAAATCTCATCTTGAATTGTAACTGCCACAATTCCCACGTTTCGTGGGAGGAACCCAGTGGGAGGTGATTGAATTATGGGGGCGGGTCTTTCCTGCACTGTTCTCCTGATAGTGAATGAGTCTCATGAGATGTGATGGTTTTAAAAATGGGAGTTTCCCTGCACAATCTCTCTTCTTTTGTCTGCCTCCTTGTGAGATGTGCCTTCCACTTTCTGCCATGTTTGTGAGGCCTCTCCAGACATGTGGAACTGTAAGTCCAATACACCTTTTTCTTTTGTAAATTGCCTAGTCTCAGGTATGTTTTTACAGCAGTGTGAAAATGGACTAATACATTTACCTATCTAAATTGCAATCTGAATTGGAGAAACAGTGGTCTTTGTGACATTAAATAAATTATTTTTTGTGTTTCTAAATGGAAATGGAGGATGAAAAGGGAGAAGTACATTATCATACAGAGAAAATCTAAACAAAATATGTAGGCTAATGTATCTGAAAACTACAGAGTTGAAGCAAACTTCAAAAAATAGGAACTACTGGTTTAGATGTTTAGATGTCATGGAGACTCCAGCCCATACTCCTGTGTACACCTGTGCAGTGTATTAGCTCTACCCTCTACTGTGTGTTGGCTTAATGCTTAGGCCTATTTCCCACCTCTTAGCAAAAATTTCCACATCAAGTATTGGCCTTACATCCATTTATCATCCTGCAGTTTGGAAGAATAGTGTTGTCTGAAGTTTCAAAACAAGACTATTGATAATCATTCTGACGAGGCCATGTAAGGTTATATGTCCACATTGGTTCAATCATTGCAATGGAAAGTGGGGGTGAAAAGCACTGATTGACTTAGCCTAGAGCCAGAGCACAGTGGAGGCAAGGGCGGACTCAGTCCTCAGAGTTACATGGATCCCCAGTCAGAATTCACAGACTGTTTGAAAGAGGAAAATGGAAGATGGATTCTGGGCAGGCAACAAGCGCATGCTACAGGTCACTCCTTTGTCTGCCCTATGCCCAAAAACACTTTCTTCTGATCCATACTTCCAACAATGATCACAGCTACATGATAGGCATTCAGCTTTTCCCAAGAGGACATCAAGCCAGAAATCTCATGCACTTAACACTGCATTGGAATATGAAGGGAGCTCTGTCTAAACAGGGAACTCTGTCTCAATAGTAACATGTGTTTCTTGGCCAGACAATTGAGCCACCTCCAGGTATGTTCTCCAGGAAGATTGCCTTGGTCCATTGTTCTCTACAACCACATCCAGCATGGGAACTAAAAAATTGCAGCTTCTAGGAGCCCACTTAATATTTGGTACAAATTTGAGGGCCTAGATGCCAATCATCTATAGTTGTTTAATCCATAGGGCAATTCTTGGGTCTTCCACCAAGGAATAAGAAGGAAATTAAACAAAATTTTGTCAGTCTAATAGAATAAATTACAAAAATTTAAAAAATTAAAGCATGGTGAGTAGAAAGAAAAATATACCATGAAACATTTAAAATTTGATATATTAGTAATCAAAATAAAATTGAATACAGAATACTATTTAAAATAAATATTAAATATATTAATAATTAGAAGACATATTTAAAATATACATATAAAATTAAATAAATGACTAAATAAATAAAACACTATGCCCTGAGAAGTGAGTTTTGTGATACTAAAAAAAAGACAATTGAAATATTATTCAAAATATTCAGAAGATTTTTTTAAAAGGGAATGCTCACAAATTTATTTTAAAAGATCTTGATCTAAACCAAACCAGAGCAATAAGAAATGGGAAAATTTTCAGATATTTTTCAATCTCTGAAAAATCATATTTAAAACACAAGGAAATATAATCCCACAGTGTAACATATATCATTCCCAAGGTGTAATTATACTGAGAATGTATGGGTGTTTTAATAATATTTCACTGCGGACTTCAGAGGTTAGCATGATAAAGAAGGCAATCCTGTAGAACTTAGTGAGGGAGCAGGGCACCACGTGGCCACATCACTGTAGACCCTGTCCCTCACAGTGACCTGAAAACAGCCACCACCAATACAGCAGAGCGCACGCACCTAAGCTCCCAGGTATCTGCCATGCAAGGCCACCTAAGCCCCTAGCTATCTGCCATGCAGAGATGGGTTATGGTTTACAGACAGTCCCACCCCTGAAGAGAGCTCTGTCCTTCTGCTATACTGATGGTACTTTGGTGGACTCAGACAAAGGCACTGCCCAACAAGGACTAGACACCCTGTTGATCCACATGCAGCAACACAGCTAGGCCTTTAACACAGACAAGATACAAGGACCTAATGATACCCAAATGAAACTAATAAAACTCCTGGGCATAATTCAGAAAGGAGCAAAGCCTCTCATTGCAAAGATGATTGTCAAGATTTTGACCTTTTTTTTTCCCTCCCCACTCCCTCAAAAAAAAAAAACCCCCAAAAGAGCAGCAATTTGTAGACCTATTTGGCTACTGGCAGCAATCCCAAATACCCCACGTAGATATCCTGAAAGTATTCATCTACTGGCTTACAATAAAGGCCACTACTATGGAGTTGGACCCCGACCAACAGGACACTCAGGAGGACCTCCAAAGGGCCACCCACCCCACCCTTCTCCTGGACCCCATTGACTCCATTTGCTGTTTGAATCACAGGTCTCAGCAACCTCTCAGTTCACTGAGTGGAGCCTATGGCAAAAGAACACACAGGCCATCGGGCTTTGGATTCATAAACGTAACTCCCCACCCCTTAAGTCTGGGCTGTGAATAGTGACTTCCTTTCGAAGAACACAGAATGTAAAGGGGAATAAAAAGAGTAGATTTACAGTGAAGAAGCCTGACATACACTACCTCAATCAAGTGACTAAGATAACAGTGGTAAGTCATGTTGATAGTGTGGACTGTTGATGGGATGTGATGATACTGGCTCTTTACATCTGTGATCTCCTTCCACAAAACCCAAACACCAGTCTAATCTGAGAAAAATATCAGATAAACCCCAACTGAGGGAGTTTCTACAAAACACCTGACCAGTACTCCTCAAAACTCTTAACGTTATAAAACACAAGGAAAGTATGAAAAACTGCCACAGTCTAGAGGGGCCTAAGGAGATGGACACCTGACTGGAATGCTGCACCTTGGATGGGATCCTGGAACAGAAAAAGGACATTAGATCAAAATCTAAGGAAATCTGAATAGGACAGTATGAACGTCAGTTATCAATGTTTGTTCATTAATGGTGTATCATACTAATGTAAGATGTTCATAATTGGAGAAACTGAGTGCAGGGCACAGGAGAACTCTCTGCCATCTTCACAACTCTTCTGTAAATCTAAAACTTTTCTAGTATAAAAGTTTATTTCAAATTGTTTAATTTCTCTTTTGTTTTTCACTCTGTATTCTGCTAAACCATGTTGTCCAACAGAGCTCACTAAAATGGCACATGGTGAATTCACAAAATAAGATGAACTCTCCAATTTTACATTATCAACCATATACACACACAATTTGTATACATACACAGTTTGGTGTAAATTCTCGTTCAATACCAGGTTCCCAGGAAGAAATAAAATAAAAACTTAAACTCCTTTACTTTGGGAGTTAAGCAAACACTCTCAAAATTATTCTGCCCCCATTTTTCTGTTTTGCTACATTTTGTTCAGAGATGTTTCCTTCAGATTCTGCATGGGGTTGGGGATTTTTTTTTTATTGGCATTATTCCAACTTTTCTTAGTACCCGTTTCACATTTGCAAAATAGAGAAGTTGAAACCAAAATCAAGCCCCTTAAACAATTAGCCCAGGGAAAATTACGTTTCTAGACCTCATACTTAATCTAGACCTATGATATTATTTCCAAACACCAAAGCAGTAACTCAGGAGTATCTAAAGAAAGGAGGGTAGATGGAGAACAAGAAACCTTGATTTTCAGCCTCAAGGATGACAATAAACTCCAGATTTCCAGAATCAATGATTTGTCTTAAAATCAGTTGACGCTGAATTCAGGCACCTTTTCATGCTGCTTTCATTGGAGGATGGAGAAATCCACGTGTGCATATTATGTTCCCTCTCAGAGCATTAGAGCCTTAGAGACATTATTGTTGATAAAAAGTGTCAAACTCTGTAAAATATTTGAAGAGATTTATTCTGAGCCTAATATGAGTGACCATGACCCACGACACAGCCTTCAGGAGGTCCTGAGAACATGTGCTCAAGGCTGTTGGGGTGCAGCTTGCTTTTATACATTCTAGGGAGGCATGAGACATCAATCTTATACATTTAAAATATATATTGGTTTGGTCCAGAAAGGTGGGACAATTTGAAGCAGGAAGTGAGTGATGGGGCAGCTTCCGGGCTATAGGTAAATTTAAACATTTTCTGGTTGATAATTGGTCGAATTTATTTAAAGACCTGGAATCAATAGAAAGGAATGTCTGGGTTGAGATAAGAGGCTATGGAGACCAAAGTTTTATCATGCAGATGAAGCCTTCAGGTAGCAGGCTTCAGAGATAATTGGTTGTAAAATATTTCTTTTCTTTCTTTTTTTTTTCTTTTTGAGATGGAGTCTCCCTCTGTCACCCAGGCTGAAATGCAGTGGCACAATCTGGGCTCACTGCAACGTCCACATCCTGAGTTAAAGCGATTCTCCTGCCTCAGCCTCCCAAGTAGCTGCGACTACAGGTGCATGCCATCACACCTCGCTAATTTTTAGTAGAGACAAGGTTTCACCATGTTGGCCAGGCTGGTCTCCAACTCCTGACCTAAAGTGATCCACATGCCTTGGCCTCCCAAAGTACTGGGATTACAGGCGTGAGCCACCACTCCCAGCCATGGCTGTAAAATGTTTCTTATCAGACTTAAAGTCTGTGTTGATGTTAATGCTGGAGAGGTATAAAGAGGCATGTCTCAACCACACTTCCCATCATGGCCTGAACCAGTCTTTCAGGTTACATTTTAAAAGAGCCCTGGCTGAGGAGGAAGTCCATTCAGATACTTGGGGCCTTAGAATTTTATTTTTGGTTTACATTGTGGTACTTTTGCAAAGTTTGGATATTTGATGGTGGTCCCAGGTGTCAAAGTCACTCTTGAGGCACTTCTGTCCCATTGGCCTTGCTCAAAACCTCCTGATGTTTTTTTCCTCTCTGGTCTCTGTGTTCCTGGCATCCTCATGTTGCATCAAGTGAAATCTGTCTCTAGTGACAAAAGTCCTTTGCCACAGTAGCTATGGCCACTATTTCTTTCAATGCACTCACTTAGGCTTCTAAAGCAAACCTTACAGGCACAATTTTCCTCTTGTCCTCACTGTAATTTCAGCCAAAGAACACCTCTGAGAGAAAGGCTGAACCAAAGCTGCTATGAGGGCCTAGGGAGCCAGTGGCCCTTGGAGGCTCAGGACAGCTAGTCACGGTGCCACTGTGCTCCATTCTAGAACTGAGCATCTCCTCAGCCTTTGAACTGTCAGGCCTGAGTGTGGTGCTTCATACGAAAATGCTGTAGTACTTCAGAGAAACAGAAATGTTTCTTTTCTTTGGAGCATTTATTTCTGCAGGATTTATATATGACCCTAGAATTCTGCATCCTTTTAAAGCATTCCCACATTTTGGAAGGCTTTTGCTAAGCTGCTAACAATTCATCTGCTTCTTAAATGGATCCATTTCCATATCTGTTGATGTAAAGTTGATGTGGTTCATTGATTACACTATATTCTGTTGGTTTGTTTTTTGTTTGTTTGTTTGTTTGTTTTGCTTTCTGGCCTGGACATTTTTGTCTTCCTAACATACCTCTTACATTGATTCTTCAAGATGCTTAGTGTTCCCAAAGCATCCATTGTTCAAACAAGGCTTGTCCACTTCATCTCCCAGTGTCCCATGACCCCCCTAAATGACATACTACTGTGTTACCAGTGCGGAACCAACACTGGACTTGATTGTTGACTTCAAACCACCCAATCAAGGCTACAACAGATGTAACACAGGATTTTTCTTGGCCTCTTTGCCAGCTGAAGACCTCCAGCCAGTGACACCCCTGCCCAGGCTTTGCTTGGGCCCAGGCTTACTGCAGGAGATGCCCTATCTACTCAGCCTGGCAGGCCACACCTGTCTTGCACTCCAGCACAGATCCCATGGCCACTGCAACTGTGCAATAAGCCTCTGGTGGGAGGGGGTGTGTGAGTAAGCAAGTGTGGGGTTGGGCCAGCTATTTCAATCACCGGCACAGGAGTGGGCTCTGTGCAGGGCTTGCAGCTGGACCAGGCATGTCACAAGCAACTCCCGCAGTGGACTCTGGCATTCAGACAAGAGGAACATGGTGGTACCCAGGCAGGGATGCCCATATCCCTGAAGCCCCAGAGGGGGTGTTGCCACATTCTAATAGCTCTTTTAGTTCTGCCATCTGCAGCCCAGTGAACAGCGGCATGTTAACAGCTCTGTCAGTCCCATTGCCCTAATCCTGCCCATGGCTCTGGGGCTAGCTCGGTCCTGCTGCTACTTCCTGTTGCATGGGGTGGCTGCCCTCCACTGGCGAAGGGGAAAGGGCCACAGTGTTACAGCTTTTTTTGTACTCACATTCAGTGGGTCCTGAGTTATTGTCCCACGTTCAAGAAGAATGAGGTTATGTTGACAATTGAAGGGTGAGGAGGGTGGGGAAGAATTTTATTAAGTGACAAAACAACTCTCAGCAGAGAGGGGGTTACAAGGATGGTCCCCCACCCAAAGTCAGGTGGTCTCTCTCACCCAGAGGTGGGCAGTTCCCATGTGGCTGAGTCCCAGGCTTTTATGGGCTCAGAATGGAGGAGTGCAGGCTGATTAGTTTGTGAGTATGCAGAAAAGGCTAAAACAAAGACACCACTCAAAAGTGGGCATGACAATGTAAAAGGCCAATTATGGAAGTGTAGGTACATGTAAAACAGGGGAAGGGTGGTGAAGGGTGGGGACCAATCAGAGAAAAGCATGCCAAATGGGAAGAGAGGTTCTCCATCCAGCCTCAGATTTATCTGAGACTTGTAGCTTGGCTTTCAGGCTTTAAACTCTCTTTGGGTTAAAGGTGGTGTTCACCGGACTCCTGCCCCTGTCTGCCTACGATTGTCTACCTCCTGGCGCTGTCAGATGCATCAATCTCCCCAAGTACTTGCTTTAATTTATTTTTCAAAGTTCCTAGTCTTTGAACATATGTTTTTAGGAGAACTAAGGGACTAGGAATATAAATAATACCCCTTTCTTCTAGTCCCATATTTACAGTGACTTGCAAAATAAGATACAGCAAATGCTCAGGTGAAAAACCAAAATACCACTTTATTCCTGATATGCTGAAGGAAAAGCATTCCTTCAGTTCAAGGCCAAATGAAATTCAATTGATGTGTCCAACCAGTCACTGGCAGAGCTGGGTCACCCCAGGCCTCCCCCATAAGAGGAGGCACCTCCAAACCCTAGCAAGGGAAGGGAAGAACAGATGATAGTGGTTTCTAGCAGGCAGACTGTCTCCAAAACAAATGAAGAAACACAGATGGGCTGAGCCACACAAGCCCAAGCCCTCCTTCCAAACTCTGCAACTTTGTGCAGCATTCCTCCTTCCCTGAAGAGAACCAGGTTAAGGAGAGGAAAGAAACAGGTGTGTTTCTCTATAGGAAGTTCTGCTGGAAGGAAATGTGAGGCTGGAGACAGATGAAGTTCCCTCCTAACTGTGGCTACCTCTGGGGAAGGAGGGAGGGGGAGGAGGAGACAGGGAGAGCTTTGGGGCTACCTGCAGCATTTTATTTCTGTAGAGAGGAAAAAAGTGAATCTAAATAATCATGTAAAATGATAATATCACTTGAATCACTGGGGGAAATATGTAGATACCTGTTTTATTATTTTCTGCATTTTTATCTATGTGTATAAAGTTTTGGAATTAGCATATAAACATTATAAATTATTCTGAGTCATTTATCATCTCACCTTTCTATATATCTGATTCTTTCAGAAGGAATACAGAAAAGAAAAAGAAGAAAATATAAGTCTCCTATGAACCTCAAAGTTATTTTATTATTATTTAATGTACCATTTTTATACAGCTCTGAAATGTATAAAAGTCCCTGAGTGGCAAATATTTATAGTTGTTTTTCCTCATTTGACCTTCTTGCCTTCCTCCTTTTTTGTGTGTTTCACTGTAGCCCCCTCAGACAACAGTGAGTACTCTTTTCAGGACAAAATGTCAGGTGTGAGTCATAAAGTGCAAAGGAACTATACCCTCCAGAACGATGGGAAGGAAAACTTTCTGCCTAAGAGATACTTCATATTAACCAAGCAGTAGATTTCTTCTCAAACAAATGGAAAGCAATTGAAGAGAAACCTCATGAAAACATAGCACATTTTTGTTTCCCAACAGTTATAAACAACCCAGTTTTCCTTTCCCTTCTCACCCCATGTTCAGACACCATGAGTGTTTCCCAAACTTTGGAAACAAAGACCTAAGTTTCAGGTTCCTGCAATGACCTGTTGCTGACATTCTACTGCAGTCGTCAGAGTAAGTATGGTGGCAGAGTTGCAGCTGGCTTGGAAGATTTATTTTTATTTCTAAGGACAGAAGCAAAGGAAGCCCCCACGTTCACTCACTGAAAATAACAATTGGCCATCTGCATTTGTTTCTGCCGCAGCTTCAAAAGCCAAGGTAGAGAGCCTGCTGGTGCGGGCAAGTCTGGTCTTGGAGCTTAGGGCCACTTACAGATCCTGAAACTCAGGGTCAGCGTAGGCTCAGAAAGGTCACTGATATCCAACCCAGCAGACCAGACGTATGAGCACTCTGCCCAGAAGCCTATTTACTTCTTCAAACACACAAAAAAATATCTTGAGCAACTTCCTTAACTTTTTGGGGTCTTCCTCTCTCTTTTCAGAATGAAGATAGTTAAATGTAATAGTACCCCATGGTGACAGGATGAGAAAATATATATATCCAGCACTTAGAACAAAGCCTGACAATGTAATCTCATCAAGACTTAAGAGCTTCCTTTCCTTCCTCTTCCATCTTTCCCTGCCTCGCTTCCCTAGATGATAGAGCTAGATGATAGAGCTAGACTACCCTTCCATAGCCAGACACCAGAGCTAGATGATAGAGCTAGACCACCCTTCCATAGCCAGACACCCTCCTCACTTCCTCCCTCCAACACTTGCCCACAGGCACACCTAGAATCCTCAAGACCACTCAAGTGGCTTCCTGGTACCACTCTTGCTAGACCAAAGAAAATGGTAAGATGTGGAGGGAATTATGCACTCGATTCTTCATATCTTCGATAGTGTTAAATGGTCCATATGCTTTCTTATAGCTGGGGGCACATGCATTTACACAAACACATGCACACACACAAAACACCCTTACATAAGTGTGTGCTGGGGGAAAGCTATGCAACTCTGAGGCTCCAACCACTTTTTGTGTACTTTTCACAATTGCCCAGCAGATGGCAGCAAAGTGTCCTGAGGAACTACTTTTTCTGTATAATTCAGCCCTATGTGGCAGTGTAAAGCTAGAGGCTAAATTGTCCCTCTAGATATATAACAGAGCATAGACAGGAGAGGCATTCTGTTCAGTTTCATCTGTGGCCCGAAGACAAGAGATGACACAGAATTGTGCCAAGGGGCAGGACAGAAGGAGGAGTCAGCCCCCGGAGCAGGTAATTATTCAGGTAGAATTTAGATCTTTTTCGTTGTTGTTGCTCCTGAGAGCAGTATTCTGTTACCAATACTGTTTAGAATTGTTTAAAAATGGATGCTAAAAAGCATATGGCAGTTTGTTATTGTTGTAAAATTTTCTACAGACCATGCTTCTCCTCATTGTCTGCACCTGAAGAGACCACACCCACCACCCGTTCTTGTTTTGCCATAGAGATGACAATCGCTCCTAATTTACACAATAAAACCCCATTCACCCAAGTAGAAATTAAGAAAAAAGAGCCAAACATGGTTTTCTCAACCAGATTATAAAACATTAAAGATTGAGTAAAAGAGTAAGAAATTGAGTAAGACTGAAGGAAGAGGATTTCATTAGAAACAGAATGTCATTTGGAAACTGTACTGGAGAATTTCGTTAGAAGGACATTGTTGATGTTTTGTGTGGTTTCCTCCCTCCTGTCACTATAGGAGAAGGAAGGAGGAACCTCCCCCTCATCTCCAGCTCAGAGAGAGAGGCTGGAATGGGACCGCATGGGGATCATGTTGTAGATCCTCTGCAGTTTAGGGAAAATGAGAAACTTGAGTCCAACACACCAGGAGAAACCAAAGAATGCTAAGACCTGGACTGTCTACTCTATAGCCAGTGTTTTTATCTATTGCTATATAATAAATCACCCAAACGTAGAGGTTTAACACAGCACACCTGTTACCTCACAGGTCGGGACTCTGGGCATGACTTAACTGAGTTCTTTGCTTCAAGGTCTCACCAAGTTCCATTTAAGGTATTGGCAGGGATGAGGCCTCAAATGAGGTTTGACTAGAGAAGGATCCACTTCCAAGCTTACAATGTTATTGCTAGAATTCAGTTCCTTGCAGTTGTAGGATAAATGGTCTCATTTCTTGCCAGGTGTTGGCTCGAGGTCTTTGTAGGATATTGGCTAGAGACCACTCTCAATTCCTAAGGGCTGCTTATACTCTCTTACCATATCAAGACTGCAACATGACAAATTGGTTTCTCAAGGCCAACAATGGTGAGAATGAGACACCAGTAAGACAGAGTTTACAGTCTTCTGTGACATGATCATATAATCACATACCCAAAATCACATACATCCTGTCACCTTTGCAGGATTCTGGTTATTCAAAGCAAGTCACAGATCCTGCCTATATTTACAGGGAAATAACTACAAAAGGGCATGAAGACCAAGAGGCAGGAATCATCTAGCCACCCTAGAGTGGCTCTCATGGTGGCACAATTAAGCAAGAGGAGTAGATTGTGTGGGGGTGGTCTGCACTTCCACCTGTATGCTGTGTGAAAGAGATTCTACATGGATGGTCTTAGAGCTTGCTCTGAAAAGAAATCAGGAGGGAGCAAGGAGACCTTGAAGAGAATGAGGCTGGAGATTTTCTGATGGACATCCAGGGACAGGACATAGGATAATCGTCAGCTGCCAGCTAAGTCCATGAGGATACTGAGAGGAAGCCCAGCCAAGGAATCCCAGTGATGGAACCACAGATGCATTCAACATCCACCAGCCTGCATAGCACTGACATCGAGTTGGGAAACGGCCAATCGAGAGAGACTTTTTCTGTTCCTCTCTCCTCATTCCTGCCCCTGACTCTGTGAGGATCAGGAATCCCTCTTAGCAATCCTCAGGGTGAAGAGTTAGAGAAGAAATAGCACTGACCCCCACTTTACATGTCAGCTGCCCTGCCTAAAGCAGGCCAAACTGAGGAAAAGAAGAAATTTTAATATGAATGACAGTTGGATTTTGATTTTTGCATAAATCTATATTTTAATTACTAAAGTGACTGAGGAACTCTTCTATTAGCTGACAGTAGTAACATCTTAGATTTCAAACAAGCAGCAGGGGAGAGCTAGCCCTACTGAGGATCTTAGAAAGAACAGTTGTGGGGCCAGGCACGGTGGCTCATGCCTGTAATCCCAGCACTTTGGGAGGCCGTGGCGGACGAATCGCCTGAGTTCAGGAGTTCGTGATCAGCCTGGCCAACATGGTGAAACCCTGTCTTTACTAAAAATAAAAAAATTAGCTGGGCATGGTAGTAGGCGCGTGTAATCCCAGCTACTCAGAAGGCTGAGGCAGGAGAATCACCAGGCTGGTCTCAAACTCCTGACCTCAGGTGATCTACCCACCTCGGCCTCCCAAAGTGCTGGGATTATAAACATGAGCCACCTCACCCACCCTGAAACTGCTTTTTTGTGCTGAGTCAGTTCCTAGGTGGGGGCCACAAGATCAGATGAGCCAGTTTATTGATCTGGGTGGTGCCAGCTAATCCATCGGGGTCTGCAAAATATCTCAAGCACTGCTCTTAGGAGCAGTTTAGGAAGGGTCAGAATCTTGTAGCCTCCAGCTGCATGACTCCTAAACCATAATTTCTAATCTTGTGTCTAATGTTAGTCCTACAAAAGTAATCTAGTCCCCAGGCAAGAAAGAGGTCTGCTTTGGGAAAGGGCTGTTACTGTCTTTGTTTAAACTGTAAACTATAAACTAAGTTTCTCCCAAAGTTAGTTCAGCCTACTCCCAGGAATGAACAAGGACAGCTTGGAGGTTAGAAGCAAAATGGAGTCAGTTAAGTTAAATGTCTTTCACTGTCTCAGTCATAATTTTGCAAAGGCGGTTTCATATCGGATTCAGTGATGAAAAGATTTTATCTGAACACCACTTAAAGAGGAAGGCATTTTGTATCAATAAAATAATTTTTCAAAAAAAAATTTTTTTTTTTTTGAGACGGAGTCTCGCTGTGTCGCCCAAGCTGGAGTGTAGTGGCGCGGTCTCGGCTTACTGCAAGCTCCGCCTCCCGGGTTCAGGCCATTCTCCTGCCTCAGCCTCCAGAGTAGCTGGGACTAAAGGCACCCGCCACCGTGCCCGGCTAATTTTTTGTGTGTGTTTTTAGTAGAGACGGGGTTTCACCCATGTTAGCCAGGATGGAATTTTTTTAAATTTTAACCAACATTATTTTTAAAATTTTAACCAACGTTAATAATCTAAATACCCTGACTTGATCATTACACATTCTATGCATGTAACAAAATATTATATATACCCCATAAATATGTACAAAGATCATGTATCAATTAAAAAGAATCTCAAATCACATGTGTATTGGGTCAGATGTTGGTAAAATCTGAATCCCATTTTCTGACAAGATCTTACACTTGTGTTAAAGAACAAATTAAAGATCACTAGAGCTATAAATAGAATATAAATTGAAAAGCTGAGTTTATGTGTTTGTGTATGTGCCCAGTAAGGAAAGAGCCCCGTGGCTCTTTCCCTGTGGGGAAATTCATTAAGTATTCACCAGCTGGGGGAAATTCAGGGGTTTTTTCAAACTGAATAGAAAGAGGTTTCATAATAGTTATGCAAATTGAAGACTGAAGACTAGCAGTCTTCAGTCTTTAGGCTGGGAAAGTGAGTTGTTTAAAACAAGTCCTGTTGTTTATAATCACTTACCAGTTTCGGTCAACTGAATCAGCTGCAGTGAGAAAAAACATTCAGTTTTGATTTGTTTCCTAAAAATATTTTCCTTTTATACTCAAAATTAGTTGCTAACCAAAATTAAAGAAAAAACTTGAGCAATACATTTTGTTTTCTAAATGCCACTAAAATTTTATATGATATAGGAGTGTGTGTATGTGTAAAAATGAAAAATAAAATGTTTCCAAATGCGTTTTAGTAATATCAACAAAAAGATGGCAAAGTTGTTTCATTCCCATTCTCTGCTACCATCTGGTTTAAGAAAATACTTAGAAATTTGTTCAAGTCATAAAGGTATCATTTTGAGAGACAGGACTAGCTGGATTTCCTAGGCCAACTAAGAATTCCTAAGCCTAGCTGGAGAAGGTGACGGTACCCACCTTTAAACACAGGTCTTGTAACTCAGCTCATACACGACCAATCAGGTAGTAAAGAGGGCTCACTAAAATACAAATTAGGCTAACAGCAGGAAGTAAAGAAATAGTCAAATCATATATTGCCTGAGAGCACAGTGGGAGGGACAATGATCGGGATATAAACCCAGGCATTCGAGCAGGGAGCGGCAACCCCCTTTGAGTCCCCTCCCTTGTAAGGGAGCTCTGTTTTCATTCTATTAAATCTTGCAACTGATTGCTCTTCTGGTCCGTGTTTGTTCTGGCTGGAGCAGAGCTATCGCTTGCGTCCACCACTGCAGTTTGCCGCCGTCGCAGAACCACCGCTGACTTCTACCCCTCCGGATCTGGCAGGGTGTCCCCTGCGCTCCTGATCCAGCGAGGCGCCCATTGCCCCTAAAGGCTCGCTATTGTTCCTGCACGGCTAAGTGCCCGGGTTCGTCCTAATCAGGCTGAACACTAGTCACCAGGTTCCACAGTTCTCTTCCGTCATCCACGGCTTCCAATAGAGCTATAACACTCACAGCATGGCCCAAGCTTCCATTCCTTGGAATCCGTGAGGCCAAGAACCCCAGGTCAGAGAACAAAAGGCTTGCTGCCATCTTTGGAGCAGCCCACCACCATCTTGGGAGCTCTAAGAACAAATATTTTCAGATAAATCTTTGAGTAAGTTCACAATTGGGTTATCTGAAATATGCAAGGAATCCTGTTCACCAAGATAAATCCACACACTCCAATAGAAATTATCTTGCAAATTCAATGTCGATAGTTGACATGGTTAGGCATGGTGTCCCCATCCAAATCTCATCTTGAATTGTAATCCCCAAGTGTTTAGGGAGAGACCTAGTGGGAGGTGATTAGATTATGGGGACAGTTTCCCCTATGCCCATTCTTGTGATCATGAGTGAATTCTCATAAGATCTGATGGTTTTCTAAGCAGTAGTTTTTCCTGCACTCTCACACACTGTCTCCTGCCACCATGTGAAGAAGTCCCTTGCTTCCCCTTTGCCTTCCGCCATGATTGTGTTGTAAATTTCCTGAGGCTTCCCCAGCCACGTGGAACTATGGGTCAATTAAACCTCTTTCCTTTATAAATTACACAGTCTCAGGTATTTCTTTAGAGCAGTGTGAAAACAGAGTAATATAATAGTCAACATAATTTGTCTTTTTATTATCTGATCTCCCCATTTTTCTTATAAAAGAATGATTACTTTATTGAGAAGTGGGACTCTGCACAATTAAGAGATGATATTTCCCAGCCTTCTTTGTATATAAAAATGGCAGTGTGACATAGCTCTCGCTAATGAGACCTAAGAAGAATTTTGCTGGAATTTGTGGGAATGGGCTAATTTCTTATTTAGGCATAGCCCTTCCTCTCCCTTCTACTGCTCTCCTCTCACCACCGTCCTTCTTTTCCTTCTTGTTCTTCATAGTCTTTCAAAAGAAAAGGCAAATAGAAAGCTGACAATGGATTATCCAACTTGTTACCATACAGCTCCCATGGAGATGAAAGCTCACCTTATGGAGAACTGAGCACAAAAACCTGAGAATCTGAAAACACTGATGATACTGAAATGGCCATTGCAAAATTCTGGCTGAGAGCATTATTACAGTGAAAGAGATCTGACCTAACCAACTTCACCTTGCTTCTAACCTCCAAGCCATCCTTGTTCATTCCTGGGCCTAGGCCAAACTAACTTTGGGAGGAACTTAATTTACAGTTTGAAACAAAGACAATATCTCCTTTCCAAAACAAGACCCCTTCCTGCCTGGGGTCTAGACTGCCTTTGTAGGAGTAACCAATTAGCCACACAATTAGAAATTATGGTTTAGGAGTCATATAGCTGGAGGCTGCGAAGTTCTCACCCTCCCCAGTCGCTCCTGGGGATAACATCACTATTGTAAAACCTAAGATCAGTGCTTCGGATATTTTGCAGACCCTGCAATTGATGGATCAGCTGGTACCACCCACATTAATAAACTGGCTCATCTGGGTCCTGTGGCCCCCACTCAGAAACTGACTAAGTGCAAGAGGGCAGCTTTGATTCCCTGTGATTTTATCTTCGACCCAAGCAATCAGCACTCCCAACTCACTGGCCCCTTACTCACCAAATTATCCTTAAAAAACCTAATCCCTGAATCTTTGGGGAGACTGATTTGAGTAATAATAAAAGTCTAGAGGGTCTCCCATAGAGTCAGCTGTGCATGAATTAAACTCTCTCTATGGCAATTCCCCTGTCTTGATAAACTGGCTCTGTCTAGGAACTGGGCAGAGAGAACCCACTGAGCGGTTACAATATCGTAGGTCTTGTTAATTAGCTCTAGACAGTTTCCCTAGACTTCTTGAAAAAGCCTGCATTTCTAACTGGTGAAGCTTTGGCATTAAGGAATGCAATCTCAAATTGATATACTAATCTAGGTATTTTTAGAAATAATGTAATTGTACAAATGAGCAAATAAACTTCAAGTTATTCTAATATTAAAAGTGAGGTTAAAATTGTTTTCACTAATAATTACCTCAGTCACCTTTCCCCACCATTTAGAATGCACCATTTGTTTAATGCTATAGCTGGGATTACCTTAAAAATCTCCTGGTTTTATTGATTTCTAGTATTTAATGGGTGAAGAAATTAATCTACAGAAAGCCATAGTGACTCACCCAGATTTATGATTCAGACTTAGAGTTTATAAGTCCAAGACCAACATTGTTTCTTATATGCTGTGTTGCCTACAGGGGTCCATAGTACCTGTTCTCTACCATTTATTGTCAATACTCAGCAGAACTATTAATACCTCAGGGAAGCAAGATTAGTAAATAATGGAATATGTATCAGCATTGCAAACATGAGCTATTTCATGAAGGCCAGGGTGAGAGCATTTCATCAGCTTGGATTCTCAAGGTCTCATAAATGCTTTAATTTGTAACTGCATCAACATGTCTTATGGTGATGCTGGACATCAGTGTAACACAGACATAGACAATTACCTTCAAATCCAATTATCGGGGAAGCCAAAGGTTTACCTAGGAAATATTACCTTTGCCAGGACTAGGAACGTCTCAGTTTGTTTTTGTGAAGCCTTCGTGATTGGCACAATATGAGTTTAAAGTATGGAGAACCGGATTCGGTTTCTAGCTTGTACAATTAACAGCTGTGTAAACAATGACTCACTCAAGAATTTTGTCAGCAGAGTATTATTTGTATTGGGTTTTGTTTGTGGGGATTGTTTTGTTTGCATATATATTTGTGTATTTTATGTGGTTTTGAGGGGCATGGGGGTTCTGCTCATCTCTGTGTGTCTACCCAGGTCTCTAGTAGTCACTTTAGCCCAGATAGATTCTTTAGCCATTAACTAAATATTGGCTTCCTAGTTTTTCACTACACATACAATAACGTACGGTAATCAGATGTGTGACTTTGCCATGTGTACATACTTCCAGAACTGCCAGTTCAAAATAAACAGACCCTCCTTGACATGGAGAATCCACATAATGTCACAGGAATGACTCACATACCTTCCAGGAAGATATGTGAGTAAAAGAAGCTCTTCTATGCTGTGGATAGTGAGCAGAGCTATAAAGAATTAAGGCTATAGAACCTATAATTTAATAAGATTTTTTTTTCTGAGTTTTCCCTGGTGGAATAAACAAAGGGAAAATGCATTTTTGTCTACCTTGGGAGGGAAAGTAACATGATTGTGAAGTCTCTTAGATTTAATGCAGCTTTGTTTGATTTCTAGATATTTCTAAGAGTTTGTTAACATTTGTAATAATAGGCACCAGAAACTTCTATGGGAAAAAAGGGAAAACGTGAACAAAAAAAGGAACTATGGCATTTTCACTGAGGAAGTAAAGCGTGATCTGGAGAAATAAAAAACAGACAAACACATATTGGTCCCAGGCCAGTTTTAAGAAACCCTTTTATACTAAGCCCTTTTTAACAGAAAGTGTTAATAGTATTCAATTTTTTTAAAAAAAGAAGGAGAACTCATAAAATTCACTTAGCTCTCCTAATTACGGCAAATTATTGGAACAAATTGTTTTGTTAAATTCAATCAGTCTTAGGTCTTAGAGACGCTACAAATGGGATTATCTTATGGACAAATGTGACAGAAATGGGATGGGAACTTGAAGAATATAATGATTTCTGAGGATCAGGAAAGTGGAATTAAGTCCTTCTGATTTCGAGAAATTACTGGGCAATAGTGCAGATCAGCTGCTGTTGGGAGATAGAAATCATTGCAATTTTAATAGGCTAAGATCAGTGGTAGTGCAAAGGAGGGCATAGGATGAAGCAAACTTTATAGATATAAAATGCAAACCTATAAAATGGCCAGGATGTCATATTGGAGATAAAGACACCTTTGGGAGACTGTACTAGAGAGGATTAGCAAGGCACCTGTTGTGGTTACACACAATCCCAGTGTCTTCTAAACCCCAGTTTAAAAGACAGTTATCTGACCTCTCTCCAAGTTTATTACAGACTAAAGAATCACAGTTGCCTGTAAATATGTCTATGTTTGAGGAATTGAATGACTATCACTAAGAGATGGGATTCGAATTTATTGGAGCTTCCAAGAGTCTTTACAAGAATGGCAAGAATGTTGCAGGGGCCCAGGGCCGGGCACGGTGGCTCATGCCTGTAATCCAGCACTTTGGGAGGCTGAGGCGGACGTATCACGAGGTCAAGAGATCGAGACCATTCTGGCCAACATGGTGAAACCCCGTCTCTACCAAAAATACAAAAAATTAGCTGAGCGTAGTGGCATGCACCTGTAGTCCCAGTTCAGGAGGCTGGAGCAGGAGAATCACTTGAACTCGGGAGGCAGAGGTTGCAGTGAGTCGAGGAGCCAAGATCATACCACTGCACTCCAGCCTGGCGACAGAGTGAGACTCCGTCTCAAAAAAAAAAAAAAAAAAAAAAAAAAGAACATTGCAGGGGCCAAGGGTATAGCTTCCCTTTTGCCCTCTGAAGTTTCGCTGAAAAGTCAACTTGTAAAAGTCAGATTAATTGAGAAAAGGCATACAAATTATTCAACACATAGACATGAGGGCCTTCAGAATGAAGACCCAAAAAATATAGGGGAAAGTATCCATTTGTATGCTTAGGTTCAACGAAGTAAGGACAGCCCTGTAGAAATATGACTGGATATAATCTATGCTAATAGGCTTAGTTAGAACCGAGCAAGACCCGTCTGTCTAGGTTTTTCTTGGCCTCTCTGTGCTGCATTCCTTCATTTTGGTTGTAGGACAGGACCATCTCTGGAATGGGCATCTTATGACCTACAGTCAAACAAGATAGCTCAGATGATTTCTTTATGACCAGTTTTACACAGATAGAGTGGAAGGAGAGTTAGAGTAACACTTTTAGGTTTTAAGGCTGGCTGTGGCAAGAGGGGTGTCTGGTTTCTATGACCCACCTTGGGGAGGGATTCTTGTTTGTACAGCTAGCCTCAAAGGAAGATAGGACTGAGAGACAGGAAAGGAAGTCAGAGAAAAACTTTTGCTTCTGAGGTATTGTTTTGGGGTATTGTTTTCTGAGCCCCTAAATACATAATAGGTATCTTTGTCTTTGCCCTTTTTATTGTTCTTTTCCTCCTTTTTTCTCTTATGTGCCACTGTCACCATTCTCAGGTGGGCTTTCGAGAATGAATGTGCAAAATTCATGATTAGGGTCAACCACATCTCCATAGCTATGGGCCTTACAAGCATTAACTGTCTATCATTTGCATCTTCAGACTGATATTCAGAACAGTTTCAGGATTCTCACACTAGCCTAGAGAACAATTTTTTAAATAATTCCATCAACATATTGATATGGGAGAGGGGCAGGGAAGTGCTAAGTAGAGAAGGGCAGGGTCCCTGGCGAGGTTCCACCCTCGGCCTTTGCCCACAAACCCAGGTGAGGACAGGCACTCCTGTTTTCATGCCAAATGTTGCATTTCCAAGCCAGCCATGCCCCTCCTCCTGTGCCTATAAAAACCCTGATACCCTAGTGGGTATACACACACAAGTGGCTGGATGTCAAGAGGAACACACTGGCAGAAGAACACACCAACAGTTGCTGGCAGACCATCGATGGCAGAACAAAGCAGATACCAAAGGAAATTCAGCTGAGGGTGGTTGGAGGAGAGCCAGGCTGCTGAGCAGCCCTACTCCAGAGAAGACCACCTTCCCACTCCATCCCCGTTCTGGCTCCCTGTCCATCTGTTGATAACTACTATCACCACTCAATAAAACCTTGCACTCACTCTCCAAGCCCACATATGATCTGATTTTTCTGGGACACTTGGGCAAGAACCCTGGGATACAGAAAGCCCTCTGTCCTTGCGATAAGGTAGAGGGTCTAACTGAGCTCATTAAAGCAAGGTGCCTGCGGACGGCTAAGCTGAAAGAGCACATTGTAACATACACCCATTTGGGCTTCGGGAGCTGTAAACACTCAACCCTAGATGCTGCCATGGAGTCGGAGCCCACGCTCCCCATGACCTGCCCGTCTGCATGCTTCCCTTAGGGGTTTGAGCTGCGGGGCACCAAAGAAGTGAGCCACACCCCCATCACGCACCCTGCAAGGGGGATAAGGGAAAACTCCCCTCGTTTCAATATGTTAAAGCTTATTCACCCCATGAGAGCCATTTGGTTGGTAGGCTATTAATTATTGCCTCAATTTCAGAGCCTGTTATTGGTCTATTCAGGGATTCAACTTCTTCCTGGTTTAGTCTTGGGAGGGTGCATGTGTCCAGGAATTTATCCATTTCTTCTAGATTTTCTAGTTTATTTGTGTAGAGGTGTTTATAGTATTTTCTGATGGTAGTTTGTATTTCTGTGGGATTGGTGGTGATATTCCCTTTATCATTTTTTATTGCTTCTATTTGATTCTTCTCTCTTTTCTTCTTTATTAGTCTTGCTAGCAGTCTATCAATTTTGTTGATCTTTTCAGAAAACCAGCTCCTGGATTCATTAATTTTTTGAAGAGTTTTTTGTGTCTCTATCTCCTTCAGTTCTGCTCTGATCTTAGTTATTTCTTGCCTTCTGCTAGCTTTTGAATGTGTTTGCTCTTGCTTCTCTAGTTCTTTTAATTGTGATGTTAGGGTGTCAATTTTAGATCTTTCCTGCTTTCTCTTGTGGGTATTTAGTGCTATAAATTTCCCTCTACACACTGCTTTAAATGTGTCCCAGAGATTCTGGTATGTTGTGTCTTTGTTCTCGTTGGTTTCAAAGAACATCTTTATTTCTGCCTTCATTTCTTTATGTACGCAGTAGTCATTCAGGAGCAGGTTGTTCAGTTTCCATGTAGTTGAGTGGTTTTGAGTCAGTTTCTTAATCCTGAGTAAAATGCTATTCTTAACATCAGTTCTGTTCCATTGGTCTATTCACCTTGTTACTAGGCTTATTACTAGGACTATGTAGTATGCTTCCTCACTGTTCTATTTGAACATTCTAGGAGAATGAAAACACCATAGAGGAAGGTGGTTTTTTCTGTTCTGTCCATTGATGCAATCCAAGCACCTAGAACACAGCCTGGCACAGAAGAAGCACTCAAACTGTGGTATTTCAATGAAAAGTGAGGAATATTTTTCATGTGGAATTTTTTAAAGGAATGTTGTGCCCTACACCTTTTCAGTAAGGAGATTTTCTGTGAAGTACTACGCGAGGCCTGCTGTGTGCATGGCGAGATCAGCAGAGGCAGAGACCAAGAGAGGCAGAAACCTGGCAGAGCTGCTGAGGATGGTGTAGAAAGAGACTCCCCCATGCTTAGTCATCCCATCATGCCCATTGTCATGTGTAGCCTCCAGTTATACAAAGCTAGAGATGCTCAGCCTCATCCCCATTTGAGATAATTGCATTCTTTTGCCCTATTCATCATCACTGAATGGTGAGTCCCAGCAATTCTGATATCAAGAGCACCAGGAAATAACCATTTGTTTGTATTTCACTTGGAAGGTAGGGTCTCACACCAGGTTTGGGGATTTACTGTTCAAGTCCAGATGACCAGTAAAGCAAGTTCCTGGAAGTAATAATATAGCAGTTAAGAGCACAGTCCCAGCCAGGCACAGTGGCTCACGCCTGTAATCCCAGCACTTTGGGAGGCTGAGGCGAGCAGATCACGAGGTCAGGAGTCGAGACCATCCTGGCTAACACAGTGAAACCCCGTCTCTACTAAAAATATAAAAAATTAAACAGGCGTTGTGGCGGGCGCCTGTAGTCCCGGCTACTTGGGAGGCTGAGGCAGGAGGATGGCGTGACCCCGGGAGGCGGAGCTTGCAGTGAGCAGAGATCCCGCCACTGCACCCCAGCCTGAGTAACAGAGCAAGACTCCGTCAAAAAAAAAAAAAAAAAAAACGATCACAGAGCACAGTCCCTGAATTAAGATTACCTGGATTCAAATCTAGACTTCATTACTTTCTAGGGTGTGTGACAGGGTAAGTTACTTAACCTCTCTGTAATTTAGGTTATCAGCCAAAAGACAGAAACCTTCTGTTATTTTAGCAGAGAATACTTGCTAGAAAGAGTCATTACCTGTGTATTAAAGAACTGCAAAGGCATAAAGAAAACACTGAAATAATACAGACATAGAAACTGCATGAATCAGCCACAGCCCAGTCACTACTAACTCCCTAAGCAATCCCTGGCCTTTAGTTTCCCCACCTGTAAAATGCTGAAGTTGGGGGGAAAAATCGTTTCACTTTCATTCCGGTGGCGTGATACGAGATTCTAAGAAACAGGGAGAAAATTCCGTGAGTGGAGCCAATAACCAAGTCAAACATCAGGGGGGTCTATGAACACTGCTCCAAGGAATCTCTCTCTGGATAACCAGACCTTGTGCCCTAGCCCCAGCCCGTCATCTCCACTGCTAGAGAAAAAAAATACAGTTAGTCTGTCCAAGGCTGTTAGAGTCCTCCAACATATAAGACGCATTTCCATTTTACTAGCTTCATGGTCTGCTTGGGGTGGGGATGGCGGGGAGATCGTATCCTTGAAGTAGGCACTAGGACTGTGAGTCACTTGCCTGTCTAGAGCACCAGGACTGTTTGCAAAGGGCTGAGGAGATTTCCATCAATGGAAAAGAGCATGAATTTAGAGTAAACATAGATTACACTTAGAGATCAGAGATCAATCTAGAGATAAAATACACTTTTCTCTAAAGGGGGTGGGAGAAGATGTTGGACAAGAAATACCAGATTTTCTTAATGGTTCATTTATGTCAGGCTCTATGGTGGGGACTTTTATGTTATTTGACTTAATCCTCACAACAATTCTGAAAAATCTTTTTTCAAATTTTATGAGAAAGTGAACTGGATATTTAACTGATTTTCTCACGAATTCCTTCTGAGGCTCAGAAGTGTGAAAGAAGCCCAAATGACCAAGGTTCTTTAACAATTTGGTCAAAACAGGTCATAGACCCAGAGGAAGGTCTGGATCCTGGAAGTTTTCTTAAGCAAAGACAGTGCTTGTTGTGGATATGAAGATGTTGACTAAGCTGGGCACAGTGGCTCACACCTGTAATCCCAGCTTTGGGAGGCCAAGGCAGGTGGATCACCTGAGATCAGGAGTTCGAGACCAGCCTGACCAACATGGTGAAATCCTGTCTCTAGTAAAAATACAAAAATTAGACAGGCATGGTGGTGGGCACCCATAGTCCCAGCTACTGGGGAGGCTGAGGCAGGAGAATCACTTGAACCTGGGAGGTGGAGGTTACAGTGAGCTGAGACTGCACCATTGCACTCCAGCCTGAGCAACAAGAGCAAAAAACTCCATCTCAAAAAAAAAAAAAGATGTTGACCAAATGGCAGACTCTTGCCATGAAGCAAGCCCAGACCTCAGTGCCAAGAGATGTGAATTAGATTCCTGCCTCTTCCACAGACTAGACATGTGACTGGGGGCAGATTCCTTCAGCAATATCACCTCATTTGGAGAAGAACTGGACTAAAATACCCTCCAAGTAGTTTATGAGTTATTTAAATCTCCCAGGCTTAGGTTTGCTCCTCTCTTAGGGGATAGCCTTGCCACCCTTCAGGAAATGGAGACTGTATATGGAGCATGTTGTGCCGCCAGCTGCTGCATGTCCCAGAGCCATCTTAAACCCTACCCTTCTGAACAATGGCTAGTCTACAAGAAGCCTTAAAAGGGATGTGAAAGTGGCAACAGTGTCCCCTCAACAACAAATACTTCCCCAAATATGAGCTTGTGTGGAGCCTGATGACTCTGCCTCTGAGGCCAATCCACTGGCATCTTTCCCAAGATGTGCCTGGACTTCCCTGAGCATGAGGCCAAAGATGGAGAATGGAAACACCCAAAAGAAGTAACAAGGAGACACGGAATTTTCCACAGGTTGCTTTCAGCTTACCAAGAGCCTGGAAAGTGAGAGAATAGATTCTCCAAAATTCAAAACTAACATTACTATTATCAATATTTATTGTCTACTTTTTGTAAACTCTTTGCATCTTTTTTCTTTAATTCTCCCAACACCCACAGAGTGGAATTATTATTATCCATCCACCATTTATTTAATAGACAAGAAAACTCAGGCTAAGCAAAACTAGATGACTTAAATAATTCTATGTAGGAGTAGGGAAAATGAATTTTAACTGGGACCGTACAAATCACTAGTCTGCACAAAGGTCTTTTTCTCATGTGTCACTTCTATCTTGTGTCATTTTGCCAGACCTCAGAATTTAGAAAGAGGAAGCAGAGGCACTTTTTATATATCAACTGTCTGTAACTACAGCAAAATTCACATCCTGTGTAATCATAAATACTGCTCTAAGAAAGGGACAGGAAGTCTCAGAGGCTGGAGAGCAGAGCACCAAGATCGTTCTGGCAGGAACAGCCAGTGGGAGGTTCCAGCTGAGCGCTCCCCAGAGGTGAGCTGATCCCCAGCCACAGCACACAGGACCAGGCTGCGAGAACAGGTAGACACCTTGGTTTAGATCATGACTTTTGGGGAAGATTGTGTGCTTTTGAAAAGACAGCCAGGGAATTGGATTATCATCCTGTCTCTGATTCTGACCACCTGTGTGAGTTGGAGCGTCAGCTCAGTCCCCTTTTTGGGTCTCAGTTTACTCACTTGTCAAATAAGAAAATTGGGTAAAACCATTCTTAGGTTTCCCTCATTGAGGTGATTTTCCTCAATGTTCTGCATTCTCCTGGTGTGTCACTCAGTCTTACAGAGTCTACTCTCAACAAATACTGTGCAATTAGACTGAATCTTGCATTAGAACCCCATGGTCCTACTCTAATTCTGTAATACAGAAAATTGCTGGGCAGAGCTGTTGACCTCCATGTCATGATTTATCTTCAAAGCACGGATTTTAGAGCTGTCTTGAAAGCTGTGGGTCCCTCCAGTCTATCTCCTCAAGGCGAATGTGGAAGGACAAAGCATCCTCTCAGACTGTGGTGTTTGGAGATGATAGCATCAGTCTGGAGACTTTTGTGAAACATAAAGAATCTTGGTTATATAGGATTCCTTCTAAAAGTAGCAACGTGTATCTAAATTCAAGTGTCATAGATTTAAATGTAATAATTCCACTTCCATACATCACTGTGAGATAATTAAATGCAGGAGGTATCACAAAAGTGCAAAGATGTTCATTATTGCATTGTTCATAGTGGCAAAAAGAAAAAATAGAAACCACCTAAATAGTCATGAACATGTGATTGATTAAATGAATCTAGAGACCTCCATTTATTTAAATATACCATTTGGCTTTTTGGTTGTAGTAAAATATGCTTAAAATAATTGTAGCCTTTTAACCATGTGTTTTTTTGTTGTTTTTTGTTTGTTTGTTTGTTTGTTTTTTAATTGAGAAAGAGTTTTGCTCAGTCACCCAGGCTAGAGTGCGTGATCTCGGCTTACTGCAACCACTGTCTTCCAGGTTCAAGCGATTCTCCCATCTCAGCCTCCTGAGTAGCTGGGATTACAGGCACTCACCATCATGCCTGGCTAATTTTTGTATTTTTTTAGTAGAGACGGGGTTTCACCATGTTGGCCACGCTGGTCTTGAATTCCTGACCTCAGGTGATCTGCCCGCCTCGGCCTCCCAAAGTGCTAGGATTACAGGCATGAGCCGCTGCACCCAGCCTTAACCATTTTTAGGTGTACAGTTCAGTGGCATTAAGCACATTCACACCATTGTGCAACCATCACCACCACCCAACTCCAGAACTTTCTTGTCTTCCCAAACTGGAACTCCGTGCCCATTAAACAATAGCTTTCCATTCCCCTCTCCCGCCAGCCCCTGGCAACCACCATTCTACTTTCAGTGAATTTGACTCTTCTAGGTGCCTCACATAAGTAGAATCATACAATATTTGTCCTTTTGTGACTGGATTATTTCACTTGCCATATTGTCTTCAAGGTTCATCCATGTTGTGCCATGTATCAGAATCTATCATTTGCTTTTAAATTTAGGCTTTTTATTATTTCTATTCATCGGTCAAAGATGTCTACAGAATAATGTTGAGTACAAAAAGAACAGTTATAAAATGGCATGGATAGAATGACTATTTCCGTAGAATTGTGAATGTCTGTGAACATATATAAAGAGGAGAGAGATAAAGTGACAGATGGGAAGAGAGAATGTAAAGAATATGTGCATAGGAAACAAGAGTGATCGGGTGGCAGTTGAAAGTTAAGGAGCTAATTTGTTTTCTTCTTCAAACTGTATTCCCTTGTAATGGTGGTACTTTATGCACTCTTTCAAACAGAACAAACAGTTAAGAAATAACAAAGGAAAATAAATGTTCATGGTATCAGATAGGCTATAGCCTGAAAGTATCAATTAAACTTTCGAGTCCTAGCTTCAGGCTGAGAATCAAGCATTTTCTGCAGTCCTTAGGTATGAGATTCGAAAAATAAAGAAAGGAACCCAGAACTCAGGAGGCTGGTGACGAAGACTAGTAGGAAGGAGTCTAGTTGGTATATTTGGGCTATTGAGCCACACAGAGCAAGGTAAAAGCCAAGTTTCTACAACATGAAAGCAAGTTGGGAAAAAGAAATCTTCAACCTATATTCCCTAAGATCAGCAATGTCCCTGGGAGAGGATATGGAACTGATGAGTGGCAGCCAATGCTTCAACAATAGGGGAGGAAGAATAGAGAGGATGAGAATCAGTTGTAGCTAGCCGGGCAAGAACAAACCTACAGGGATATAGAAGAGCTCTGGTGTTAGATGGCCTGTGCCCAAATCTTGCCTCCACTACCTGCTAGATAAGCAATCTTGCACAAGCTATTTCACCTCTCCAAGCCTCATTTTTCTTATCTTCAAAGTTCAGCACCCATCTCTGAGACTGCAGATTAAATGAGACTGTCACAAAGCTCTTAATAGAATGCCACATTCATAGTACGTGCCCAATCAATGTTAGCAATGATTATCATTTTATCATGAACTACTGTTTGATTCTGGAACCTAGAATTTCTCTAAGCCTGACACTTTTTCTCCTTCTCTGGCTTTAAAGATGTGCTGGAAGGCTCACCCTGACTCCACTGCAGGGATTCAGCTTCAACATTATTCCCCTCATAGGACATGTAACCTCACCCACACTTCTACCCAGATTTCAAAATTCCAAGAAATGAAAACTATCTCCTTAAACAAAGAGAACTTTAGGTTTAATAATTCTTCAGATAAAGTATCTCATGCCCGGAGAGCATGAGAAACTAGACTAAGGCACAGATCTAGGAGTAGAAATAAAATGGAGGTCCAAACATGGATCGACTATTATGGAACACCTGATAAAACTCAGAGAGTTACAACAAAAGACACTCACGTGTGTCATTCAAATCCTCACAAGAGTCCTTCAGGATAGTGTCATTATCCTTATTTTACAGATAAGGAAACTGGGGATGAATGAGGGAAAGTATCCTGCCTACGGCCAGCTCATCAATATCAGAACTGGGCTTCCAATGAATATTAGATAAAACTGATATGTTTTGGGAGTTTATCACATGCCTCCCCCTATGCTGAGTCCATTATATGTGTCATCTTATCCAACCTGTACCACAAACCTATGAAGTGGTGAAAATACCTTGCCCAGGGTGAGTTTAGCAGTAACTGGTGGATATGGGATCTGAACACACGACTGGACTCCAAGACATATGGTCAGATGTGCAACTAGATGCCTAGGCATTGGACTCCCATCCCAGTGCACTTTTCCATCTCCCTCACTAGGAAGAGATTCTAGGTGTCATTTCCAATTTTTACATGTTCTTCACTCCACCCAAGAGAGGCCAGAACCATTCCTAAAGCACCAACACATTGAGGCAAAATGTCAGGCAGCAGAGCTGTGGCACCTTTCAAGGATGACAAGCCTTTAACTAAACTCTGGCCTTCAGTAGGGAGAATGTTGAGCTGAAAACAAATCTGGGCAACATTTCAGGTGCTGAGCCTTGTTGCTGACACCACAGAGGCCCAGCAATGCTGCTGAGTTAGTGGTGGCAGACAACTTGCTCCTGGAATCTACAAGGGAACTGGAAATGTTAGGAAGGAAGAAAGGAAGGAAGAGGAAGAGGAGGAGAATTAACATGGCATAGAGAAAAAAATATCACAAGCGTCTGAGCCAGACAAGTCTCAATCCAGTCATGTAAACACAGGCTGTTAATATTTGCTACCATATATTGAACACATTCTAAGTGCCAGGCTAAGTACTTTATGTGACTATTTCATTCAATAAAAGTCACTTGAGCTTATTAGCCCCAGGTTTCTAATGTATAAAATTGATTTAATAACATGTAAGTTACAGGGTTGTTATAAGGATTAGAGCTGCAATGGTCTAATGCTTGGAATTCAGCAGGAGTTAAGTAAATGTTTACATTACTAATTACGAAGCCAATATAAGCAAGGAGGAAGATTCCGGATGGGACAGGCCATCTCGCTATAGGAAAGGAAAGTGGAACAGCATTCATCCTCAACATTTTTACGAAGACAAAATGAAGACTGGAGTAGAAGACTGATCAGTGCAGGTGTAGCATAAAAGTGTAATCCTGGAAGATGTGGTGTGAGAAGGTAGCACAAGTGAAGCAGAGATACAGGAGATAGGGAAGGGAAGCTGGAAGCAGAGGTCACTGGAGGGAGAGGGAGATGGACACATTCAGGGCTACAAAGCAAGTTCTATGTGATTTGCTCACCTCTCAATTGTGGGACCCCTCAAAATGTGTACAGTACTCTCCCAGTGACATGCTTCTTGACCACAATGGATGAACTGTGCCCAGCATGCCCACTTTCCAATGCTCCACTGATCCCCATGTTTTGTTTCTGAAGGACAACCAGCCTTGGAATAATGGCAAATACCTTCTTAAGTTCCTACAAAGTATGGTCCCTGGGAAGTTTATGTCTGTAAGTCAAACCTTGGGAAGTAACTGAGTTTTGATGCCTCTTCCAGCATCATCAGCATCATGCTATTACAATCCCAAACCATGGGGGTTTCTCACAGCTTTACACCAAAGGGCATCACTATCCCTCAAAGAGAGAAACCTGGACACATGTACCAAAACGAAGATTACCTGCAGAACGGGCTGCCAACAGAAACCACCGTTCTTGGGGTAAGTCCACCTCATTATAAGGGGAATACTGAGAAAATACTTTGTAAATGTATCTAGACTACAGATCTACAGTGGGTCTGGGAAACTCTTTCACTCTTTTCTGGCTGACTCCAGGCTAATGAGGACATGAAATGGAGCTTTAAGGGAAGACTCTTAAAGCTCTGCAGCAGTTTCTAGAAACTAAAACCACTAGATCTTTTTCACTAGCATGCTTCACAATTAACAGGTTAGTCTTTCTTATTTTATTTATTTATATATTTATTTATTTTGAGACAGAATCTCCCTCTGTCACCCAGCATGGAGTGCAGTGGCACGATCTCAGCTCACTGCAACCTCCGCCTCCTGGGTTCAAGTGATTCTTCTGCCTCAGCCTCCCGAGTAGCTGGGACTATGGGTGCACGCCACCACGCCCGGCTAATTTTTGTATTCTTAGTAGAGATGGGGTTTCACCATACTGGCCAGGCTGGTCTTGAACTCCTGACCTTGTGATCTGCCCGCCTTGGCCTCCCAAAGTGCTGGGATTACAGGCATGAGCCACTGTGCCCAGCCACAAATTAGTCTTTCTTATTTTGTCATTAGTACAGTAAAAATTTTCTATTTAACCATATGGATTTTACTCAATATGATTAAATTAACTTTGAGCTTATTTTT
The DNA here is from genome assembly GCF_000001405.40 of Homo sapiens. Taxonomy (NCBI): domain Eukaryota; kingdom Metazoa; phylum Chordata; class Mammalia; order Primates; family Hominidae; genus Homo; species Homo sapiens. The sequence goes on from NC_000011.10 coordinate 60,383,940, forward strand.
CAAATATTTTGAGATGAGACGATCAAGACTAATCTCATGACCCATTTTTCCCCGTTCATATGAGTAACTATAAGACATCCAAGTGTCCCAGATCATCATCCCTCATATCCAGAACTTTAATCTCCATGTGGTTTTGAATACCCTCTTATAATACCCAGGTCCTATTCACTGCCTATTTAGATGGATCTCCCTGCCCTGTTTCTTTACAATCTATTCTTAGTACAGCAGGTAGGGTACTCTTTTAAAAATGAAAGTTAGATCATGTATTCTCCTGGCTCAAAATTATCCAGTGGGATTCCTTTTTTGCTCAAAATGAAAAGCAAAGTTGGTAAAACATAGCCTAAAAATCCCTACATAGTTTGTACCATGCCTCCAGTACTTCACAAGCCTCATGTCCTACTACTTTGCTCTTAACTCTATTCTGCCTTGCATGGAACTTGTCTGTACCTTTACAGACAAGACATAGTACACATATAAGCTCTCCAATGGTAGTGATTTTCATTTGCTTCATTCCCTCGTGCCTGGCACACAACATACCTGTTGTGGTATTCAATAACTGTTGATGATGTGAATGGTTGACTTCTTTTTTTATTTCTCCTATGTTTGCATCATCTTTCAATTGCACATGCATTAAACTATGAGCAAAAGCATGGGCTTTAGAGCAAGCTAACAGCTAAACTTCAGTTCTTCCACTTGCGAAATAATTATTATTAAAATCCAATGATGAACAAAATAAGATGAATTACAGCAGAAGAGATGACCTGCTCTATCTAATTTCAACTGAAAAATCTCTTCATTAACACTCCTGTGAAAAGTTTGCTCTCTATTTCCACCTCACTGGACAACTTTTTTATCTACTTTTCAAGAAAATAAATTTAAAAACTGTCAAGTATCTTTTTCAAAAAAAGTTAAAATGTGTGTATGATCACTTTCCGATTTGCTGGTTTAATAATCCTATCAGAAAAGAAGAGGTTAGCTATACATGACTTTCTCTAGAAGCATATCGATTGGCTCCTTGTAACATTTTTCCTCTTTAATATAACAAATTATAATGTATTTTATACTCTTTATACTTTACCGTGTGCATTCAAATAATCACTTTTATCTGTTTGAAGTGCAGTCTAGATTTCCTGTCTTCTCTCTTGTAGACTGTCCAGATCCTGTGTTGCCTGTTGATTTCAAGTCTGGGGGCCATCTTGGTTTTTGCTCCCTACCCCTCCCACTTCAATCCAGCAATTTCCACCACTTTGATGTCTGGGTACCCATTTTTAGGAGCTCTGTGTGTGAGTAGAATGGGGACTCTAAGAGGGGACATGCTTTATAAATGCTAACCAGGTGCATAGTCGTGGAGTGACTCAGACTCCAAGAGGCCAGGAGGCAAAAGGCGGCAAGGCCTCGACTTTCCTTCTATCATTGCCCCACGTCACATTTCCCCTATTCAAGAAGAGCAGCAGAGAGACTTAATCTGTCTTCCTGCAGAGCAGGGGGCAAGAGGGAATGGTAATACAATGGGTATACCAGCACAGAATTTCTTACCTGGCATTACAGCATACCTCTAGAAAAGTGGATGATTTTCCATATCCCTCTTTGAGGCTTTGATGAGGCCATTGGATTCCCTCCATTGTAAGAATAATCAACTTTTCAGGTAGAGAGTGAGAAGGCCATTTTTAAACAATAAAACGAGCACCACTGGTTGATGCCACAGGTTTGCAGAGATTTGGATTAACAAGGGTAAGATTCATGGGAGGCAGGGACATGCTTGCTGTGTGTCCAGAGGTAACCCTGAGCACTAGAGAAACTCTCTTTGCTGCCTTCCACCTAATGGCTCATGAAAAAGGGCCCAGTAGATCCATTTTTCAGAGAGTGGCCAGGGCAGACTCACACTTCCCACAAAGGGTTATTTCTTCTCCACGTAGTATTTGGTACAAAGGATAAAAATCAAATATTCTGGGCAAATGAACTATACTAAGGTACCACTTCTGTGTGGATACAGTCCCTGTGTGAACACAAACTGTGCAGTCACATAAGGAGGCCCTGGTCCTGCCCCAGAGCACAATTTGTCCTTGACTTCTCCTGTAACCAGTGGTTGTGGGCCCCACATCTCCTTAGAGAAGCTAGCGTTAGCTCATACTGGACCCTCTTTGCCTGTGATTATTCAATATCCAAGCCACACACTTAAGCAACTTTTCAGCTTCTCAGAATACCCTTCCTCTGCCAGCTGGATCTTTAATACCACTGAGATTAAATACTGATTTCTGGGGCTTTATGATAAAGACTTCACGTCTGAGCCTGCTCTTCCCACTTTCCTCGACTCCCATTCTGACTCAAGCAACATACACCAATAACTTCCAGTCCATGTGTTTCTGCACCTTGTCCCATCAGAGCCTCTTTCCTGAGTGCTTCTGTTGGCTGTTCCAATCTCTCTGTCCATTCAAGTCATTGGTCCATCTCAACCTCCTCTCTTTCAACCCTGTAATTTAGTAACACTCTTCTCCTTCCCAGGTACACCTTTTCTCCAGGCCTCCTCAGTTCCTAGTGATTTCCACTAAAACAAATCCAACCCCTCTGTGCATCTGCATGTCATTCAAAGTCAATATAGACATTCTTATATCAGGTGGGAATTAGGCCTATCTAGCAATATAGATCCACAAGATTTCTGCAGTGTTCTCTCCCTAAAAGTTTTCCAACATCACTTTTTGATTGAGTGATTGACAGTGACATGGTGGGCACATTTCCACAAGACAACTGAACTGATCATTTCTCTCTCTTCTGGGCAGTTTGGCATTACTGGATCCCTCTCAATTATCTCTGGAAAACAATCAACTAAGCCCTTTGTAAGTATAAGGACCATCAAATCTCAGCTGGTTGGAATTGAAGGAACGTCAGAGTTAATTCTTCTAGTTTAAAAATCCCTATTTTACAATTTAGAGAGAAAAAGCTTAGAACAGGCTAGGAAGCCCAGGTTTTCCTGGCTGTCCCATTGGTAGAACCAAGAGTAGAGCCCAAATTTCTTGCCTTCTAGACCAGTGCTCTTTCGTCTACACAATGTTGCTCCTGGATTATATTCCAAGCTTGGAGGAGGTTTACCTCAGTTATTTAAAAAGTGTACATTTTTAAATGTACCATGGACTCTTTATAGCTTGTAACCTTGACCTTGAATAAGGTAGCCACCCATCCCAGAGAGAGCCTACAGATCCTTTTTTCTATAAAACCTGCCTCTTGGGGTTCTTTTTGATGCCAAATGTCCCCATTCATAGAGTTGGGACTTCACACAAATTCTAGCCCTTCAGCGTCAGGGTGACCAATTGTTTGGTTTTCCCAGGACTGTCTCAGTTTTAGCCCAGAAAGCCTATATCCTGGGAAACCCCTTACTCCCCAGGCAAAGCAGAATAACTGGTTTACCCTACTCTGTGACCGTGGTAACAAGTTGAAAGAAGTCCATGATATATTTTCAAAGTTCTACTATTTAAGCAACTGAAATAAACTTCTTTCAGTCAAATATCAGGTGGGGAGGCATTCATTCCCCTGTCAGAAGAGGGTGTTGCCGTCTTCATCCAGGCTGGAGGAGACTATTTCCATCCAAAGACTCATGCTTGATAATTGGATGTTTGAGAAAAAAAATCAGTTTAAAGTAAGGTGGGAGAAAATGAGGGTGATGGAGTAGGGGTGAGGGGGATGTCTGCAATGTCAGCACTGATTGCAGCACCAAACTCAAAGACAATACCACTCATGCCACTGCCAACATACCCCTGGCTTCCTCAACAACTTTAGAATTATTATATTGCCCTAAGTGCATCTAGAATATGACCTTTGGTCCCTCCCTAGAAACCCAATGTATGTCTTCTTACTTAAAAGAGCGGCTTCAGAGAAAAGACAAAAGCAAACTGAAGAAGTTGGAATACCTACCTACAGGTGGATCAGGCCTATGAGAACCACATTCACCACACCATTTCCCAACTCCTCTTCTACATTTTAGGAGACAGGATTCTCCCATAGCATGACGATTCACTAGCAAAGACACTGATGTGCCAGGCTCTGTGCGAGGTTTCCAGCACATGCTCCTCTCTGTTTAAGCATCACTGGAAGACAATGTATGTTGGGAAGGATGGTTGTCCTGCCCTTTTCTACTCCAGCTCTGTAGCTATATGGATTCATGTGCTGAGTCTTTGAAGGAAAAGTAGTCCCAGTGGGCAGTATCTTTGCCCAAAGCTACCATATGAGCAATGGAGCCCACATGTTGTTCTTTGTCCCACTTGTGGAGCCCACATTGTTGTCAAGTCCAAGCATAGATTTCCCTTTCTGTGTATTCAGTGCATTTGGGAAGCCACTTCTGAGATCAGAAGATTCATCTTCCACATTTTATAAAAGAGATAACTGAAGCCCAGAGTAAGAAGGACTTGCTCAAGCACACAGATGGATCAGTGACAGATGGGTCAGTGACAGAGCTGGGATAGGAGGAGAGGATTTCAGTTTCTAAGTCCAGAACTATGACTCCAACCAATGAATGCTGTGAACTCTTCAAAACCCTCTTCCATAATCCTGGGTTCTAGACTGCAGCTTCAATCATCAGGAGCATATACCAGCCTCATGCACCATCCATGTGTCCTCATCTGTGCCTAGCCAGGCCCTGTATCTTCTTGAGTCAGGATGTGGCTTTTCCCTAAATCACCTCTATGGGTGTGTGGCAGGGAAGAGAGAAAGGCTGCTACGGAGAGAAGCAAAGGCTTTATAGCTGCTTCCTCCCTTTCTCCCTCCAAGGTTTGTGGGAAAAGTGGCTACAGTCTGATAATATTTCTGTTTGTGAATGGGTGGAGAGAGAAGCACAGGGTCTAAGCCCATGTGCCTCTGCCTCATGCCCTGTCACTTAGGAAAATCGAAGGCATATGCTTGTCATATTGAACAAATATTGATTGTCAATTCAAGATCAATTGCTTGTCAATTGAAAGCCTATTTTATGTTCCCACAGACCTATAGATAGGTTTTCCAACTTTTCCAGTTTGCCTCCACCTTTTCTCTGAAGCTGCTCTTTTATGTAAATCAAAGTCATGGATTCAGTTTACCAGAGGGGACCGAAGTCCATATTCTAGAAGCCCTGAAGGCAACAGAATGATTCTAAGGCTATTGAGGAAGTCATGGGAGATGTTGGCAGTGACCTGAGCAGCACTGTCTCTATCTTGAGTGCTATAGAGAGTCAATGGGCCAGAACCCCTCTCCCTAAGGAGGAATTATCCATGCATTTTCTTATTCAATAAGCATTTACTAATTATATCACATGATTAACTAAATAGCGACAAGAGATACAAAGATGAATAAAACACAGTTTGTGCCCACACAAGGAAACAGGAAGGAAACAGACCCAAGGAAGCACCATTGCAGTACAATGGACAGAGGACTAATAGTGTCACGTGCTGATTCTGTGATGAGAACCCAATGCAGAGTTTCTCTTCCAGGACCTGAGCAGCTTGACCTCAAATGCAGTGAGTTCTGTTACTGCAGGAGCAGGCCTCTTCCTCCTTGCTGACAGCATGGTAGCCCTGAGGACTGCCTCTCAACATTGTGGCTCAGAAATGGATTATCTATCCTCATTGCCTTATTCGGAGTACTATTATCCAATATATGAAATCAAAGATTGTCTCCTGACCAGTGTCAGTTTAACAGTGAGTAGTTTCAGACTGAATATCCTGTCATGTGAAATCTCTGTGTCTCCCCTTTGCATACTCTCTGCTTTTCTGGCAGTCTCTGGTTGGTCGGTCCGAATGCCTGGAGACAGACAGAAATAAACAAAAACTTGTGGTTGGAAGAGGCCTGTCTGCTGACTGCATGGTGTGGGGGATGTACTATAGAAAGTCAAAAGAGGAAATCATGAAGGACAGTAGGGAGTCTATCCCTCCACTGGTCTTTCTTAATCACAAACGTTCCAACCTTAATGGGTTTAACTCTTAAAGTACAACCTTTGTTGTACTCATCACAGGCAGAAATATTCTTCCTACTCATCACAGGCAGAAATATTCTTCATTTGAATTATATTTTAATTTGGGATTCTTTTGGGTTCTTTTCCAGGGGTTGGATGCCCCTACCCCTTAAAGATGCTTGTCTTCTGATCATCAGTGAATTGAGGACTAGCAGAGGCTGTACGGTGTTTAAGTTAATCTTCAAATGCAAGCCTGTATGCTACATTATGTTAGGCACAAAACTTGAACCTTAAGTCCAAATACATAGTTATTTTGTACTTTGGTCTAACAGGGCTGACAGAGAGTGGTGGGAAGGGAGACAACGGATTTGACTTCTAGAAAAAATGTCAACCTCTCTGGGCAGCATTTTCTTGGCACCTTTCTCCCAAACTTGATGATCACTACCTGTTCGTGGTGACAAGCCTTGCTTATTCAATCCTATAAATATAGTATCATGGTGTTAAAACCATAAACCAGTGGCCTTTTAAGAAGAAAGACTTCTTCCTCTATGAATCCTCCTAGTAGGAGCACAGGGAACCCAAGGTAGTATCTCTCATTCCCTTGGATCCATCTATCTCACAAATCTCAGAAAATGTGTGCAAGCTTTTGCACTCCTGTGGGTCTGCTCATGTGACCCAGAGATTGTCAAAAGCAACCCCTTTGGTTCAGGAGCTTGAGGAAGTGGAAGAGCACAGAGACCTGTCTGGAGGAAACCCAGTAGATAGTGTCATCCTGGTGTAGGACAGACATGTGGTAAAGCAATGGGGGTGGGAGAGGCATATTGGGGGTTTAATTTAAAGAAAATGAATTTCATTACCCCAAACTGCTTCCCATTCTGAGACAACTGGAGTCCAAAAGAACTTCCTACAATATGAGAGAAGTTGCAACATAGCAGACTAAGCAGACTCCAAAGGCCTACTCTTTGTTAATTAACACAGCAATTACCTGAACAAAAGTAATGAAATTTTAAAAATTAAAAAATATATAGCCAAAGTTGGAAGAAGAAAGGAAGGGAGGGCAGAAGGAAAAACAAATCTAAGAAGAAAGATGACTTAGGTTCCAGAAGCTAAGAAGGATCCTAAAGCCAAATCATCAAACAAGAGCTGAGGCCAAAATACCAAGGAAGTCTGAATAGGAATATTGGTATTAGAGGCTAGGATCACACAGTTTTAACATCCATGACAAGATTTGGCATTGGACAGGGCCATAAAGCTCATATGGAGTACCCTGCAAAAATGTTGAAAGCTGATACTGAATATTTACTCAATTTGTGAAAATAATATAAGGAAAATTCTGCCCAACATCCCAAGAAGTTTCAAGAAAACCTTCCGTCAGCTCACTAAGCTTTGTGCAAGTGTGCCATCTGAATTCATAATTACATATAAAATAGGGGGACCTCAAATAAAAGCATTAAGTTAAAAACTGTTACGAGATATGTGAAACTTCTAAGGTTCTAGCAGAATCAAATCTAAAACTACTATCTAAGGAGATGTCCGTAAACCCAACTTATAAGATGCCTCCCTATCAAAGAACCCTACCACTACCACCATCTACAAACTGAAGTTATCTAATAACCAAAATATTATGAGAAACATAACAACAGCACAAAAAAATGAGTAGCGGCAGCAAATGGGGAAACATGAAAGTCAGAAGCTCAAGAATTGGAGATAACATAATAATTTGAACAAGGCTATTATGAAAATACATTTTAAATCATTAAAGATGTTTAAAAAGTAATAGAAACCAGGCCAGGTGCAGTGGCTCACAACTGTAATTCCAGCACATTGGGAGGCTGAGGCGGGTGGATCACCCGAGGCCAGGAGTTTGAGACCAGCCTGGCCAACATGGTGAAATGCTGTCTCTACTAAAAATACAAAAATTAGTCAGGGAGGGTGGTACATGCCTGTAATCCTAGCTACTTGGGAGGCTGAGGCAGGGGAATCACTTGAACTCGGGAGGCAGAGGTTGCAGTGAGCTGAGATCACACCATTGCACTCCAGACTGGGTGACAGAATGAGACCCTGTCTAAAAAAAAAAAAAAAAGTAATAGAAACCAAAATGGAAAAAAAAAAAAAGGACAGTAAAGGAAAAAAAAGATATGTGCATTTGAGAAAAAAATGAAATCACATACTTGGAAATGAAAATTGTCTTTGAAATTAAAAACTGAGCAGATCAGTTAAACAGCAGATTCAATATATTCAAGGAAACAAAGAGTGAAATGGAATTTAGATTTGATTAAATCACACAGAACACAACACATTATGTGTGTTTGGAAAAGATGGATGAAAGCCTAAAAGGTATGATGGATGCAGGGAAGTGGAGAGGTTCAGTACATATCTAGTAGGAGTCCCAGTGAGAGATTATAAAAGAGAGAGTATATGCAAAAGTAAATAACTAGAAATTTTTTAGAATTTAATAAAAACATGAGATTTCAGATTGAAGGAATGCATTGAGACCACTGCAGGATACACAGAATCAAATACACACCTAGAAATATCATCATGACAATAAAAACACCATAGTCAAAAAGAAAATAATAAAAGCAACCAGAGATAAGTGGCAGATTACTCTCATCTATCATTAGGTGGGATACCAAAGTTCTGAGATGATGCCGTTGCTGCTTATTTCCCTTCATCTATTAAGAAATCTGAAAAAGAAAGCAGAAAAGAGGATTAAGCAATTTTCCCTGTCTCCTTTTCTCTGCATTGCTGGAGCCTCATCGCCCTGTCTCCTCTTAGCCAGGCACAAGGGCTAGCTTGTCTTGGGTACCAGCCATTCATGTCCTGATTTGCAGGGTGTCCTAGTGGTGATGCTCATCTTCACTGTGCTGGAGCTCTTATTAGCTGCATACAGTTCTGTCTTTTGGTGGAAACAGCTCTACTCCAACAACCCTGGGGTGAGTATGCTGACATGTCGCCTGATACCTGCTGTGTCTCAGGTCCAGGCTACAATAATCCAACCTCAAAAAGTGGCAAAAAGAAGAATCAATTATTGTTCATGAGGTGCATGTGGAAGGCCACTTTTATAATTAAAAAAATGAGTTTAACAGTGAAACCCCATCTCTACTAAAAATATGAAAAACTAGCCAGGTGCAGTGGCACACGCCTGTAGTCCCAGCTAGTTGGGAGGCTGAGGCAGGAGAATTGCTTGAACCCAGGAAGTGGAGGTTGCAGTGAGCTGAGATCACACCACTGCACTGCAGCCTGGGTGACAGAGTGAGACTCAGTCTCAAAAAAAAAAAAGAGTTTGTATAAATGGGCTCCTTCTGGAGGACACTCTGGTCATCTGGGATCAGCTGGTGTCTACTGGGAAGCAGACCAGTTAGAGAATTGCTTAATATGAAGCTAGTTGGTTTTAGAAATCACATAGCCCAACCCCTCATGAAAGAACCACGGCTTGGATAAAATTACATAGAAAATGAATGACACAGACTATTGGGCTGAGAATGAGAACGCGTATCCCCTCACTTTTATCGGGAACACAGCTACCTGCCTCCCGAGAGAGTCTCCCTAGCCAAGTTTCCTTGTTAATGTGATGAGACTTTACTAGAATGTCTCTGTCCTGTTTATGCTTCCCTGTGCTCTTCCTTACATCCCCTTAGCTCTTGATGTTATAATTTTAAAATATTTTCATTTCCCCTAAAGGCTACAACAACAAAAGAAATGTTTATAGAATTTGGATGAATTATGATTTAACTATGATCCTATTTAAAATAGTAAAATAATTAGCAGACTGGAGAATTGCATTATTTTTAATTAATATTGCTGCAATTACATATTATGGCAAAGTTGGAAGAACTAGTACTACACAAAACTTGGGGAAAAGGTATTATGAGTTATCTTTTTTAATCTCCGAAATCAAAGTTTAAAAATTCTAACCAATTATGTATTTTCTAGAGTTCATTTTCCTCGACCCAGTCACAAGATCATATCCAACAGGTCAAAAAGAGTTCTTCACGGTCTTGGATATAAGTAACTCTTGGCCTCAGAGGAAGGAAAAGCAACTCAACACTCATGGTCAAGTGTGATTAGACTTTCCTGAAATCTCTGCCATTTTAGATACTGTGAAACAAACTAAAAAAAAAAAAGCTTTTGTTTTGTATTTGTTTACTATGAGTCGTTATTTAATTTCTCTTGAAAATAATTTCCTCAAAGCCCAAGTCAATAAATGTTATCAGCCAGTCTTCCAAAATGGTCATAAACTTTATAAACTGCTTTGGGTAAACTGAGCAGAAGGTGATACACAGAAGGGAAAATGTGCACTCATGCTAGTGTGAATTTGGTAAGTTGCGTGACTCTGCAGGCTGTTTCTGTATTATTTTCACACTCATATTGCTTAAATATTACATATTAGGGATTGTAAGAAAACTTTAATTAAAAATTAAAGACTATATATAATTAAACTACTCTGCCCTGGACACTCTCTGAGAAACAGATCTACTGGGCCCTTTTTCATGAGCCATTAGGTGGAAGACAGCAAAGAGATCTTCTCAAGTGCTTAGGATTACCTCTCAACACACAGCAAGCATGTCCCTGCCTCCCATGAATCTTACCATGTAAATCCAAATCTCTGCAATCCTGTGGCACCAACCAGTGGTGCTCATTCTATTGTTTAAAAATGGCCTTCTTGGCTGGGCGCGGTGGCTCACTCCTGTAATCCCAGCACTTTGGTAGGCCGAGGTGGACGGATCACCCGAGGTCAGGAGTTTGAGACCAGCCTGGCCAACAAGGTGAAACCCTGTCTCTACTAAAAATACAAAAAATTAGCCAGGCATGGTGGTGCGCACCTGTAGTTCCAGCTACTTGGGAGGCTGAGGCAGAAGAATCACTTGAACCCGGGAAGGGGAGGTTGCAGTGAGCGGAGACTGCACCACTGCATTCCAGCCCGGCCTACAAGAACAAAACTCCATCTCAAAATAAATAAAAAAATAAATAAAAATAAAAATAGACTATATATAGTCTTTGAATTCATTTATTTTAAATAAATGAATAAAATAAAATAAAAAAGAATATTCAGTCGTTGGCACATAAACTATGTTCTCTTCTGTCATTTCAGGGTAGGAGTCAATGAAGACATCTTAGTCTTAACAAGTTACAGATAATCTCTGACTGGCATGTTTTCTGCTTCTAGCTTGGAGCTAAATGCTGCTCATGCTGAAAAGAATAATGTCTATTTCTTTGTTTGGGTATTAGCTCTATTTTGATCTATAGCACAGTTTTGTAATTCAGATCATCACCCCTGCACTTTGTACCACATGGGCGTATTCTTTCTTCCCAGTCATTGCTGCAATTATCTTGTCTGTTCTTTGTGTAATATGTTCTGTGTGAGCCTCTGCATTAAACTCGATTTCTTGGGCAATTATGGAAATTCCAGTGTGGCTGCAGTTTAACTTTGCACTCTCTATGCATATGAGGTTTCCTAAATAAATGAGGAGTAGCATAGTTTAAAATATATATATCTTATAACTTTCTACAACAAAGAATTATTGAGTCCAAATGTCATCAGTGCTCATTTTGAGATACCCTGCTATCGATGGTCGCTACAAACCAGGAAATACTCAAGTTATTATGTGTATACATTGGTTTTAGTTTTATGAAACAATTTACCTTCATGATCTCATAGTTAAAATTGTAATAAATTTAGGAATATAAAGGATCAATATGGGAAGCAAAATTTCTAAAGGCAGTTTCTGTTGTTTTAATTAGTATTTGTGTAGTTCAAACCAGGAAGGATTTGACTATCATTAGATTTTGCTTAACTTTATGAAAGCTAAAATATTCTCTGTTATAAAGGGGCAACTCCATCTGGTCCTATAGCATCTTTACTACTGATTTTTTTTTGTTTAATTTGAAAATGCAAAGAATTGTTAAATGTTCTTAAATGTTCTCACTACAAAAAAAGAAAAAAGATAACTACGTGAGGTGATGGATATGTTAATTAGCTGGATTGTGGTAATCATTTTGGAATGTATATGTATATCAAAACATGTAGTACACCCTAAATATATATAATTTTTATTTGTCAAATATACCTCAATAAAGATGGAAAAAAATCGAAATTCAAAGTTATCTACTGATTTTTATAATACAGAGAAATATGGTTAAACAGTAAGTTAGAAAATTCATCAAGTAAAAGAAACTCCTTTCAAAGGAGGGCAGAAGCGTGGCTGAGTTTAAAAAACATAGATTTTGGAGACAGGTCAAGTTGAGTTTGCCCCTTCCCTGTCCTGTATGTCTTTGGGTGACATAACCTTGCTGTTCCTCAGTTTCAGTATTGTAGAACTGTTAAAAGAATAAATGTTAGTGCATGTCAACACCTTCTACACAGTTCCCAGAACATAAGGAATATTCCATAAGTTTTAGTTCCTTTATAACTCATGAACATATGTGTAAGGACTTGTTTCGTATATACCATCTATTCTTTGTTTACCATATGTTTGTAAGCAAATTGACAAGAGAGTAAGTCTTCTGGATACAGTACTTTTCACCAGGAAGATGGGGGGCTGAGCATGCTCTAGAATTCTAAAACTCTGTGACTCAACTATGATTCTGAGATTCTACTACTGAGTAGAGTCATCACTAAGGGCTCATCTCTGAGGGCTCCATGTGACTCTGGTGGAGAGGTAGATCATGATTTGGGCGGCAATGTTTGCTCACTCTTTCCCTTACTAGAGTTCTGCCATAGAATCATGGAGTCAACATCCCAGGACAGAAGGGCAACTCACGTCATCACTATAAAACCAAACGAAACTGTATTGACTGCATTTCCCTACAGACCTCATAGCTCTCTGCTGGATTTTCTGAAGGGAGAGCCAAGAGTCTTGGGGGTAAGTCCTCTCCAGTCAATAGGTCTTCCAGAAGGGGAGAAAAGAAGTTTATTTATTCATGTATGTCTGCAGAGATATGCAGAGATTATTTTCAGGGAGGGAGTTAATTCTACTTTTCCCCCTTCACCTTACATGAGAAATTAGTACTGATCTTTGAATCCCAGCAGAGGGGGAAGCAAGAAACTAGTATAACTTTTTAAAATATCTCATTGAGGAAGTGACTTCAGGGTGTGGTGGCACCTCCCTTGAAGCTAAGAAACCATAAGTGGAGAGGTTTGACTTCCCCTTCATGCTCTTAAAGGAATTGGGAGTGCTTCAAAACCCATATTCAAAGCTCCACAGTGAACCAAATGATAAGGCATGCAAAACGTTTTTCATCACAAATGCACCCAGGGGAGAGCTGTATGCACAGCCTCCATCCTTTGTACAACAGCAAAAATCATTACTTGGTGTGCCACAGCCCAGAGATGTGGCCTGGGGACAAAATCTAGACTGCCAGAGAAGTTGCGCCCTGAGAACCACTGCTGCTATTCTTTTCCCTGCAGATTCCTACAAGCTGATAGGCCCACTGGGCTATTCTCATCCCTAGTTGGGTCCATGGATGAAGGGGAGGTGAAATGCAAGCTCATCCCAGGTTCTCCACTCTATGTCATCAAACTTTTTAAATTTTTAGACAACTGGGATGAGCCCCAATTCCAAAAGCCTATACTGAGTGCTGGAAAATGTGGGGGTGGGGGCTGTTAGGATAATAATAGGATACTGGTGAGACAGACGAAAAAACAAATGTAAAGGTGAATAGTTTATAGTCCCTGTGCTCAAGAAGCTTATAATCTGGGGGTAGTCAGACATGTACTCAAATCTGTCTGATATAAGATTAATTGGTAACACCAGGGAAGATAGAAAATAATAAAGAATAAAAGTGAAGGATTTGAACCTGAAGGATCCAGGCAAGCAAAGTGGGAAGGAAACACATTGAACTGAGTCTCTTAACAATCTGAGAATGATTGACAAATGAGAGAGGAAGGCATTTGGATGGAGGGAAAGGTGTGCCATGGAGGCACACCCTGAGGGACGTGGGGTAGCCCACAGGGTCTTGGATACTTGTAACCTCATGTACCCATTTCTCTCCTCACAGGCTACCCAGATCCTGCTTGCTCTAATCATTGTGGGCTTTGGAACTATATTTGCACTTAATTACATCGGTTTCTCCCAAAGACTTCCCCTTGTTGTCCTCACAGGATATCCATTCTGGGGAGCACTTATTGTGAGTACTGTCGATTAGAAGCTTTGGAGAAATTGCTATAAAGATAGATTTGAACTGCTTCACGTCCTAGGGTAATGAATTCCATAAATATGGCCCTCCAGGAGACCAAAAAAGGCAGCTCCCTTCACGGCAAAAGAAGCAACTCCATTTGGTCACTGCACTACCATCATCATTGTAATAACTACTCTCAGGTGCTTAAAATTTGTTTCCAAAGCCCTTGTGTGTATAGTAAGACATTTGCTCCTCAATACCAACCTGGGAGACTAGATGCACAAATATCCTACTTATTCCTTTGCAAATAAGGAAACTGAGCTCAAAAGTAGAGAATAACTTAAACATATCTAGCCTAGCTAGCACTCATGGAATCACAGACTCTGAAAGCTTAAAAAGAATTTTAAAATTATTATCACTCATCCTCCTTCTTAGCCCCAGAGACAACTTTATGAGTGGCACTCATCTAGATAATCATATAGCCATAAATATTATTCTTAATACAGTGCTATTTCTATCCAATCCCCACAGCCTGGATTCCTAATTTTGTGCCATAATATTTAAGGACAGACTCATTAGAGCTTCTCCTACTATAACATACACTCCTGAGAAGACAGCAGTGTTACTGTCTGTTTTAGTTGTTATATTCTGAGAACCTAGAATCATGCTTGAGGCATAGTGTGCATGAACGAACGAATGAATCAATCAATCAATCAATCAACAAATAGGTGAAATAATTAATAAATTAGGCCACTATCTCTGACTATTAAAAATCCACAGTCTCTTTTGATAAACAGAAATACTCCATGCCTTTTCTATAATGTGCATTTCAGAAACAACCAGCAGTGTTTTCATTTTCCCAATATAAATAATGTAATATTCAATATGATTTTCAAACTATACATGCCATACTGTAGAAAATCAAACAGACCAACCCCTCACTTTCTCATTTCACAACAGAATTGTCCCAGTGTGACTTTGTGTACTCTGCATGTGTGAATTAAAATGAGATTCTGGCATGCTGCTTTTGAAAACTCTACTTTTCACTTAAAAGATATTTACTGAGCACATACCGCGTCTTCAATGGCATCCTAGGTGCTGAGACTGAGAATACTGGAAAACAGCTCCTCTCTGAGAGAAGTGGTGAATTGTTCTTAGATTTAGACAGTTTGTCATCTAACTGGGAGACTAGACATGAAAAAGTCAAAAGTAACCCCAAATATTTGTTCCTACACTTGTGCTAAGTGCTCTAAGAGGAGAGTTCCAGGTGCGATGTGAGGGTTTAATAGAGGACTCACCTGACCATGGAGGTCAGGCAAGTGCTTTCTGCGTAGCTGCTCACTAGGCGAAGTGGAAGGAAAGCATCCCTGGCAAAGATAAAGCATGAGCCAAGGGCTTGATGTGGGAAAGAGTAACCAAAAGAAGACCAATGAATCTATCGTGATGGCATAAAATGAGGCTATAAAGGTAGGGTGTAACCAGGTCGTGCCAACCCCTATAGTCATGTTAAGAAAATGGAACTTCAATGTGAAAGCATGGGAAAGCCACTGAACGTTTTTAAAGAGGATAGTGACACTTGAAGACTTGTTGAAGTATCATTGTGTTTTTAGAGTGAGAAATTAATTCAATTATAACAGTAAACCTAGGAGAATCCAATGAGAGGAGGCTACAAACACACAGATGAGGAAAGAGTTTCCCGAACTAGCTTGGTGGCAATGGAGCTAGAGATGGAGAGCCTTGAGAGTGACTCGGAGGTAGAAGTGACAGGACTTGGCAATCCAATGTGGGGAGTGAAGCGGAGGGAGGTATCAAAGGTAACTTTCTGATCTCTGCAAGTCAGCTGCAGATCCTTGGACTCTAAGACCCAGATGTCCCCAAGGTCCAAGGCCAGTTCCCACAGAGAAGGTTCCCATCCCCAGAACATTAAAAAAGTAAGGGACTCCACATGGAGTGACAGAGTTCTCATTTTCCTGAGGTGGTACTAGGCTCTACGATCATGGGAAATGAGGGACTCTGATAACTACACTAGATATCAGTCCCCATATCAGCCTTTAGAGGGGTCTTCCTTGAGAAAGTCTCCCTTCACCTGCTCAGAACAGGCACAGCTCCTCCTCTTCTCTTCAAGGCCCAGAGCTCAGGAATCTCTTTTTGGAGCCCCAGCCGGATCAAACATCTGGTCCTCTGGATCTTAGAGGAGCCTGCCTGTCCCAGTTGGCCCTGGCAGAGAGCGCTTGTTCAGTGCTGAGCAAATCCAGCACAAAGTTTCTTCCTACCCTACCTACGCCTACCTTCCCTACTCCCTGATGCTCAGGTGGAAAAACGGGATGGTCTTGGAGATTCACAAACAGATATTTTGCAAATCCAAGGGAAATTATACTGCAAGGTGGTCAAACACATCACCTGTTAACTTTTGTCTCTTGTCTTCTTAACAGTTTATTCTTACAGGATACCTCACAGTAACCGATAAGAAATCAAAACTTCTGGTAAGCCACTTAAACTACATAAAATTTAAAATCTTCTATTTGTTTTATATCATCTTTATGTATGAAGCCTTTAGTAATAAAGTTACCTTTCAGGAAAATCTGTATGCATCAAAGTTGCAGTTCAGATCATTCCTATTTGCCAGTGCCACTGTTTGCCTGACAGACATTCTTACACTTGTTCCCATTTCCCTGGTCAAGTAAACTAAAAGAGTTGTTTATTGGAAACCATTCTGCATCCCTGTAATTCATTGTTTGTAATTAGGGGTAATTCCCTGCCCTGCACCCCCCAGGACCCAGAAATATTGGACAACATCTGAAGACATTTTTGGTCATTACAACTGGTGTTATTGGCAACAAGTGAGTAGAGGCCAGGGACATTTCTAAGCATCTAAAATGCACAAGGCAGCCTCCCCCCAACACAAAAATTATCCAACAAAAAATGTTTATAGTACCAAGGTTGAGAAACCTTGCTCTAACCAAAACCAATCCTAAGCTCTCACTAATTCTTCCTCCCAATCCTAGCCCTATCTCCAATACCAACCGAGGCTTTTCTTTAGATCCTGCCCAAGGTCTGGAAGAAAGAGTTTGGGCATCAATGCTGGATTGTTCTAGGATTGAACCAAGGCTATCACTCACTTCTGTGTTAACCTGAAGGGAAAAGTGCCTACTTCTAAGGGTTATTTTGAGAGTTTAATGAGACATTACTGATAAAAGGCAAGATGATGCTTAAATGTTCATACTCCTTTCTAACCACTCTGATCTTGTTTAAGGTCCTGGGGATGTGGGCCTCTCTGAAAGTCAGTTGAACTCTGTTCTTATGGTCCTCTGCCAGTTTCCTCTAGGGATAGTTACAAGGCATAGAGACATTCTGAGGGGAGGGCAGATAAATGTTTCCATCCCTGCTTATGGAAATACATGCAGACAATGCAGATGAAGCCCCAAATGCTGTTCTCCCTGTATTGACTTCCTTCCAGAGCTGAGAAATAAACTATGGGTAAGGAAAACCTACTCCTGACTCACTGAGAGCTATGCAGATGGAGGTGTGCAGGAATGATGGAGGCAGGATGCTGAACCAGGCATCAGAAGACCTGGCTTTTCATCACAGCCCTTCCACAAACCGTGAAAGTGATTGCTCACAGTCACTTACTTCCTTAATTCCATTTATCTGTAAAATGTGGATAACAACAAGTGTCCTTCCTACAGCACAAAAGTATAATGAGAATCAGAAGAGACTAGGCTGGGCATGTTCTTTGTAAAGCCCAATACACATGAGGGATTGATTATCTAGAGATCTTAGTCTATAAAATGTCCTATGGGAGCCAAAATAGAGCCTTGAGAAAACAAGGGGACTAAAGACCAAGAGAGAGATGGCCTATCTATATGTTCCTGTGCATTTTCTGCCAAAGTGCCTATTTGCAATAAAAACCTGGGATTGAGGTAAACATTAAGTCACAAGTACACTTCTGAGGTTTGCCACACCAAGCCACAAACTTCCAGAAAGGACTGGCTGTGTAAAGGCATCATTGTATTTTCCACCACGGTAGTCATAACACAATCAATAAAGGTACAGCAAATACCTGATGAATGGAAATGTGAAGCTTTTCTTTGTTTTTCCTTTAAAAGAGTGATATCAGTCCTGGGAGTGGGTAAGAAGGAAGAAATCAGATGACCCCCTTCCTGTAAAGGAACTCGGATATACCTACCCCACCCACCCACACCCCCCTCCAAAAAAATAAGAATGAATAAAGGGAATTGGGTGGGGCAGTGTGAAATATTTTTATTGCAACAATGAGTTCAAGAAAAAACACCTTTAAACTCCAGTCCAAATAGGTTAACATCTTTAAATGTTAACGATTCTGTTGATTATTGCTTGAATTCTCCCAGGGAATGACTGTAAACCACATGATTGCAGGATGTCACCTCTTTTGTTCATTTTTGTTTCTCCAGGGCCTAATGCAGTACTCACATGTATCTGGTGCACATTAAATATTTATGAAATAAATGAATAAATGGATACTACCCTAAAAGTTAGGTGACACATTCACATTTTTAAAGGCAGAAATTGAGATTCCAGGAGATTAGGTTACTTGCCTAAGGTCCTAGTGAAACTTGGACTTGAAATGAGGTTTCATTTCCAAGCAAAGATATTTGCTAACACATTGTACTGCTTCCAGATTATGAAAGATGGTGGTGATAAAATGAGATAAAATGGGATAAAATGAACATTTTCTTTAGCATTAGCCATAGAGCATCCTTAGCCCATTCTAAAACTTGGTTTGTCTTCTGACTTTAATGAGTTAGAATTTAGTTTATTAAGCCTTCCAATCATACTGACCTGATGGAACAACTCTTCCCTGAGAAGTATCTGGAAAGATAAAAGCACTAAAAATTTCTTACAAGATATTTTTGCTTTGGTTTCGATCTTATTTATTTTATCATTTTTAAACTATCTTTCAGGGTCAAGGTGTCACGGGCATGAATGTTATCAGCTCCTTGGTTGCGATAACTGGGATTACTTTCACCATTCTCAGCTACAGACATCAAGACAAGTACTGCCAGATGCCATCCTTTGAAGAAATATGTGTTTTCAGTAGAACTCTTTTCATTGTAAGTGGTCTTATTTTGCATGAAGAATCCCTAAAATCTTCTCTGAACTGTGTCCATGATGTAATGATTCACTGATTTTTATTTTATTAAATGAAGTTGTGTCAGCATTTGAACTGACGGTTGAGAAGGGTACCATGGGGTTACTGTTACAATGGTTAAGGAGCGATATTTTCTGGACTTGAATCCTGTTCACACAAGCTTGTCACCTTGGCCTAATATTGTATTCTCTCTAAGCTTCGGTTTTCCTCAAGTGGAAAATGAACATAATGAGAATGCTTACCTCATGGGTTGTTGTGAGGATTGCTTAAATTAAAACAGTACCTTGCACAGTTAAATAGTCAGTAGGTTTAGCTAATACAATTATTATGGCCATAGATTGAATTAAATTTTACTGTTTCAGCATTAATGAACAAAATGATCTAAAAGTTTGCTCAATAACACTGAGATCAAAATACAGTGGGGGAAGGTATTTAGAAGTCATTTAAAAAAATAAGGATTTTTATAAGCTTAAGACATACATTATTTCACATAATTGTGGCAATTTTATTCATTAAAGCAGATGAGAGATCTTTTACCAGGAAATGTAGTTGTCTGTGCAATTTAAAGTATTTATCTAACAAGTAATCAGTGACATTATTTTTAAGCATGTCAGTGACTCCAATAGGCCTTTCTCTCTAGTTCCCTAAGCAAGTCCTGGGGTTTTATTTTATTCCTACCAGCTATATCTTGAAGCATGGGTTCTATAATTTGAAGAATATTTGAATCCGTTAGAAGGGAAATAAAGTGGAATCACAGAAAATGGTCTTCCTCAGTAAATAAGAAATGAGAAGTTAGTTCCTGAATACAAGAGGTAATTTAATCCTCACAATCACTCAGTGAAATGGTCCCAGGGACTCTCTCATGTGTTCTGAGATAAATTCTAAAATTAGACTCATGATAGATTACTAAAGAAAGCCAGAAAACAACATAAGCGATAAAACCCTGTCCTAACTGGGCCAAGAACATGATACAACATTATAATTCTTGGCCATTGCTGAATGGACAGGAGGCAACTACTGTTTGTTATGTTCGTATATACGAGGAAGAACTTGTATATACCCGAAAGGGTTAAATCTCCAGATATATGAAATTCCGTATTTCCTGCTGTCCATGGATGGGTATTGCAAGATTAGTTACCTGCATACAGAACCATGAACAATCTCTTCCTAGTTCTCACTTACATAACTTAACAATTTCTTGCTGTAACCCAAACATCATAAGCTAAAAGAGCCAGAACAGTGGGCTTTAGATGTCTCTTGGGCTGACCCCTGTCCTAAAGACCAATCTATTGTCTATACTGTGGCTAGAGTAATCATTTAAAAATGTAAATCTGAGCCATTACTTAATGGCTTCCTGTAAAACGTATGATGATTAAGACCCAAATCTTAACAGCCTTACCAAACCCTGTAACACCTATCCTACCTATCTTTCCAACATTATTCCAGGACTTCATCCTTCTCACTCCTCCACACTCCAGCCACTTCCTATAATCCCTTAATGTGTCAAGTATCCACGGCCCCAAGATGATCAGAGGATCAGCTTCTTCCGGCTTTGAACCGTCACCAGGCCAGTTATACAATTAACTCATCCTCATACTTAAATCTCAACTGAAATACCACTTCTTTAAGGAAGTTCTTCCTGACCTCACCTCTATGCTCATATCTGCATAGATCCCCCATTAGAGTAGCGCATAGCTCCCAATCCTTCTTCACAGCATTTATCACAATTTAGTTAGGTAAATAATTATCTAATTACTTGTTATTGTCTGCCTCCCTTACCATGATGTAAGTTCTACAAAATCCAAGACCAGGTATATCTTGTTCAATGGAGAAAGTCAGTAAATTGCATACAATAGGGTCTTCATACATTTCAGTTTTACCAACAAATATTGAATATTTAAGATTTTGGGTGTATTGCAGGGAAACCAAGATTCAGAAACACACAGTTATTTGTTCAAGGTTAAGTGGGACTTTGGACCCACTTTTTTTTTTTTTTGAGATGGAGTTTTGCTCTTGTTGCCCAGGTTTGGAGTGCAATGGCACAATCTCGGCTCACCACAACCTCCGCCTCCTAGGTTCAAGCAATTCTCCTGCCTCAGCCTCCCGAGTAGCTGGGATTACAGGCATGCACCACCAGGCCCAGCTAATTTTGTATTTTTAGTAGAGACGGGGTTTCTCCATGTTGGTCAGGCTGGTCGCAAACTCCCAACCTCAGTTAATCCTCCTGCCTTGGCCTCCCAAAGTGCTGGGATTACAGGCGTGAGCCACCGCGCCCGGCCAACCTTGGACTCACTGTAACTCAGGTCTTTCTGTCTTCATAGTTTAAACTTTTGAGACACCATAAGGTACCATGTTACTTCTCAATATAAACATTACCTTAAAGCAAAATGGGCAAAATGGCAATCTGTGGGCTATATCCAGCCTGTATATATGTTCTATCTGGCTCTTTAGGGAAAAACAAACAAAATAGGCATTATGGTATCCATGTTCCCACATGACAGCAATTGGCTGGAATTGAGTAATGGATGCCTCCTATGAATACTATTACTCTCTACTCTTTCCCTGTTTAGTTCACAATGACTGCCCAGCTCCCATGGACATTGGAGTTTGTTATCCCTGCCTCATCAGAAAGACACAAGATGAAAATTGTGCAGTGTCTGATGGCTACAGAACCATCCAAAATATGGGTTTCCCATACTTGGTGATAGAGTGTAAGGGGTTCTCAGCTTATATATTTAAAATAACAGCTCTCATTTCAAATACCATTTATTTCTCCTCATTATTTGCAGGGAATTTTGTTAATCTTACTGATCATCAGCATAGCAGAGCTCAGCATCTCTGTGACTATTGCATCCTTTAGAAGCAAGTGCTGGACACAGTCAGATGAGGTGTGTTCTGATGTCTCTTAATATTATTAAGAGAACAGGTTCCTGTTCCTGTTGGGATACTGCACACAATGATGTCTGATTTATTAGTAGGAAAAGCAGCATGCTCAGATGCTGAAATAAAACATCTAAATTTAGGAAGGTCAGAGAGGGGCAAGCTTAAGATTGAAGCTCACCCCACCATCTGAAACAACTATGCTTTCCTTTCTTGTACTATCTGCTTTATACTCAGTCATCTCTGTTAAGACATAGCTCCTTATGTCTCTGCCAAAAATATGTAATATCAGACTTAACAGGAACCCAAATTACTGTGACATGGGGTGTATATTCTTGGATCATAAGATGTGTGACACAGTTCCACCACCACAAAAGAAATAGGAAAAAAAGCTGTTACTACTGATACTACATAGTATTTATAATAATTGTTATAGATTATATTTACTGAATTCTGACTATGTCAGTCACTGTTATAATCACTGAGCACCAACTTAATCTTAACAAAACTATTATAACATCTTTATTTTACATATGAAGGAAGTAAGGCACAAAGAGGCTAAACTAACCTCTCCAGTACCACATAACATCAGGATTCTGACCCCTGTGATATGTCTCCAGAGCCTGCTCACTAAGTCCCAAATACCAGTACAGGCCTTGTGATTTATGGAGATTTCATTTCTCTCTCTAGCTCTCTCTTTTTTTTACATCAACTTTATAGAAGTATCATTTATAAACAACAAAATGTACCTATGTTTAGCTACCATCACAATCAAGGTATAGTGCATTCCTAGCATCCCGGAAGGTTCACTGGAACCCCTTTGTAGTCAATGTTCTCATCACCTAGATTGGTTTTGACTTTCCAAAATTTCATATTCATGGAATCATAAGTAAGTACTCTCTGTATATGGCTTATATGGCTTCTTCCACACAGAAATATGTTTTTGAGAGTCATCCATGCTGTTGCCTCTATCAAGAATTCATTCCCTTTATGTATGGGTACACCACAATTTGTTTATCAATTTACCTTTTTTTTTTTTTTTTTTTTTTTTTTGAGTCGAGACCTCACTCTATGACCCAGGCTGGAATGCAGTGGCACTGTCTCGGCTCACTGCAGCCTCAATCTCCTGGACTCAAGCAACCTTTCCACCTCAGCCTCCCAAATAGCTGGGACTGCAAGCATGCGCCACCACCCCCAGCTAAATTTTTTTTGTATTTTTTTTGTAGAAATAGGGTTTTGCCACGTTGCCCAGGCTGCTCTCAAACTCCTTGGCTCAAGTGATACACCCACCATGACCTTCCAAAGTTCTGGGATTACAGGTGTGCGCCACTGCGCCCAGTCCATTTACCTTTTGATGGGTATTTAGATTGTTTAAAGTTCTGAACTATTATCATAAGTTACTAAGAATATTTGAGTTCATATATTTGTGTGGACATATTTTCACTTCTCCTGGAGTGTTGCATCTAGGATTTGATTGCGAGATCGTATGGTAACCAGATGTTTAACTTTATAAGAAAATACCAAACAGTTTGTCAAAGTGGCTGTATTGCTTTTCATTCTCATCAACAATGTGTGAGAGGGACAGTTGCTCCATATCATTAACACTTGAAACTGTCAGTTTATTAATAATTTAGCTATTTTAGTGGGTATGTAGTGGCACCTCATTGTAGTTTTAATTTACATTTCCCTAATGACTAATGATGATGACACTCTTGCTATATGTTTATTATCCATTTGTGTATCTTCTTTTGAGATGTCTGTTCAAATATTTAGCTGAATTTTATTGGATTATCTTCTTATTGGCCTTATAGCAGCCTAATTAATTCTTAATACAAATCCTTTACAAATATTTTTTCACACTGTGACTTGCCTTTTCATTTTCTTAATAGCTTCTTTGAAAAAAACAAATTTGATGAAGTTCCATTTATCATTTTTGCTTTTATGGTTATGGTTTTTGTGTTCTGTTTAACAGGTTTTCCCTACCCCCAAATCATGAAGGTTTTCTTCTATCTTTTCCTACAGAAGTTTTATAATTTTAGCTTTTGTGTTTAGATGTATGGTCTATCTTAACTTTCATGTACAGTTGTAGGGTAAGGTTAGAAGTTAATGCACATCCCCCCTCATGGAGATATCCAGTTGTTAACGCCATTTGTTGAAAATGCAATGCTTTCCTCCATCACCTTGGTATTTTTGTTGAAAATCAATTTACTTATTATTTATTTGTAGGTCTCTTTTGGATACTTTTTCCCTCTGGCCACTACGTCTATCCTTCCACGTATTCTACACTCTCTTCATTTCTGTGTCTTTAGAGTAATTCTTTTGCATTGTGGTGAAATATATATAACATAATAGTTATCATTTTAGTCATTTGTTCAAATCATTGAATACATTAATAATGTTGTGTAACTCTCACCACTATCTATGCCCCAAAATTTTTCATCATCCCCAACACAAACTCTGTACCACAAAACAATCACTCCCCGATTCCCCTCCTGATTGCCCCTGGTACCCTCTATCCTACTTTCTATATTATGAATTTGCCTTTTCTAGAGACCTCATATAAGTGGAATCTTACAATATTTGTCCTTCTCTAACTGGCTTATTTGAGTAAGCATAATATTTTCAAGATTAATCCATGTTGTAGCATATATCAAAATTTCATTCCTTCTATGACTAAATAAAATTCCATTTTGTGTATATACCATATTTTGCTTAGCCATTAATTTGTTGATGGACACAGATATTTCTGCCTTTTGCATATTGTGAATAATGCTGTTACGAACATTGGTGTAAAAATATCTGCTCAAGTCCCTGTTTTCAATTCTTTTGGATACATACCTAAGAGCGAAATTGCTGGCTTATATGGAGTTCTGTGTTTAATGTTTTGAGAAAATGCCAAATTGTTTTTCACCTTCGTTGCACCATCTTACATTTCCACTAGCAGTGTACAAGGATTCCAATTTCTCCACATCTCCATCAATACCAACCAACAGGGGAAAAGGGGGAGTAATTATTTTCCATTTATTTTTAATTTTCAATTTATGATTGACACATAATTGTACATATTTATGGGGTACAGTGTGATGCTTCAATGCATGTTACATTTTCTAATGATCAAATCATGGTAATTACCACATTCATCACTTTAAACATCATTTCTTTGTAGTGATGACATTCCAAATTTTCTCTTCTAGTCACCTGGAAATATACACTACGTTGTAATTTGCTATAGTCATGCTACTAAGTATAGAACTTATTCTTACTATCTATAGTAAGTAAGAACTTACTCTTCCTGTCTAGAATTTTATACCCATTGACCAATCCTTCCCGGTCCTCCCATCCTCCCTACCTTCCCTAGCCTCTGGTAACCACTATTCTAGTCTTCACTTCCATGAAGTCAACTTTTTTAGATTCCAAATGTGTGTGAGATCATGCAGTGTTTGTCTTTCTCAGCCTGGCTTATTTCACTTAATATAATGTCCTCCAGGTTAATGCATGTTGCCACAAATGACAGAATTACATTCTGTTTTATGGCTGAATAGTATTCTATTGTTTGTGTGTGTGTGTACATTATATATATGTAATATATAATGTATATTTTATATATATATATATTACATTTTCTTTATTCATTTATGTGTAGATAGGCATTTAGGTTGATTCCTTATCTTGGCTCTTGTGAATAGCACTGCAGTAAATATGGGAGTACAGATGTTTCTCCAACTGTCTTCATTTCCTTTGAATATATACCCTGTAATGGGATTTCTGGATCATATTTGTTTTTATCATGGCCATCTTTTTTCTTTCTTTCTTTCCTTCTTTCCTTCTTTCTTTCTTTCTTTTTCTTTCTTTCTTTAATTTTTATACAAAGACTATGTCACTTAGGCTACAGTGGCACAAGATCATATGTCACTTAGGCTACAGTGGCACAAGATCATAGCTCACTGCAGCCTCAAACTCCTGGGCTTAAATGATTCTCCTGTTTCAGTCTCCTGAGTACCTGGGATGAAAGGCATGTGCCACCACACCCACATAAATTTTTATTTTTATTTTTATTTTTGTAGAGACAAGGTCTTGCTATGCTGTCAGGGCTGGTCTTGAACTCCTGCCTTTAAGCCATCCTTCCACCTTGGCCTTCCAAACTGCTGGGATTAAAGGCATGAGTCACCACACCCAGCCTTATATAATGGCCATCTTAATGGGTGTGAAGTGGTATCTCATACTTTTGATTTGCTTTTACCTAATGATTTGATGTTGAGCATCCATGTATACATCTTCTTTGGAGAAATAACTGTTATAGTCTTGCCTGTTTCTTAATTGGGCTGTTTGTTTTTTGTTGTTGAATTGTAGAGTTCTTTATATATTCTGGATCTTAGTCCCTCAGTAGACATATGATTTGCAAATATTTTCTCCTATTCTGTAGGTTGTCTTTGCACTTTCTTGATGACTTTTGATGCACAAAAGTTCTTTATGAAGTATAATTAATCTATTATTTTGTTGTTTTCTGTGCCTTTCTTGTCACATCCATGAAATTATTGCCAAATTGTCATGAAGATATCTTCCAACTTTTTTCCATGAAATGTATGGTTTTAGCTCTTAGGCTTAGTGTCGGATTGATTTTGAGTTAATGTTTGTATATGGTATAAGGTAAGGGTCCAACTCTATTCTTTCACATGTGGATGCCCAGTTATTCCAGCATCATATGTTGAAAAAATTCCTTTCCCCATTGAATATTCTTGGTGTCTATGTTGAAAATTGATTTACTATATATGTGATATAAGTGAGCATTTATTTCTGAATGATTCCATTGGTCTATATATCTTCCCTTATGCCAGGTACCATATTTTTTGGGTTTTTTTTTTTGTTTGTTTTTTGTTTTTTGTTTTGATGGAGTCTTGCTCTGTCACCCAGGCTGGAGTGCAGTGGTGAGATCTCAGCTCACTGCAAACTCTGCCTCCCGGGTTCAAGCAATTCTTCTGCCTCGGCCTCCTAAGTAGCTGGGACTATAGGCGCATGCCACCATGCCAGGCTAATTTTTGTATTTTTAGTAGAGACGAGGTTTCACCACATTGGCCAGGCTCATCTCGAGCTCCTGACCTCAGGTGATCCACCCGCCTCGGCCTCCCAAAGTGCTAGGATTACAGGCATGAGCCACTGTGCCCGGCCCTGTATTGTTTTAATTAGTGTAGCTTTACAGTACGTTTCAAAGTTGGAAAGTATAATCACTCAAACTGTATTATTCTTTTTCATTATTGTTTTGGCTATTCAGGGCCTCTTAAAATTCAATATGAACTTGAGGATCCATTTTTCCATTTATAAGAAAAAGACTGTTGGAATTTTGATAGAAATTGTATTGAATCTGTATATTGCTTTGAGCAGCACTGACATCTTAACAATTTTAAATCTTCTTATACGTGAACACAAGATGTCTTTTCATTTATTTAGGTCTCCAATTACATTCAGCAATGATTTATATTTTTTAGCATAGAGGTCTTTCATCCCATTGGTTAGATTTATTCTAAAGTATGTAATTATTTTAGGTGGCATTATAAATGAAATTGCTTTTTAAATGTTATTTTCATATTGTTTATTGCTGTTATACAGAAACAACAATGATTTTTTGTGGGTTGCTCTTGTATCTTGAACCTTGTTGCAATCCTGTATTAGGTCTAGTAGCTTTCCTGTGGATTTGGGAGGATTTTCTATATAGGAAGATCATGTCATCTGGAAATACAGATGGCCTTAATCTCCTCTTTTCTAATTTGGATGAATTTTATTTCTTTTTATTTTCTAATAGCTCTAGCTAGAACTTTTAGTACAATATTTAATAGCAGCAGTGAAAGAAAGCATTCTTATATAGTTCCTGATCTTAGGGGGAAAGCTTTTAATCTTTCACCACTGAGTATGATATTAGCTGTGGGTGTTTTATAAATAAACTTTACATATTGAGGAATTTTCCATCTCTTCCTAGTTTTATGAGAGGTTTTCTCATGAAAGGCATTTCATCAAATGCCTTTTCTACTCCAAGTGAGATGACTGTGTGGGGGTTTTCCAACATTATATTAATGTAATGTATTACATTTATTGATTTTCTTATTGTACCATCCTTGTATTTTGCTTATCAATTTCACTTCATCATATGAATAATCCTTTTCTAATATTTTGTTGGCAATTTTTGTATCTACACTTATAAAGGATATTAATCTGTAATTTTCTTTTCTTGCAGCATAATTATCTGTTTTTGGTATCAAGGTAATGGTGGCCTCATAGAATGAGTTAGGCAATTTTCCCTTCTCTTCAAGTTTTCAGAAGAGTTTGAGAATAATTGTTTTTTTTTTTTCTTTAAATTTTGGTAGAATTCACTGGTGAAGCCATCTGATCCAGAAGTTTCCTTTGTTAGGAACTTTTAGATTACGAATCTTTTTACTTGTTATGGATCTGTAAAGATTTTCTATTTCTTCTTGAATCATTTTAGGTAATTTGTGTGTTGCAAGGAATTTGCCCATTTCTTATACAGTATCTGATTTCTTGGCATATAAGTTTTTATAGTATTCTTTTACAATACTTTATACTTTTACTCTCTATAAGGTCAGTAATAATGTCTTACTTTTATGTCTTGTTTTAATTGTTTTATTGTCTTTTTGCTTTTCAGTATAGGTAAAGGTTTATCAATTTTGTTGATCTTTTAAAAGAATCAACATTTGGGTTCATTGATTTTCTCTATTGTTTTTCAATTCTCTATGGAGATTTCTCTTCTGCCCCACTAAAATTATGCTAGAGTAATTCTTGAAATCAGATAGTATAAATCTTCCAACTTTGTTATTTTTCAAAATTGTTTTGGCTGTTCTAGGTCATATGAATTTCCACATAAGTTTTAGAATTCGTTTATTGATTGCTACAAAAATCTTGCTGGGATTTTGGTTGGAATTGTACTGAGCCTATAGATAATTTATAAACAATTTACTTCTTAGTAATATGTAGTCTTCTGATCCATGTCCATGAAACATGTCTGTATTTTCTTACATCTCATTTCATTTCTCTCAGCACTATTTTATTATTTACAATGTATAAGCCTTATGCATACTTTGTTAAATGTATCTGTAATTATTTCATTTTTTCTTGATATTGTACATGGTATTTTTAATTTTATTTTTTAAATGTTCATTCCCACATATAGAAATGCAATTTATTTTTATATACTGGTCTACTATGACCTTTCTAAACTAACTTATTAGTTCCCATAGCTTTTTTTTAATAGAGTTTCTAGAATTTTCTTAGTAGATAACCATTTTAAGTATTAATAAAGACATTTTTACTCCCAAACTTTATGCCTCATTTTTCTTGCCCTATTACACTGTGTAGTCTCCAATACAATGTTTAAAATAAGTGATGAAAATAGCAATCTTTCCTTGTTCTTGATCTTAGGGTGAAAATGTTCAATATTTTACCCTTAAATATGATGTTTTTTGTAGGTTTTTTACAGAGTAAATTTACCCTGTTGCGCAGATTTTTTAAAATCATGAATGGGTATTGGCTTTTGTCATTTTTCATCTCATGCTTTCATCTTTATCGTATTATCTGTATATTACACAACTAGAGGAGAGTACAAACCCTGTTTTAAGCCCTTTAGAAACAATACTAAAATAAGTTACACTAAATAACTCTTCAATTGAATTTAGTGAATACAGATCTTTAATCCACTAATGGCACAGTAATGTGCAAAGTACAACAGGGGATTCAAAAATAATAAAATATGTACCTTGATCTCAAGAAAAGGAAAGGGAAAGTGAACTCTACATTTACGGAGAAATTTCTCTGTGCCAGTTTCTGTGCTTGAAAGTATTATTTCATTTGGTCTTTAGTCTTAGCCACCCTGAAGTAGGAAGTAGGTGACGTTATTAATACAAGAAGCATAGATCAGAGAGGAAAGCACAGGACCTCAGATTCAACTACAATTTTTAAATCCTTCCCAAGTAAACAGCTCTACGATACTGGTCTGGTTATTTAACATCTCTGAACCTCAATTCCCTCAATTCTAAAAGAAGGATAATAACTTCATAGGGATGTCATACCAATTTTTGTGATGACTTTGGAACATTGTCTAGCATCTGGTAATCACTGAGTTCTCATTAATGGATGAGGAAATTTAAAATCATAGCACTTAAGAGCT
Source organism: Homo sapiens (assembly GCF_000001405.40). NCBI lineage: Eukaryota > Metazoa > Chordata > Mammalia > Primates > Hominidae > Homo > Homo sapiens. The sequence continues at coordinate 60,414,150 of NC_000011.10, forward strand.
TTAATAAACAGAGAAACTATAATTATTTCTTCCAAACCTCTTTTTAAGTGGAAGAATAAATTAAAATTCACATGAAACAAAGTTTGAGGATTCTTAGAAATATAGAAATCTCTTCCAAAGTACCATTTATACTCACATAAATAGTCCTTCAATAGGGATAAAATATAGGTGTGAAAAACTAATTAGAAGAATGGGAAATGCAATGTATTATTTCAGAGAATGTGTAGATTCTCAATCTAGGCCTGCTATTAGCAAACGAGGTAAGCATAATTAATTCATTTAATCACTGAGTTCTGATCCACTTCATCAAATAGAACAAGTAGTCTATTCTGACTATGAATTATCTCAGAAAGGTGTAATTCATGGAGTCAGAATAAAAAGCAGCAGGTTGTGCTGCAGTAACAACCTCCTAAAAATTATAATAATAAAATGAGAACTAATGGGAAGCATTGCAGGTTGTATCAGATGTGGTCACTTAGCTGTTTAAAAAACTCCAATTGCTTCCTCTTATTTGTAAAGGAAAGTCCAAATTTCCTAGCCTAGCATACCATCTAATAATATCAGTAATATCTAACTGCTTACCATCTGCCATCACACCATGCTATATCACAACCTTGTGTTTTTGTACCCGCTATTCCACTGCTGCTTCTACCTGGATTCTGACTCCTGTCTTATTTCATCTTACCGTCTATGCCTGAGTAATTCCTACTCAGCTGTTAAGATATAGATTAAATATTGCCTCTTCTGTAAAGCATTTCCAGGTTGTCTCAGAATTAGGTCATCTTCTATGTTCCCATAAAGCACTAAGTACCTATTTATGTAATTGCATTTGCTGAATTGTATTACTATTATCTATTTATATGTTGATGTACAGATAGTTGTGAGCACCTTAAGGGAAAATCCCACATCTAATTGTCTTTGATTCCCAGCATTTAGTTCATCTGGGTGATCAATAAACTATTATAGATTAAGCATGAATATATGAATATTGACTAGATGATATAAAATGTCTCAGAAGCTTTATAATATTAAGTATGGGAGGAATTTTTGAGGCAATCTTAATCAAATTCCTCTGTTCAATATTTGAAAGACTAAAAGGTGATGACTTCTAAAATAATACCAATAAGTTAATGGTAAAGGCAGGACTGGCATTCGTTTTCTGCCTTCTCATTTAGATGTTATTTCCTATCTACTGTCTTAAGTCAGAAATGAAAAGTAACTTGGAAAACAAAAAAAAAATCAGACATGATTCTGTCATATTAATTACCCTCATCCTTGCTTTTATAGGTTCTGTTTTTCTTGCCTTCGGATGTTACTCAAAATAGTGAACAACCTGCCCCAGAAGAAAATGATCAATTACAATTTGTGCTTCAAGAAGAGTTTTCCAGTGATGATTCAACAACAAATGCACAATCTGTTATCTTTGGAGGCTATGCTTTCTTCAAGTTAACACTCTCTAGGAGTCCTTTAGTCTCCCAACCAGGTAATAAAGGTAGAGAATTTGTGCCAGATGAACAAAAGCAAAGTATCCTTCCATCTCCCAAATTTTCAGAGGAAGAAATTGAACCTTTGCCTCCCACACTAGAGAAAAAGCCCTCAGAAAATATGTCCATTCAGCTAGACTCTACATTTAAACAAATGAAAGATGAAGATCTACAATCTGCTATTGTACAACCTTCTCAAATGCAAACCAAGCTTCTGCAGGACCAAGCTGCGTCACTCCAAGTTTTTCCATCCCATTCTGCACTAAAACTCGAAGATATATCACCTGAAGACTTGCCATCCCAAGCTCTACCAGTAGAAGGCCTGTCAGAACAAACCATGCCATCTAAGTCTACATCATCCCATGTCAAACAGTCTTCTAATCTGACAGCTAATGACCTGCCCCCTCAAGGCATACTATCCCAAGACACATCATCTCAAGATATGCTGTTTCATGACATGACATCCCAAGATATGCAATCCCTAGATATGCTATCTCAAGACACACCATCCCACGCCATGCCACCTCAAGACATACCTTCCCAAGATATGCTATCCCAAGCTCTATCAGCGCATGCCATATTACCTGAAGCCTCAACATCCCATATTGTGCAGTTCCCTGAAATACAACACCTACTTCAGCAGCCCCCAGATCTTCAACCAGAAAACACTGAACCTCAAAACCAGCAAATTTTACAAATGTCATATCAAGATATTAGATCAGAAGTTATGGAAGAGACCAAAGAATGGAAATCTGAGGAGGAACTCCATAGAAGAAAATCCTCAAGACGGCATTCCTTAAACCAGCAAACCAAAGCCTTGCAATACTTAAGGAGACATTCTTTAGACGTGCAAGCCAAAGGCCAGAAATCCTCAAAGAGGCATTCCTTAGATCAGCAAAGCAAAGGCTGGCAATCTCCAAAGCAGAAATCCTTAGACCAGCAAATCAAAGACTGGCTATCCCCAAAGAGGCACTCCGTAGATAAGCAAGCTCAACTTAATCAAACTAAAGAGCAACTCCCAGATCAGCAAGCTGAAGATCAGCAAGCCAAAGGGGAACAATACCCAGAAGGACAATCTAAAGATGGACAAGTTAAAGACCAGCAGACTGATAAGGAGCAAAACTCAAAGAAGCAAACCCAGGATCAGCAAACTGAAGACCAGCCGGCCCAAGAGAAGAAATCCCCGAAAGGACAATTCCAAAATGTTCAAGCCGAAGGACAGCAAGCTCAGGTGGAGAAAGTGCCAAAACTGTTATGCCAAGATTCAGAATCCCAAATACAGCAATACCAATTCTGGCAATTCCACAAAGGCAATCTCCAGGCTGGACAACCCAGGACTGTCAATCTTTTGGCCAAGAATCCCCTGACTGGATAACTCAGGGCTGGAGAAACAAAGATTATAAAGCACGAGAATGGCAATTTGAAATGAAGCACTGGCAAACACAGGATCTATTAGAGAAAGAAGCCCTAAAGCAGAAAGCTCTATACCAAGAAGTCCAAACCCAGCACGCAACAGCCCAACATAACCTAGAATGTCAAGACACTCAAGATAAAGACCAACAAGACCTTCAATCCAGAGTTACACAAAAAGGAGATATGTACACTAGAGACATCAAACCAGGGGACATGAAATGTATAGGGCAAACCTCAGGGGACCTGCAATCAGAAGACGTGAAGGCAGATTTTCATTCTTCTTCTGGCCAAAGCTCAGTACAAGACACATGTTTAGCCTATTTGTCCAATCTAGATTCAGAACAAGATGTGCAACCAGACACTTCAGCTTCCTCAAATTCATATAAAGAAGATGTGAATTTAACTTCTACTTCATGTGATCCAAAAGATCAACAGCAATCTGAAGACTCTGACTAACATGCAGAATCTACCCAATACCACACTGCCCCCATTAATGGAATTAAATTGGGAAAAACAATATTGCCTCCTCCAATCTGTGTTCTCAACTGTGGTTGCCACCTCATTAACTTACAAAAAAATGAAGGGCATGCTGAGCACTCAAACAATTTGTTCTTACTTAAAATAAAATGACAACAAACCAAATGTTAACACTGTATCATCACTTTATGTATGTGAAGAAATAATTCACATGTATATTCCTTGTCATCAAAGTTAGTGTTTCAGTTTATAATCACGATTTCATTTTATAACTTAATGTTTAATGGCCCTACTTTGGTATGATGCTAGTATTTTTCATCTCCCCCTTTTGGCATTATAGGAGTTCAGAAAATCAACCACAGGGAAGTCTATGAAGGCTCTCTAAGGGTTCAAGAACCAAAAGAGTCAGCAAGGAACAAAAATTTCTCCCATTTCCCTGTCTTGCTGTTTCCAATCCTCTTATTTACTCTCCCTCCTCATATTTATGTTGAGGATATATGGACTGAGTTTGCTCAATTATTAATGAGGTAGAATGTGGCAATGAATACAGAATGTGATGATGGAGTGGGAGGGATTAAGAGATATCTAGAGACAGGAAAGTAGAAATTAGGGAAGAACAGAGATGCAGATGTCATAATAGAAAATATGACATACTGTATTGTATTCAGTGAAGCTTCAGCTCCCTTCTTTATGCCTGCATTTACTGATTATAATTTCTCAACCCTTATGATACATAATTTCATCCTCTGTCATCAAAGGAAATTGTGTTATCAAAAGCTATCAGTTACCTCAATCTTCCAAGCCTAATCGTGTTTTTTCAATCCTCTTTCCCTTTATCTCTGATACATTTGGAAAGGTTAACAATCCCTTTTCTTTCAATTTTTATCACCCCCATTAACTTCTGTGTTTTGCACTTCCTGTTTCAAAAATTCTATAATAGGTATTTCTAGGGATCTCTCCCCAACTTTATTCATTTTTTGTAATGACAATTCACTATTACAGTTCTCTCACCTTCTTGTGAATAATCCAGACTGTGTCATATTTGTGTCTTCTACAGAATTTCAGCACAAAGGCTTGATTCAAGAATACATTCAATAAAACATTTTTAAGGGCATAAATGGGAGCTTGGAGTCTCTACTTAGAGGTGAACAGAGAAGTTATATGTAGTAGTATAATAAGATACAGAGCTCCTTATGACTGGCTACATGTTCCTTGCTGCCTGTGCCTTTGTAGTAAAATATTAGCTTCCTGAGCTTCACATGATTGCTTGACCTTGATAGAGTCCTTACCTGAGTTAGCCTTTAGTTCCTGAATGACCACCACCTGGTATTTAACTTACTCTGAATAATACTAATAATTTCTACCTTTTCCTTTAGCTAGATTAGCACGTTTCTACAGTGCTTATGTAGAGTTTAACTTTCAGTCTACAAACTTGGGTGTTTAGGAAGTATATATATATATATATATATATATATATATATGTATGTATATATATATATATATATATGTATGTATATATATATATATAGAGAGAGAGAGAGAGAGTGTATATATATATATATATATACACACACACACACAATTTTGTATCAAATTCTTTGAGAATCCAGCCCACACAGTTACTCTTGCCAGTTCATCCCTATATCTACCCAACATACACAAATACATTTCTGCAGAAATGTACAAAGATCCTGGAATCTTAAATAGTGCCAAGTCACTGGAGAGGCAATTTCCATCATCAGCGACTAGTCCACACCAGTTACCACTGAGAAACTTATAGGCCAAGTTCAAATATACCGTATGTGTCCTGTGAACTTGTTGCTTCTATGCTACATTTGGAACATGGAAATTTTTCCAAAATTGCAAGAATACAACGCCTATAGGTTAGACTTACAATATGAGAATGGAAGAATGTAAAAAACCACTTCTTCTGAGGCCTTTCCATCCCACTGAGGGAGATGCTAAGGGGCAAGTCAGAAGCTCCCAAGGCCCCCAGAACCCATAGTAACCTTTCTAGTCTACAGAAGACTCTCTTTTCTCTCTGTTTCTTGAAGGCATTTTCCCTTGACCTCCCCTTTCTGAGACACCTAATACTGTCCTATCAATGAGTTTGGGTCTGAAGTTGACAAAATCAAATGTGTTTAAGACCCATAAGGAAAAATAATGTTTGAAGTATCTGTTTAAAAGACAAAATGCAAAAGGCTGTGGGAAACTAGAAAATTTATGATTTGCTTAAAGGCAACCTAATTTTTTTATTAAAAACTGTCTTATTACAAATATAATATGTGTTTCCTAGAATATGTCAGGCTTCTTTGTAGTAAAATTGGGAAAAGTTGATTTGAGATACTGCTACCTTACACACTCAGTTCCCAAGAACTGTGGAAAAAAAAATAAGCTGGCTGCTTACAATTGCATTTTCATTTACTAGAATCAACAACCTACAGCTAAATTATACTTCCCAGCCACCTTGCATCTAGGTAGGTGAGATGGTAACTATTGCCAATGGAATGTAAAGTTTGACTCCTAAAATCACCAACATTATATCTACAATATTTTTTTCCCTCATGCACTGGCTAGATGCAGAGAATCTAGGATCCACAAGACCCTGAGTCTCTAGAGAATGGAGCCTGGTCCATAAATCGTGGTGTGGATTACTTCCAGTTTGAATATTCAACTGGATTGTGATCTAAAAGAAAAACCCATATTAGGGCAAGGAATGCATGGAGCTGTTTGGCTAGAAGGTAGTCTAAGCTGAGTAATAGAGTCTTTAAGGCACAAAAAAGTCAAATCTTGCTCAAAATGGCAGGACTCCTACTCGTATCTCCTTGTGTTAGTTACCTATTGCTGCATAACAAATTACCACAAAGGTAGCTGCTTAAAACAACAAGCTTATTATCTCTCAGTTCAGAAGCCCAGGAAAGCTTGGTTAAATTATTTGTACAGAATATCACATGGCTAAAATCAGAGGACTGGCCAGGGCAGTGGTTCTGGGGTTGAGCTCCTCTTCAAAGTTCATCCATTGTTGGAAGAATCCAGTCCTCACGGCTGCAGGACTGAGGTTCCCATTTCCTTGCTGGCTGTCAACTGGGAACTGCTCCTGCATCCCTTCTCATGTGATCCCTTCCATCTTCAACCAGGTAACAGTGTGTCAAGTCTTCTCAAACCCAAATCTGACTCCCTCTCCTGCATCTGGTTTTAAGGAGTCCTTTTATTACACTAGACTTACTGGAATAATCCAAGATAACCTATTTTAGGATAAATTGATTAATAACCTTAAATTTCTGTGCAAAGTTCCTTTTCTCATTGAAGATAACCACAATTAGGAAAGATTATGGGCTCCCATAAATAGTCACATGGAAAAATACACACAATTTTAAAAATTAATGTTTTCCTAATTTCTTAGAAACATGTTTGACTTTTAAAGCAGGAACTAACTGAATTGGTGTTTTAAAGAGATTACTGTGGCTGCAGTTTGGAGGATGAACTGGAGAAAGAAAGATGGCAGCAGGGAGTCAATTAGGAAACTCTTAAAATAGTGAAGAAAGAGGTGCTAAGTGATGTAGGGATGTATAGAAGAGTAGAGACTAAAATGATAATTCAAGAGTAAAATTGTCAGGATGGGACAGAAACTAGAGGTGTAGAATTGAAGAAAATGAAGAATAAACCATCTGCTCTAGCTTAAAAGATTAGCTGGCTGAGACATCATTACCATCAACAAAACAGACGAAGAGGCACAGGTTGCAGCAAGAGTAAGGGGCATAGTCAGTTCTTTCTAGTGTAGTGTATTAGGCAGGGTTCTCCAGAGAAACAGAACCAAGAGGATTAGACAGATAGACAGAGAGCTATAGATAGATATATAGATGATAGATATATAGAAGATAGATAGATAGATAGATGATAGATAGATAGATAGATAGATTGATAGATAGATAGATAGATAGATAGATAGATAGATAGATAGATAAGGAATTGGCTCACATGATTATAAGGCTGAGAAGTCCCAAGATCTGAAAGCTGGAGACCCAGGAGAGCTGATGGTATAGTTCCAGCCTGAGTACGAAGGCCTCAGAACCAAGAGTTTAAATTCCAGTTCAAGTCTTAGTCTGAAGGTAGGAAAAGACCAGTGTCCCAGCTCAAAGACAGGCAGAGAAAGCAAATTCTCTCTTGCTCAGGCTTTGGTTTTATTTAAGCCCTCATTGGAGACATTGAGAGTAACACTGGGTTTTACCACCGTTCATGGAATAAGATTTAAAGACACTATTGTTATTTATAATTAAAAAAAAAAAAGAAAACTAGAGGATCTGGAGACTCCTAAGCAGGTGACATCTTGCCACAACAGTTAACTGCTCTAGCTCTGCTCCCAGAGTTGTTCTCTCCAGAGTATGGATATGGATCTTTTTAAAGGAAGGCTTTAACAGCAGAGAAAAATAAGAGAAACTTAGAAACAAAGAAAATTGACTTTCAGCTGCAGTAACAGAAGAATGAGAGATTAAATGAGGCCCACCCATATTGGGGAGGGCATCTGCTTTATTCAGTTTACCAATGTAAAAACCTCATCCAGACTCATCCTCATAGACACACTAAGAATAAAGTTTAACCAAAAGTCTTGGCACCTATTGTTCAATCAAGATGATGCATAATTTAACCATCAAAAGGCCATCCTTTGTGAACCTGACACTCATATGCATCTCCTTAAGCCATACTTAATCTCCAAATAAAGACTAAAAGGTGATAATTCTTCATAATATGTTACAACTATCATGTATACAACTGGAAATGTACCAACCTCTTCTCAGAAGAAGGGGTAAAGTCTGTGAATGATGTTTACTCTTCTCCTTACTGTCTAGCAACTTCTATGATTTAAATTGTATGATGTAAAGTTAACAATACTATAATATAAACATGCCTTATGTTACATGATTAGAGAATGAGAAAGAACAGATTGTGTGTGTGTGTGTGTGTGTGTGTAGTTTCTATAACTGGATATGTGGACGTAACTCATATTTATAACTACCTTATTCTACTACCCATTCTGTAGTCCCTTTGCCTTCAGCAAACACCTTAGCTGGCCATGGTTCTTTACCTGGTAGAATGACCCAAACCTTCATTCCTGAAAAGCCTGGACAATTAGTGGTCCTGCCTGGACTGAGTTGTTGTGGTTTTCTTAATTGACCTTAATCACAGATCATGGTAATACTAAGAGATGCATGAAGCGATCTCCTATATTCCAAGCATAGTGTTCCCTTATGTCCATTGTGGAATAGTGGTCTAATTTCCCCTTAGTCATCAGAAACAATCACCCCATCCAGCACAGTAACCCCTTTCAGTTATCTGAAGAGGATGGAAGGGCTTTGCTCCAAAATTCAGCAATAAACCTATAGGAGCCTACCTTCCCAGAAGCTCTATATAGCATCCCTATCTGCCATTGACACTTCAAGCACCATTGGATCTGTTGATGGTATGGTCCAAGCAGAAGTCAGCTTACACGGAAGCCGAGGCCTGTTGTGAAGCTTTTCTTCTGGTCCTACTCAAAAGCAGCTCTGTAAGTCACTTGGCAAATTGGCCAGAGCAACACACCCAAGTGAGGAATATGTTGCCTCCAAAATCCAAAGAAACTCATTAGATGCTGTGCCTCCTATTCATTGTGGAAGCCAGATGCGACAACTTATCCTCATGCTGGAAGAGATTCTCAATATTCCCCACACCACTTGATCCCTAGAAATTTCACTGAGGTACAAGACCCTGAGGTTTTATCAGATTTATTTTCCACACTCTGGCATGTAAATATCTTATGAATAAATCTAGAGTAGTTACTACGTCTTATTCGCTAGGTCCAATCAGCATAATGTCATCAACCTAATGGACCAGTGTGATATCTTGTGGAAGGAAAGGGCAATTAAGATCCCTGTGAACTAAATTATGACATAGAGCTATAAAGTTGATATACCCCCGAGGTATGACAGTGAATGTGTATTGCTGGCCTTGTCATCTGAAAGCAAACTGTTCCTGGTGGTCTTTACTAATAGCTGTCCAGAAAAAGCATTTATCAGATCAATAACATTATACTGGGTACTAGAGGATGTGTTAATTTGCTCAAGTAATGAAACCACATTTGGTAAGGCAGTTGCAATTAGAGTCACCTCCAATTGGTAATCCACTGTCATCTTCCAAGATCCATCTGTCTTCTGCACATGCCAAACATACAAGTTGAATAGGAATGTGGTGGGAATCACCACCCCTGCAACTTTCAAGTTACTGATGGTGTCATTAATCTCTGTAGCCCCTCCAGGAATGTGTTGGGAGTCACCAACCCTGCATCTTTTAAGTTACTGATGGATTTATTAATTTCTGCAGTACCATCAGGAATGTGGTGATGCTTTTGCTTTACTATTTTCCTAGGCAGAGGCAGTACTAGAACTTCCACTTGGTATTCCCCACCATAAAGGTCCTTACTCCACAGAGTAAGAAAATAATATGAGATCCTACCACCTATTGAGTATATTTGTTTTAATTATGCATTCTGGAATTGGGGGAATAACCGCAGGATGGGTTTGGGAGCCCACTGCACCCATTGTGAGATTAACCAGAGATAAAACTCCATGGATCATCGGACCTCCACAACCACTTACTCTGAGTGGTAAGCCACAGTGATGCTTTGAGTCTCCTGGAATTAGTATCAATTCAGAATCAGTGTCTAGTAGTCCCTGAGAGGTCTGGTTATTTCCTTTTCCCCAATGCTCAGTACCCTGGAAAAAGGCTGCAGGTCCCTTTGAGGAAGGCTGTGAGAAAGATCAACAGTACAAATTCTTGGTAATGCACCAGGTCCTTCCTTAAGGAGACCTGGTCTCCCCTTTCATTCAAGGAGTTCTTTCTGGGTTTGTAAATTTTATTGCAGGTCTGTAAACTGGCTCAGGTCTGGGAATGGATTGAGGGGCTATGAGTCTATATTTTTATGATTCAGGTTAGGCTTTCATTCAATGACCTAGAACTTTTCTGCTTATATAGATCAAGGGGTAATTTAAAAGGATTTCTGTCTATTTTACCTCTAGGAACACCATAATCAACTAGCCCACACCCACACCATAGGTCTGATTCAAATATTAATCTTATCCATACCCACCCTCACAGACACAGCCAAAATAATGTTTTAATTAAGTATTTGAGCAGTCTATGACCTGGTCAAGTTGACACATAAAGTTAACCATCGTATTTTGTTTATACTCACAGTCTTGGGGCCACAATCTGGAATGAGTCTTAGTCGAAATCACCTGCACAGATCAGAGGAGCTGCTGGGATGCAAATGTATACTAAGCAAGTACTCATTGAGATATAGCATTAGCAGGAACAAAAATGTATTATTTTAAAACATGGATCCAGAGATCTTCTCTGGAAAATAATAATCTATATTTATGCAACCTCTCACTTGTGGTTATCATGCCTAGAAAGGCATGCAGGCCCATCACATTTCTGAAAGGCTGTTACTGTTAGTGAACCACACAGACACAAAGAGTCCTGAGGAAAGTGCAGATCTCCTTTGCAGCCATAATATCCTCCATCAGTTCACAAGGTACTCTTTGGACATTTGGAAATTCTCATCTCTCACTCTGCTTCCCCCACTAACACATACACACATACACCTTTCTTTCCCTGTGGTCCCTGTGATTTTTTTTTTTTTTTTTACTTCTCTGACCTACCCTAGGATTCAAATGTGGAGTTTCTGGTCAGAGAGTTAAAGTTTTATGCATCACTGGAGAAAGCTTTAGTTGTCAAGGCAAAGCTCTGAAGCATCAAATTGAGTACATGGAATCTAAAGGTAAAGCAACTGGATCATAATTTTGACCCAGCACCATTACTAGTGGGATACTTTGGGAAAGTTTCTTAAAATTTCCGTGCCTAAGTTGAGTAGTACTCAGCACAGGGTTGTCAAGAAGATTGGATAATTAAAGAATGTATAGTGTTTAAAATATCTGTCACGGAGTAGATGCTCAATTTTGTTCCATAATAAAACATCTATAAAGCTAATTCTTTTACTAGTCGGTATTACTTCTTATGGCATAAACTTGATCTAATTTATGCCACCAAAGTATCTCTCTTTATTCTGAATTATACAAATTATCTCCCTGCTATTGAGTGAACTGCATCCCACTCTAAATTCATTTGTTGAAGTTCTAGCTCACAGTGTGATATCTGGAGACGGGCTTTTGAAGCTGTTGGGTTTAGATGAGGATATGAGAGTGAATCCCTCATGACGGGATTAGTGTCCTTATATGAAAAGACACCAGGCCTCTGTCTCCTGCTCTTTTTCTGTGTGTGTGTCCTTGTGTGTGTGCTCACATGCCTGTGTACACACAAAGGAAAGATGATGTGAGGACAGAAATAATACAGTCATCTGCAAGCCAAGAAGAGAGCTCTCATAAGGAACCAAGTTAGCTGACACTTTGATCTTGGAATTCGCAGCCTCCAAAAGTATGAGAAATAAATTTGTGCTGTTTAAATGAAGCAGTCATGGTAATTTACCATAGCACCCTAAGCAGAATAATATACACCTTTTCTTCTTGCAAATTGGGAAAGGGAGTGAAGGCATAAAAATCCCATCTGACCACAATGAAACAAAGAAACTTTTTGTTCTTTAAACATAAAATTCCTAGGTAGTCACAAAGGGAATATCTAATACCTATGTGTAAGTCCGAAATTAGTAATTAGAGTGTTTATGTCGGAAGATACAGTAGGAAATCCCTGTTGCTGCCTTTGTAGGTTCTGTAGAATGGTCTTCTAATCTTATTTTTAAAGTATGCTATATATGCAAGACTGTGCTACTACTACCTTAGAGGAGTGAAGAATCAGAATGAAAACCAGCAGGACAGTGCAGTGAGAAAAACAGTCATCACTTACAGAAGCCCAGACATGCAGAGAAAACTAAGAATTCAATAGATGCAGAAAATCAGAGCTTGAGACCACTCCACACGATAGAAGCCCCAGTGGTTCCCCTTCCCTCGTATTCGCTTGCTCCTTCCAAGAAATGTCTGGAGACATTAAGAGTGACACTGGGTTTTACCATTATTCATGGAATAAGATTTAAAGACACTATTATTATTTATAAACTTTAAAAACAAAAGAAAACTAGAGGATTTAGGGACTCCTAAGCGGGTGACATCTGGCCACAACAGTTGACTGCTCTAATTCTGCTCCCAGAGTTGTTCTCTCCAAAGTATGGATATGGATCTTTTTAAAGGAGGGCTTTAACAACAGAGAAAAATAAGAGAAACTTAAAAACAAAGAAAATTGACTTTCAGCTGCAGTAAGAGAAGAACGATAGAAAGAATACAGTGTTTTTCTTGGAACTTTCCAGCAAGGGAATCAGACGAGAGGCTGTGAGGAAAGGCCTAATCCCATTGACTATGGTTCAGAGAACTTGGATTCCTCAGATCATCATAACTTCTCTGGAATACTTAGCAATAAGAAGCTTGAAATTAAGGCTGAATTTCAGAACATTAATGAATACAAACATATTATATATTATTCCATAAACCACATTAAGACTAGAGTAATTTGCATTAAAAGAGTAGGTTTTGGCAGATTGGAAAATAAGAAGAAATATGAGGATATGGAAAATTTTTGAAGTAGTGAACAGATACATGTCATCAATGTATAAAGGGGCCTAGGGCATTTATTAGCAGGAGGCCATGGAGTTCCACAGCCACCCTGAAATGGAGAAATTGTAAAATAACGTCTGTACTGGGGCCGGGCACGGTGGCTCATGCCTGTAATCCCAGCACTTTGGGAGGCTGAGGCAGGCAGATCACAAGGTCAGGAGATCGAGACCAATCTGGCTAACACGGTGAAACCCTGTCTCTACTAAAAATACAAAAAAATTAGCCAGGCATGGTGGCGGGCACCTGTAATCCCAGCTACTCAGGAGGCTGAGGCAGGGGAATGGCGCAAACCCAGGAGGCAGAACTTTCAGTGAGCCGAGATCGCACCACTGCACTCCAGCCTGGGCAACAGAGCAAGACTCCATCTCAAAAAATAAAATAAAATAATGTCTGCACTGATTCAGTGTGACATTTCCAGTATTATAGCTAAGCTCATAGAAACACATTTAACCTATAAAGAATCAACAAAAAATGAACTTTGGAAAGAGTGCAAACATAAAGCAAGACAAAGTATCTGCTCACCATGCTAAAAATGGCAATAATAAGAGAAATAATACTTATTACTCTTATTTTTATTACTACTACAATTTACTTAGCATCTACTACACTCCAGGTACTTTAAAATTTACTCACAATAACTGTATAACAATTTTTATTCTCATAAAGGAAATGTAATATTTTAATAAATATGTAAATTAATAGATAACTTAGCCTAGACCCCATAAATAGTAAATAAAAGGGCTTGGGGTTCATTCTAGGTTTCTCTTCTCCAAAGAGTAAGTCTTCCACTGCATCACCAGATTGCATGAATTAAAGAATAATAAAAAACAAAGAACAATAAAAAATTAAAGTTATATTTCTGCCATTTGTCAGATAGCTATTATAACACTGTGCTAGTCATCATGCTTAGAGGGAGAAAAAACAAAAACTGGGGAAGGTATAGAGCAAAGTTAAAACCTGAGTAATTAGGGTGAAATGGTGTTTTATAAAAGTATGTTGCAACATAGTGTGCTTAACTTAGGGAATGCTAACACAACATCAGATGATGTTCATGAAGGATAATCACCATTATGATTCAACGTCCATAGAAAACTGAACAAGAGATGGATACGTTCAGAGAAAAGAAATTGTGAGGGAGGGGTGGCCTTTTAAAATATTCTAACTGGCAACTGGTAAGTGGCTAGAGGCTGTCACATCATGAGGTTCAATTAAGGAAGACCTGATCTCAATAGGAAACACCAGAAAATGACAAGGTACAGTTAAAAACAGACACAAATTGTTCCCTTCCCTTTCTTTCTTGTCCTTTCAAGATGAAAGTACAGATCCTCCCATGAAGACATTAGGGGGCCTATTTTCTTACCCCTCGAATCTGGGTTGTCTATGAAATTTGATTGGCCAATATGACATTAACACACATGACTCAGCAGAGGTTTGAAAAGTATTTGTGAATTGGAAGAGAACCAAGAGTCTGCCAACTGCCAGAGACATGACTGAGGCCATCCTAATTCATGTAATTGGACACTCCACCAGGTGACCACAGTTGCATGAGACAGCCTGGTAGAGAAGTGCTGAGCAGCCTTAGATGAGACAGACCACACACAGGACCCACAGATGTGTAAACAAAAGCCGATGGTGGTTGCTGGAACTAACTACATTTTGAGGGATTTGTTACACAGCTAAAGCTACTTAAATCAGGTGGCAAAACCACAAAGTGACAGGAAAAATGGATGTTATCTATACTTCAAGAAGTGGTTAATTTGTTCCGTGGCCTGAGAGATTTTGCGTTCTACCTGTGTCTGAAGATATGGAACTGGAATAAATGTGTATCTAGTTGCCATTTGGTAACTAAAATGTCCTTTTTTTTGAGACAGAGTCTTGCTCTGTTGCCCAGGCTGGAGTGCAGTGGTGCAATTTCAGCTCAAGGAAACCTCCGGCTCCTGGGTTCAAGTGATTCTCATGCCTCAGCCTCCCGAGTAGCTGGGACTACAGGCACGTGCCACCACACCCGGCTAATTTTTTATATTTTTAGTAGAGATGGGGTTTCACCATGTTGGCCAGGCTGGTCTCTAACTCCTGACCTCAGGTGATCCGCCCGCCTCAGCCTCCCAAAGTGCTGGGATTACAGGCGCGAGCCACCATGCGCGGTCCCTAAAATGTCTTTATATGTAGATCATCTAGTCCAATTTGGTCAATGTATATATGAGGAATCAGAAACCAGGAGAGGGGGATGTGACTTGCCAAAAGTCACAGTAAACTCCTAACTAAACCAGGACTACTTGTCAGGTTCTCTGATCCCCAGTCCCAGGCATTTTACTTATAGCCATCTTGGGATCTTGAGCAGTCCTGAGATTCTATGACTCTGTGACTCTATGGTTCTATAATTCCAAGACAAAGCAAACAATTCCAGTGCTCCAGGCAGCCTCAGCACAAGAAAAGAACATGGTCTAGACTGAAGTACCAACTAAATCATCTCCTTTCAAATTATCACCGACACCATCATGGATTCAAGCACCGCACACAGTCCGGTGTTTCTGGTATTTCCTCCAGAAATCACTGCTTCAGAATATGAGTCCACAGAACTTTCAGCCACGACCTTTTCAACTCAAAGCCCCTTGCAAAAATTATTTGCTAGAAAAATGAAAATCTTAGGGGTAAGTAAGACTTGCCCCTATGTATATTTTACTGAGGCAGGGGAAAGGCTAGGGAAATTATCTGTTGGCACATGTTTGAAGGTAGGAGCCTATTCCAATTCTTCTTTAAGACAATGTGAATATAGAGTGTTGGTGGGCCATTTGAGAGAGGATGTTTGAGAAGAACGAATCATGTGGGTCTGGACTTGACAAAAAATGCTATCATTTAGGACTCACCTACTTAAAAAGTGATAGTTGCTATGGCAGTAAATGAGATTACTCAGACTGAGAAGGTGGACTGAGAAGAAGAGAGCAGAGCACATAGACTCACACGTTTTTGTATATTGTATACCTTCCATTTTTGTATATTGTCCTCATTAGTCTTTCCCAGCACTTGTCAAACCACTGCTTGGTGTCACAGTGCATCACATGAGTGGCTCAGAGAGGGAGAGAAAAAAAAAAAAAACCCGAAGAGATGGAGAGTCCTCTGGGCCTGAGAGTGTGACAATACCTCAAGAGGCTCAGAGAATTGGCCATCTCCAGGCAGGGCTCCTCACAGTCCAATTCTGCTTGAGGCCAGCCTGGTATACTCATTTAGAATTCAGTGTTTCTCAGACATTCACATTTATGGGCTAAAGAACTGAAGAACTTATGAAGACACAGGTTTCCCAGCCTCACCTGGAGACCGTTCAGTAAGTATGGGATAGGGCCTGATAGTTCGCATTTCTAGCTCCCAAGTGATCCTGATGTTGCCAATCCATGGACCACATTTTCAGGAGCACTGATTTAGATCATTTTACCTATCACCAAATACCAGATAGAGGAATTAAGAAAGTACCCAGGAGCATCATAAAGGGACTTCTATTATTCTTCCCCTAATTACCAAAGAGAGTAATTGCCAAATCCTTTTGACCAAAAGAAGATATTCTAAACAGAAGGGAAACTATCACTTTGCTTTTCCTCACCATGACTTTTTCCTCTATTTGCAGACTATCCAGATCCTGTTTGGAATTATGACCTTTTCTTTTGGAGTTATCTTCCTTTTCACCTTGTTAAAACCATATCCAAGGTTTCCCTTTATATTTCTTTCAGGATATCCATTCTGGGGCTCTGTTTTGGTGAGTATAGTCAATCAAGTTCAATTTGAAGCCATGCCAACCAGGATGTTAGGGAATTCTTCACAATGAAATAAGCTAGATCCAGTTGTATGACATGCTTTCAAAAGTGCAAAAAACTAACCTTGTTGAAATTATTTCCCCATTAGTTCATCACAGTCACTGATATTCCATCATTAGGTCTTGAAGTTCCTTTGGGAATACTTCTTTTGAGGCTTGCAGTTGTTTATTTGGCTATTCATTCATTTGAAATTAGTTACTATTTATTATAAGCCAGATACACAGAGAAAGGCAATGGGCCTCTCCCCCAAAGACCTCTCAGTCTAGCAAGAAAACATGTAAACAGGTCACTTCAAGTCAGTGTGATAAATGTTATCACAGAGGTGCAGGAAATGCTTATGTAAGCAGAGATGAAGGAGCAATTTATTCTTTACAGAAGTGAAGTGGGAAGGGTTTCTCAGATATACCTTTTGAGCTGCGGAGAGGTATTTATTAAACCCAGTGTAGTCACAATCAATAAACATTAACTTAGGACCTAATTTAGTGCCAGAGAATGGGCAGAGCAATGGCTTCAGGGAAAAGAAAGCAGTGCCTGAGCTCAAGGTCTCAGTTGAGTGAGGAGTCAGACAATTAACACAGGGTGTGATGAGGGAGAATAAACACAGGGGCTGCCTCCATAGGAAAGGCATCAACAAAACAGAGGGGACAACGCCCAGAGACATTTCCAGCTTGACCAAGTTTTAAAGGGTGAATGGTTAATCAGGTGAGGACACACACACAGAAGATGGGAGTTGGGATACCCAAGTGTAAGGATTAGGGATGTCTTGTTGCATGCCAAGGGAGAAATATGAGCACAGGCTGAAGGTATGGGAGAGCATTTTCTATTATGTGAACTATAAGAGTTCAGCACAGGGAGTGAGGATGGAGAGATGAGGCTGGAAAATACCCATGAAGGGGCTGGAAATTTAAACATGGAAGTGCTGTAATCAGATTTGAAATTTCCACTAGACAACAATGCTACCACGTGTGACCCACTTCCAAGAAAAATCTTGGAGATTTTAAGAACTACCAGCACATTCACTGCAACCCCACCTTATGTTCCCATCCAAGAGAACACACTGGATTGCAGTAAGATGGAATCCAATCTTAATGATTATAAACTGACTTGAAATCCCTTTGTCATGAGATCAAAGCTGAGTCCACAATAGCTATAAAAAGAACATGGATGAGTAAACCAAAGCCCTGTACGGTTAAAAAAAATGTTCATGTTCAAATAAATAGTTAGGGCTAAAGGAGATTTCCAGACCAGTGTTTTGTCCACTATTCCATTTGTGGAAAGTCATATAAAGCAACTCACCCTTCTCACTGCCCTGAGGAGTGTGTGAACTTAGAAGGCGGGCCTGTAAAAGAAATGCATAGAGGTCTATTCTGTAAGAACTCAACATCAGCTAAACATGGTCATCATTAACATATTTATTCCTCTTAACAGTTCATTAATTCTGGAGCCTTCCTAATTGCAGTGAAAAGAAAAACCACAGAAACTCTGGTGAGTTATATTCTTACTTTATTAAAAATATATTTTGTAGCCAGTCATGGTGGCTCATACCTGTAATCCCAGCACTTTGGGAGGCCAAGACGGGTGGATCATGAGGTCAGGAGTTCAAGACCAGCCTGGCCAACATGGTGAAACCCCATCTCTACTAAAAATACAAAATTAGCCAGGTGTGGTGGCACACACCTGTAGTCCCAGCTACTCAGGAGGCTGAGGCAGGAGAATTGCTTGTACCTGGGAGGTGGAGGTTGCAAGGAGCCGAGATCGTGCCTGGGCAACGGAAAAGACTCCATCTCAAAAAAAAAAAACAAAAAAAAGTAATGAGTTACATTTTCACTATTTCCACTTTATTAAAAATATATAACTTTCAAATAATTTATCCTGGCCTTGAAAAAAATTTGTAAAATCATTAGGTCACCATAATTCCACAAACTATCAAGTATTAATACCAATAAACAGCATTTGCTTCCTGTTTTCCTAGAATTATAACCCATTATGCTAGAGGAGAAAGTTTCTCTAGGTCATCTAGTTTAGCTCTTATTTTATGTATGAAGACACTGAGGCTTACAATCGTTAAATAGCTTGTCCAAATTCCCAGCCAATTAATGGTAGAATTATTTCAACATTCCAGTTACTTATTCATTCTTTTTTGTTTTCTGGGTATTTACGGCATACCAGGCACTTTGACAGGCACTACTTTGACTCATACGAAAGGCAAACTGTAGACAATCTAATTAAACCATAAACAGAATCTCAAAATAAAGAATACAGTGCTACTGAATGTAAAGTTATAGATAAATTATAAGTAGAATATTTTTACTTTACTCAAAGAATTGAAGACATAAGATATTACTATGCCAACAAAAGATTTTAGCAAAGGACTGAAAATCCTTAGTTTGTCATTTTAGGGAGAAATTAAAAATGGCAGAGAAGTGCAGCATTCAGTTAAACTTAGGAGTCTTAAAATAAAAATGTAAACAGACCATGACTTTCACCAGAAAATCAAAATGCAATTGTTACAGGCACACCCTTCCTCCCAACTGAATAAGAGTTAACTTAGGCATAGAATATGGGGAATGGAAAGGTTACTAAAAGTTCACAAGATCCCCTTATTGTGTAGATGAAGGCCTGAAGCCCAAAGATGTGAAGCAATTCGCACAGGATCACAGAGCTGCCTCGTGGCATTAAGATGCTGTGACTAAAATCCTGCTCTCCATTCTCCGCACTCATTGCTTTGTTTGTAGTACAGGCTGGACCTCAGTCACATTGTTATGTTCTTATTCTATTTCAGATAATATTGAGCCGAATAATGAATTTTCTTAGTGCCCTGGGAGCAATAGCTGGAATCATTCTCCTCACATTTGGTTTCATCCTAGATCAAAACTACATTTGTGGTTATTCTCACCAAAATAGTCAGTGTAAGGCTGTTACTGTCCTGTTCTTGGTAAGTATGTTGCATTTATAGAGTGATGAGTAAAGGGCTTAATAGAAAATATTTATTAGCACTCAATCAGCACCATTCAGATCATGTTGTGGACACATGTATTTTCTTTTACTGACAAACATTTATGAAATCCATAATATTTGATAGACATTACACCAGGCATTGTGGAAGAGAAAAATAAACACATTATAACTCCCACCTTTAGGAATTCACAGGAGCACAAGAGATAAAACATACACAAATCAGTATGATACAAATATAAATCTAAAAAAAAAAGGTACAGCAGTATGGCTGTAGTTTATAGCCCTATATGTACATTAGAATCACAGTGGTGTGTTTTTACAGTTCTTGATTTGGTTTTAACAGGCTGAACTTCCGATAAAGCATGATAAGATTGAAAAGGGGCATTTATTTTAGCTGCCTTCAAAATACCACTAAGATTAGTGTAAAAGAATGTAAAAGGTTTGATCCACATGGAGAGAAAAAGAGAGTTACCAAACACACACAAAAATTGCTGAGGAAATTGAAAACCCACCATCTAAGGCAAAGCAGGGGGAAGTCATATTAGAAGATATTTCTTACAGCAGAGCCTAAGAAATACTTAATATTTGAATGCACCAGGTCCACAGAAAGCAGGACTAAAGAGCAGAAAATAGGGAGACTGATTTTGGTAATGGTTAAGTATGGCTATGTGGATTAACTCTTCTCTGAAAACAGAAGTCTTTTTATTAAAAAACAAAACAACCTTAAAGACATTAAAAAGCTGAAAGGTCAGCTGGAACTACTAGATCAATTTTTAGATGAAAGCCTGCAACCTGAAATTTACAAGTGGAACTCTGAAGAGCATGAAAGCTACTTATGCCTTCAGACCCATTTGCCAGTGATGCTTATTTGGAATCCAATCCCTGGCCCATGTGGACTGAAAGAGAAAGAAGTCAAGGTTTCACATCCACTCAAAGTATAAAGACTTAAGAGAGATTTTCTCCGTATTAAACTAGGTCTTTGATAGGCTACTACGCTCTTCAGGTAAGGGCAAAAAGATATACAACGTACCCTGCCCCAAAATAGCAAAGTCGCTGAACAAAGTTTAAAAAGGAAAAGTATTTGAGAAGTGTGGCCACAAGCCAAACAAACCCCTTGACAACCTCCTTGCACGCCCCAATCCCCACTGACCTTTGCTAGGCATAAACTGGATAAGGCAAGAATGTTTTACCTGAATTTGGTCTTGGTATGTGGTGCCCCTGGTACCTGGCAGAAGCAAAACCGAAGTCTATCTAGGAGAAAAACATTCATTAATCTTAATAAATTCCCATCAAATTTTCCATTGAAAATTAACAGTAAGCACTCAAAAGAGGCCTAAAAAGAAATAAGACAATGCGAATAACAACTAATAGAAACAGAACATAGCAAAAAAAAAATCACCTGTAAATTTCTGATACTAAGTATATTAGAAGAGATTTTAAAACCACAATATTTATCATGTTTTAAGAAATAAATGAGGGGGGAGGAGCCAAGATGGCCAAATAGGAACAGCTCCGGTCTACAGCTCCCAGCGTGAGAGACGCAGAAGACGGGTGATTTCTGCATTTCCATCTGAGGTACCCGGTTCATCTCACTAGGGAGTGCCAGACAGTGGGCGCAGGTCAGTGGGTGCGTGCACCCTGCGCGAGCCGAAGCAGGGCGAGGCATTGCCTCACTTGGGAAGCGCAAGGGGTCAGGGAGTTCCCTTTCTGAGTCAAAGAAAGGGGTGACGGACGGCACCTAGAAAATCGGGTCACTCCCACCCGAATACTGCGCTTTTCCGACGGGCTTAAAAAACGGCGCACCACGAGATTATATCCCGCACCTGGCTCGGAGGGTCCTATGCCCACGGAGTCTCGCTGATTGCTAGCACAGCAGTCTGAGATCAAACTGCAAGGCGGCAGCAAGGCTGGGGGAGGGGCGCCCGCCATTGCCCAGGCTTGCTTAGGTATACAAAGCAGCTGGGAAGCTCCAACTGGGTGGATCCCACGACAGCTCAAGGAGGCCTGCCTGCCTCTGTAGGCTCCACCTCTGGGGGCAGGGCACAGACAAACAAAAAGACAGCAGTAACCTCTGCAGACTTAAATGTCCCTGTCTGACAGCTTTGAAGAGAGCAGTGGTTCTCCCAGCTGGAGATCTGAGAACGGGCAGACTGCCTCCTCAAGTGGGTCCCTGACCCCTGACCCCCGAGCAGCCTAACTGGGAGGCACCCCCCAGCAGGGGCACACTGACACCTCACACGGCAGAGTACTCCAACAGACCTGCAGCTGAGGGTCCTCTCTGTTAGAAGGAAAACTAACAAACAGAAAGGACATCCACACCAAAAACCCATCTGTACATCACCATCATCAAAGACCAAAAGTAGATAAAACCACAAAGATGGGGAAAAAACAGAACAGAAAAACTGGAAACTCTAAAAAGCAGAGTGCCACTCCTCCTCCAAAGGAATGCAGTTCCTCACCAGCAACGGAACAAAGCTGGATGGAGAATGACTTTGACGAGTTGAGAGGAGGCTTCAGACGATCAAATTACTCTGAGCTATGGGAGGACATTCAAACCAAAGGCAAAGAGGTTGAAAACTTTGAAAAAAATTTAGAAGAATGTATAACTAGAATAACCAATACAGAGAAGTGCTTAAAGGAGCTGATGGAGCTGAAAACCAAGGCTCGAGAACTACGTGAAGAACGCAGAAGCCTCAGGAGTCGATGCGATCAACTGGAAGAAAGGGTATCAGCGATGGAAGATGAAATGAATGAAATGAAGCGAGAAGGGAAGTTTAGAGAAAAAAGAATAAAAAGAAATGAGCAAAGCCTCCAAGAAATATGGGACTATGTGAAAAGACCAACTCTACATCTGATTGGTGTACCTAAAAGTGATGGGGAGAATGGAACCAAGTTGGAAAACACTCTGCAGGATATTATCCAGGAGAACTTCCCCAATCTAGCAAGGCAGGCCAACGTTCAGATTCAGGAAATACAGAGAACGCCACAAAGATACTCCTCGAGAAAAGCAACTCCAAGACACATAATTGTGAGATTCACCAAAGTGGAAATGAAGGAAAAAATGTTAAGGGCAGCCAGAGAGAAAGGTTGGGTAACCCTCAAAGGGAAGCTCATCAGACTAACAGTGGATCTCTCGGCAGAAACCCTACAAGCCAGAAGAGAGTGGGGGCCAATATTCAACATTCTGAAAGAAAAGAATTTTCAACCCAGAATTTCATATCCAGCCAAACTAAGCTTCATAAGTGAAGGAGAAATAAAATACTTTACAGACAAGCAAATGCTGAGAGATTTTGTCACCACCAGGCCTGCCTTACAAGAGCTCCTGAAGGAAGCACTAAACATGGAAAGGAACAACTGGTACCAGCCGCTGCAAAATCATGCCAAAATGTAAAGACCATCGAGACTAGGAAGAAACTGCATCAACTAACGAGCAAAATAACCAGCTAACATCATAATGACAGGATCAAATTCACACATAACAATATTAACTTTAAATGTAAATGGACTAAATGCTCCAATTAATAGACACAGACTGGCAAATTGGATAAAGAGTCAAGACCCATCAGTGTGCTGTATTCAGGAAATGCATCTCATGTGCAGAGACACACATAGGCTCAAAATAAAAGGATGGAGGAAGTTCTACCAAGCAAATGGAAAACAAAAAAAGGCAGGGGTTGCAATCCTAGTCTCTGATAAAACAGACTTTAAATCAACAAAGATCAAAAGAGACAAAGAAGGCCATTACATAATGGTAAAGGGATCAATTCAACAAGAAGAGCTAACTATCCTGAATATATATGCACCCAATACAGGAGCACCAAGATTCATAAAGCAAGTCCTGAGTGACCTACAAAGAGACTTAGACTCCCACACATTAATAATGGGAGACTTTAACACCCCACTGTCAACATTAGACAGATCAACGAGACAGAAAGTCAACAAGGATACCCAGGAATTGAACTCAGCTCTGCACCAAGCAGACCTAATAGACATCTACAGAACTCTCCACGCCAAATCAACAGAATATACATTTTTTTCAGCACCACACCACACCTATTCCAAAATTGACCACATATTGGGAAGTAAAGCTCTCCTCAGCAAATGTAAAAGAACAGAAATTATAACAAACTATCTCTCAGACCACAGTGCAATCAAACTAGAACTCAGGATTAAGAATCTCACTCAAAACTGCTCAACTACATGGAAACAGAACAACCTGCTCCTGAATGACTACTGGGTACATAATGAAATGAAGGCAGAAATAAAGATGTTCTTTGAAACCAATGAGAACAAAGACACAACATATCAGAATCTCTGGGATGCATTCAAAGCAGGATGTAGAGGGAAATTTAAAGCACTAAATGCCCACAAGAGAAAGCAGGAAAGATCCAAAATTGACACCCTAACATCACAATTAAAAGAACTAGACAAGCAAGAGCAAACACATTCAAAAGCTAGCAGAAGCCAAGAAATAACTAAAATCAGAGCAGAACTGAAGGAAATAGAGACACAAAAAACTCTTCAAAAAATTAATGAATCCAGGAGCTGGTTTTTTGAAAGGATCAACAAAATTGATAGACTGCTAGCAAGACTAATAAAGAAAAAAAGAGAGAAGAATCAAATAGACGCAATAAAAAATGATAAAGGGGATGTCACCACCGATCCCACAGAAATACAAACGACCATCAGAGAAT
Source organism: Homo sapiens (assembly GCF_000001405.40). Taxonomy (NCBI): domain Eukaryota; kingdom Metazoa; phylum Chordata; class Mammalia; order Primates; family Hominidae; genus Homo; species Homo sapiens. Next base: position 60,438,635 of record NC_000011.10, read on the forward strand.
ACTACAAACACCTCTACGCAAATAAACTAGAAAATCTAGAAGAAATGGATAAATTCCTCGACACATACACTGTCCCAAGACTAAACCAGGAAGAAGTTGAATCTCTGAATAGACCAATAACAGGAGCTGAAATTGTGGCAATAATCAATAGCTTACCAACCAAAAAGAGTCCAGGACCAGATGGATTCACAGCCGAATTATACCAGAGGTACAAGGAGGAACTGGTACCATTCCTTCTGAAACTATTCCAATCAATAGAAAAAGAGGGAATCCTCCCTAACTCATTTTATGAGGCCAGCATCATTCTGATACCAAAGCCGGGCAGAGACACAACCAAAAAAGAGAATTTTAGACCAATATCCTTGATGAACATTGATGCAAAAATCCTCAATAAAATACTGGCAAACTGAATCCAGCAGCACATCAAAAAGCTTATCCACCATGATCAAGTGGGCTTCATCCCTGGGATGCAAGGCTGGTTCAATATATACAAATCAATAAATGTAATCCAGCATATAAACAGAGCCAAAGACAAAAACCACATGATTATCTCAATAGATGCAGAAAAAGCCTTTGACAAAATTCAACAACCCTTCATGCTAAAAACTCTCAATAAATTAGGTATTGATAGGACGTATTTCAAAATAATAAGAGCTATCTATGACAAACCCACAGCCAATATCATACTGAATGGGCAAAAACTGGAAGCATTCCCTTTGAAAACTGGCACAAGACAGGGATGCCCTCTCTCACCACTCCTATTCAACATAGTGTTGGAAGTTCTGGCCAGGGCAATTAGGCAGGAGAAGGACATAAAGGGTATTCAATTAGGAAAAGAGGAAGTCAAATTGTCCCTGTTTGCAGATGACATGATTGTATATCTAGAAAACCCCATTGTCTCAGCCCAAAATCTCCTTAAGCTGATCAGCAACTTCAGCAAAGTCTCAGGATACAAAATCAATGTACAAAAATCACAAGCATTCTTATACACCAACAACAGACAAACAGAGAGCCAAATCATGAGTGAACTCCCATTCACAATTGCTTCAAAGAGAATAAAATACCTAGGAATCCAACTTACAAGGGATGTGAAGGACCTCTTCAAGGAGAACTACAAACCACTGCTCAAGGAAATAAAAGAGGATACAAACAAATGGAAGAACATTCCATGCTCATGGGTAGGAAGAATCAATATCGTGAAAATGGCCATACTGCCCAAGGTAATTTACAGATTCAATGCCATCCCCATCAAGCTACCAATGACTTTCTTCACAGAATTGGAAAAAACTATTTTAAAGTTCATATGGGACCAAAAAAGAGCCCACATCGCCAAGTCAATCCGAAGCCAAAAGAACAAAACTGGAGGCATCACACTACCTGACTTCAAACTATACTACAAGGCTACAGTCACCAAAACAGCATGGTACTGGTACCAAAACAGAGATATAGATCAATGGAACAGAACAGAGCCCTCAGAAATAACGCCGCATATCTACAACTATCTGATCTTTGACAAACCTGAGAAAAACAAGCAATGGGGAAAGGATTCCCTATTTAATAAATGGTGCTGGGAAAACTGGCTAGCCATATGTAGAAAGCTGAAACTGGATCCCTTCCTTACACCTTATACAAAAATCAATTCAAGATGGATTAAAGACTTAAACGTTAGACCTAAAACCATAAAAACCCTAGAAGAAAACCTAGGCAATACCATTCAGGACATAGGCATGGGCAAGGACTTCATGTCTAAAACACCAAAAGCAATGGCAACAAAAGACAAAATTGACAAATGGGATCTAATTAAACTAAAGAGCTTCTGCACAGCAAAAGAAATCACCATCAGAGTGAACAGGCAAGCTACAAAATGGGAGAAAATTTTTGCAACCTACTCATCTGACAAAGGGCTAATATCTAGAATCTACAATGAACTCAAACAAATTTACAAGAAAAAAACAAACAACCCCATCAAAAAGTGGGTGAAGGACATGAACAGACACTTCTTAAAAGAAGACATTTATGCAGCCAAAAAACACATGAAAAAATGCTCACCATCACTGGCCATCAGAGAAATGCAAATCAAAACCACAATGAGATACCATCTCACACCAGTTAGAATGGCAATCATTAAAAAGTCAGGAAACAACAGGTGCTGGAGAGGATGTGGAGAAATAGGAACACTTTTACACTGTTGGTGGGACTGTAAACTAGTTCAACCATTGTGGAAGTCAGTGTGGCAATTCCTCAGGGATCTAGAACTGGAAATACCATTTGACCCAGCCATCCCATTACTGGGTATATACCCAAAGGACTATAAATCATGCTGCTATAAAGACACACGCACACGTATGTTTATTGCGGCATTATTCACAATAGCAAAGACTTGGAACCAACCCAAATGTCCAACAATGATAGGCTGGATTAAGAAAATGTGGCATATATACACCATGGAATACTATGCAGCCATAAAAAATGATGAGTTCATGTCCTTTGTAGGGACATGGATGAAATTGGAAATCATCATTCTCAGTAATCTATCGCAAGAACAAAAAACCAAACACCGCATATTCTCACTCATAGGTGGGAATTGAACAATGAGATCACATGGACACAGGAAGGGGAATATCACACTCTGGGAACTGTTATGGGGTGGAGGGAGGGGGGGAGGGATAGCATCGGGAGATATACCTAATGCTAGATGACGAGTTAGTGGGTGCAGGGCACCAGCATGGCACATGTATACATATGTAACTAACCTGCACAATGTGCACATGTACCCTAAAACTTAAAGTATAATAAAAAAAAAGAAAAAGAAAAAGGCCATTAAAAAAAAAAAGAAAAAAAAAGAAAGGAGATAAGCCAATAGTTTTCCAAGCTGACTTAGAAACTCGACAAAAAAAATGGGTATATCCTTACTATTTGTCAGCATAACCTACCTTCTCTTATTATCTGTCAGTCTGAAATACTCCTCAATAATAAAAATGTCAAGACTTGAAAAAAAAAAAGAAAGAAATGATAAACTTTAAAATACCTCAGGGAATATAAAATAAAAGAAAGTGAACTAGAAGATTTTCTGTGTAAAACTATTATGTACCCATAAAAATAGAAAATTAAAAAATTTAAAATTTTAAAAAAAGATGGTCCCAGTAAATAAGAGTTTAAAAAACAAAACACAACTGCATTCTGTTTACAAGAAACAGCTACACTAGTAACAAACAAATAGATTTAAGGCAAGAAGCATTGCTAAACGTATAATAGGGGACTTTCTATAATAAAAGGGTCGATTCACAAGAGAAATATTACATTTCTAGGTTTGAATGCTCCTAATAACAACTCAAAGCCAAAAGGAAAAGCTAACTCAGCTGAATGAGTAGAGAAAGCTAAAATCATCATAAGAAATTTTAGCACACATTTCTCAGCAACTGAAAGAATATGTAGACAGACCATAAAATTACAGAATTTTGAATACAATTGATAAAATTGACCTAAATGTCATATATAGAATGAACACTACACCAAATAACTACAATTATAATACTGTCAACTGACATTTTTAATTGACAGATAAAATTATATGTATTTATCATGTATAACATATTTTGAAGTACATATATGCATTGTGGAATGTTTACATCTAGCTAATTAACAAAGGCATTACCTCCCATAGTTATCACTTTTGCAGTGAGAACACTTAACATTCACTATCTTTGCACTTTTAAGAATACAATAGCCATCATTCTCAGCAAACTAAGACAGGAACAGAAAACCAAACACCTTATGTTCTCACTCATAAGTGAGAGTTGAACAATGAGAAGACATGGACACAGGGAAGGGAATATCACACACCAAGGCCTGTTGGGGGGTAGTGGGACAAGGGGAGGGAGAGCTTTAGAACAAATACCTAATGCGTGTGGGGCTTAAAACCTCGATGACAGGTTGATAAGTGCAGCAAACCACCATTGCACATGTATACCTGTGTAACCTGCACGTCCTGCACATGTATCCCAGAACTTAAAGTAAAATAATAATAAAAAAAGAATACAATATACTGTCATTAACTATGGGCACCCCGCTGTACAACAGATCTCTTGAACTTATTCCTCCTATCTAACTAACTGATGGAAGTGATAAGACAATAGAATTACATCTTTAAAGTGCTCAAACAAAATAATGCCAACCCAGAATTCTAGGCCTGGTGAAAATGTTCTTCAAAAATGAAAGTGAAATAGCCAGGCGCAGTGGCTCAGGCCTGTAATCCCAGGACTTTGGGAGGCCAAGGTGGGCAGATCACTTGAGGTCAGGAGTTTGAGACCAGGCTGGCCAACATGGTGAAACACCATCTCTACTAAAAATACAAAAATTAGCAGGGCATGGTGGTGGGCAGCTTTAATCCCAGCTACTCGGGAAGCTGAGGCAGGAGAATCACTTGAACCTGGGAGGCGGAAGTTGAAGTGAGCCGGGACTGCACCACTGCACTCCAGCCTGGGCAGCAGAGCAAGACTCCGTCTCAAAAACAACAACAACAACAAAAACACAATGAAAGTGAAATAAAAACAACTGAAAAAATTGACAGATTTCACTTAGAACATTTTCAAGAATTAGCCATGTGCTGAGCCTACAAGCCTCAACAAAATTCAAAGAATTGAAATCATATACAGTATATTGTCTGAAAACAATGGAATTGAATTAAATGTCAATTTTAAAAAGGCAAAAAAAAAATCCCCAAAACTGTTTTGAAATTCTAAGTTATACAAGGCTCAAAGAATTTACAACAGACATAAAAAAATTAAAAACAAAATAATAGAAATATTTATATAAATTGATTACAACTAAAGTGTGCTTAGAGGAAACTTTACGACCTCAAAGGCAAGTATTGGGAAGGAAAATAGACTAAAAAGTAAATTATCTAAATATTCATACCAAGAAATTAGATTAAAAAATTAAATTTAAAGAAAATGAAAGAATTGAGATATAGTATTCTATAATAGACATAACAAAGAATAGAGATAAAAACTAATGAAATACAACACAAACCATGGATAAGATAAAATAAAGCTAAAATATGGATGTTTGAAAAACTAATAAAATTGGTAAACCCCTAGATATTTAAAAAGAAAAAAGAGAAAACACAAACTATCATTATCAGAAATGAAGGTGTATCACTATCAATACAATAGCCAAGAACATATGAGGAAATTATTAACATAAAAATTATTTGATGCATTAGATGATTGTTTCCTTATAAAACCTACCTACCAAAACTATGCAAAACCACCCGCCATGACTAACACAGGAAAAAATGTATATATCTGATTGGGCTTATATCTAATAAAAAATCAAATACATAATTTAAAACTTTCTCTCAAAAAAGAAAAAGCAAAGCCTTGCAGGAGCAGACTAATTTCTTCCAAACATTTAGAAAAGAAACAACACCAAACTGAATACTTTCAGTTCACTTCCCAACTCACGAGTATTCATGTGAGGCTGTCACAAGTTTGACATGAAAACATAAGGACATTATAAAATATTTAAAAATTACGGGTAACTCTATCTTGTAAACTTTGTGAAGAAATCTGAAATAAAATATTAACAAAATCAAATTCAGCATAATATATGATAATATACCGTGGCCAAGTCAGTGGATATCAGAAGTACACAATTGATTTCACATTCAAACATCAATCAGTGATACACCTAAATGTGAAATCCTAAACTATAAAGCTTGAGTGGGTGGGCTGCAGGGAACTTAGGAGAATATCTTCACGACCATGGTAGTAGACAAAGCTTTCTTAGATAAAACATAAAAGGGACTAAATATAGGGGAAAAATAAAATAAAATGGACTACCAAAGCACAGAAAGGGAGAAAATTTCCTCTCTCTATATATATCTCTCTCTCACAAAAGACCCACATCCAGAATATATTAAGCACTCCTGAAAATCAATAATAAAAAGGCCAAAAAAAGATTAAGACTTGAGCAAGCAGTTCACAAAGAAAGATAGATAAATGGCTAGTGAGCATATGAGAACGTGCTCAACATTATTAATCATCAGATAAATGCAAATTAAAATCACAATAAGACACTACTCCACACACACCAGAATCATTTTAATTAAAAGGACCACCAATACCGGGTGTTGGAAGGAATGTGAAGCAACTGGAACTCTCATACCCTTTTGATGGAAATGGGAAACGGAAAATGGTTCAACCACCTTGGAAAACTATTGGGTGGTTTTTTAAAAAGTTAATCATACACCTACTTTATGTCTCATGATATAGACAAAAATGTTTATAGCAGTCCTATTCATTATAGTTAAACTGATAAGGAACTCAAATTTCTATCAACAACAAAATGGCTAATTATTCAAATAATAGAATACTTCTCAGCAATATAAAAGAACAACCTACTGACACAGAGGAGCATGAATGAATTTCAATTTATTATACCGAGGCAAACAATTTCAGATAAAAAATAAACAGGCAAATTTAACACATGATGCTAGAAATCAGAAGGGTGGTTGACTCTCAATAGGGTGGGAGGATTGATTGGGAAGGGACACAAGAGAACCTACTGGGGTGATAAAAATGTGATATATCTTGACGTGGAAAGAAAAAGAGATAAAAGACATTTCTTCTTTTTTTTTTTTGAGATGAAGTCTCACTCTGTTGCCCAGGCTGGTGTGCAGTGATGTCATCTCGGCTTACTGCAACCTCCATCTCCCAGGTTCAAGTGATTCTCCTGTCTCAGCCTCCCGAGTAGCTGAGATTACAGGCTCATGCTGCCATGCCCAGCTAATTTTTTGTATTTTAGTAAAGATGGGGTTTCAGCATGTTGCCCAGGCTGGTCTCAAACTCCTGAGCTCAGGCAATCCACCAGCCTCGGCCTCCCAAAGTGCTAGGATTACAGGCATGAGCTGGCGCAACCAGCCAAAATACACTTCTTTATATATAAACTTTGATATAGTTAAAAATGGAAAATATAGTTTTAAAGCAGATAACAGCAACATTTTCATGTGTTTATATACAGAGTGCATATAACTGACAAGAAGTCAAGAAAAAATTTTCTTTTTAAAAGATAAAGAATATGAGGAAAGAATTTACAAAAAGGAAACTACAATGGCCAAACATACAATAATGCTCCAATTCACTAATAGTCAGGGAAATGTCAATTAATTTAACAATGAACTAATATTTACATCACTAGACTGGCAAAAATTAATGAGTTATAATTTATGGCTGGTATTTATCACTGGTGAAAACAATGTTCTTGTATATCAGGACTAGAAGTGTGCAATGTCACTGCCATTTTGGGAAGCAAGGATACAACATTTACCTACCTGAATGATAAACAGACCTTTTAACCCAGATGTCTATCTCTACAGTAATTAAACCACCTGTATATAATGGTATATGTACAACAATGCTATTGCAGCATTGTTCAGAGGGGTAAAACAAACAAACAAAAAAACACAGAAAAAAAGAGGAAATCAATCAGTTCCTGTCACAAAAGAATAAATGAATGATGACAAACTACACCATGAAATATTAAGTGGCCATTAAAAACCATGTGGCTCTAAAATAGCTCTTCAATCTATAGTTAAAATATAGTAGACAAATAAGGCTTCAGGAGAGGATGTTAACCATATTAACCTTTGCAACCTAAGTATAAAGTAAAGCTCTCAGAAGACTGCAAACTTTAACTGGTAAGTGCAGGTCTGCAGCCTCTGGGCTACTGACAAGATGTGTATCTCTATTTGTGCTCATAGTTGCCAAAATACAAAATATTTTGAAGGTCTTTTGCTGTGATTGAAAAAAACACAGGTGGGGCCGGGCCATGGTGGCTCATGCCTGTAATCCCAGCACTTTGGGAGGCCAAGGTGGGCAGATCACCTGAAGTCAGGAGTTCAGCGCTGCCAACATGGCGAAACCCCGTCTCTACTAAAAACACAAAAACTAGCCGGGTTTGGTGGTGGGCACCTGTAATCCCAGCTACTCGGGAGGCTGAGGCAGGAGAATCGCTTGAACCTGGGAGTTGGAGGTTGCAGTGAGCCGAGATCCTGCCATTGTACTCCAGCCTGGCTGATAAGAGTGAAACTCCGTCTCAAAAAAAAAAAAAAGACAAAAAAGAAACCAAAAAAACGGTGAACTACTAGCGTATGCTTCTTATGTCTCTTTCGCTTTCTCTTTTACTAAGCCAATAGTTTTCTTTTTTCCCTCTTTTTCTTTTCTATTTTTAGTTCTTTTTCCTGTTTCTTCACCTTCTTTCTTTCCCCTTCATTAGACCACCTTTTATATATGCATTTCTTTGCATTTTATGCATTTATAAAATGGACTATTTCCTACATATATAAATCAAAAATGTATTTTTATATGCCTTTCTCTAAAAAGATAATATGCTATGCTATGCTATGCTATGCTATCCCATGCTATGCTATGCTATGCTATCCTATGCTATGCTAGCTATGCTATGCTATGTTAGCTATCCTATGCTATCCTATGCTATGCTATGCTATGCTATGCTATCCTATGCTATCCTATGTTATGCTATGCTATGCTATCCTATGCTATGCTATCCTATGCTATGCTATGCTATCCTATGCTATGCTATGCTATCCTATACTATGCTATGCTATCCTATGGTATCCTATGCTATGCTATGCTATGCTATCCTATGCTGTGCTATGCTATGCTATGCTATGCTATGCTATGCTATGCTATGCTATGCTATGCTATGCTATGCAATGCAGTGCTATGCTATCCTATGCTGTGCTGTACTATGCTATGCTATCCTAGGCTATGCTATGCTATGCTATCCTATTCTATGCTATGCTATCCTATGCTTAAATAGATGCATACTCTGAAAATCCTTCACTGATTTGATTCCTAAGCATCAGATACACTTGAGATATTTGGGGAAGCTTTTATTATCTGGGCATCACTATGTCATTATAATCAGGAAAACCGTTACTGTGCCAACATCATGACTCTTCATTTTTTTTTCTTCTTCTTCTATTACAGGGAATTTTGATTACATTGATGACTTTCAGCATTATTGAATTATTCATTTCTCTGCCTTTCTCAATTTTGGGGTGCCACTCAGAGGATTGTGATTGTGAACAATGTTGTTGACTAGCACTGTGAGAATAAAGATGTGTTAAAATATTATGTAGCAATGACTTCTGCTTGTAAGGGAAAGCCAAAGGACACATAGAATCTTAAGGCTGGGAACTCTTTGAAGCAAAGGGGAGTGGCTCAAGTGAAGGGGTTCTGGGGACATTTTGACTGATAAAGCACATTCTGCCTCTTGGCAATGCCATCTGCACCTCTCCCCAAATCAAATGGTCACCTTGGTGTTGTCACCTCTGTTAGTCATGCATTATTTCAACTAAAGGACAGCAATGTGGTGTTGCAAAGATAGGAACCAAAGCCCAAGGCCTGGGGTGACCCAGTCATCTAACTTCTCTGGTTGATGACATCTCCTGTTGATTTCACTAAGAGACTCCACCCAGTGGCTCCTACTCCAGTGGTGTGTGGAAAGATGAGCTGGTTGGTGGAATGGTTTGGCCCATAAATTCTACATTAATGCTGCAAGATCATCAATGTTAAAGAGCTGATCAACTAGAATACTAACAATAGTAAAAATAATGAAGGCAAATATTGGTGGAACCACTACTATATTCCAGGCATCATTCTAAGTATTATATAGGTGTTACTCATTTAATCTCACAAAAGTCCTAGGAGGTGAATTGTATTATTATACCCATTTTACAGAAAAGGAAACTGAAGCACAGAGGGGGTAAGTAATTTGCTCAAGGTCATAAAGTTTGCAATGGCAGAGCCATAGTATCAACAGGCAGCCGGTTCCAGAATCCAAGGTCTTAATTCCAATGCCAAGCAAAGTTTGGAAGGAACTACTTTCCTCTGGATTCTCTTAGCAGCTTTTGCATTCAATCTGTTATGATATCTCGTGTTCTGTAGCCTATGGAGTATACTACTGTAAACTTGTGAAAAGAGAAATAAGGTCTTAGTATTATTACAAAAATAGTTTTGAACTTATAGGGCACCTACAAAGGTCTCAAGGACCCCAGGAAATCCGAGACCACACTTTGAGAACCACTACCTTATATGGTATTGCCTCTCACTGGCTGAATACCTCCTAAGTATTAGAGGTCTCACCTGTATCATCTCACTTGTCCTGACAGCCCTCAGGGTAGATATGTCTTTTGTCATAGTCATAAAAATTGAAGCTCAAAGTGGTTAGCTTTTCTGAGAGCACAAAAGGAGCATGATTTAGAAAGAGGATTTGAGTCAAGTTCCCTAACTTCAAATCCCATTATCCTATGTTGTTTATGGTATAGAAAAAAAAAACTCAGCATACTCAAAAAATGAAGTAACAGGCTTTCATTTCTACTATTTGCTGGCAGCAGCTTAGGTTATAGGTGCATTTGTGAAGGTGACGGATACAACATGGCAGGAAAAATAAGTAAGTTTTTTACTTCAGTGAAGTTAGGTTATGATGAAAAATACTTGGCAACTGAATGATGTACAGATGTGTGAGGCTTGAGATATATTTGAGGGTGCAAAGTCTTGGGCTTTTAAGTCAACTAGGTTTAAATGTTGTCTTGAAGTCAAAAAATAGTAGATGCAAGTTGTGGAGAAAAGGGAATGCTTACACACTTCTGGGGGGAATGTAAATTAGTTCTGCCACTGTAAAAAAAGCAGTTTGGCAATTTCTCAAAGAACTCAAAGCAAAATTACTATTCAACCCAGCAATCCCATTATTGGGTACATACCCAAAGGAACATAAATCGTTCTACCATAAACACATATGCACGTATATGTTCATTGCAGCACTATTTGCAATAGCAAAAACGTGGAATCAACCTAAATGCCCATCAACAGCAGACTAGATAAAGAAAATGTGGTACATATACACCATGGAATACTACATAGCCATAGAAAAGAATGAGATAATGTCCTTTGCAGCAACATAGATGAAGCTGGAGGCCAGTATTCTAAGCAAACTAACACAGCAACTGAAAAGAAAATACTGCATGTGTTCTCACTTATAAGTGGGAGCTAAACATTGAGTACATATGGACACAAAGAAGGGAACAACAGGCACTGGGGCCTACTTGAGGGTGGAGGATGGGAGGAGGGTGAGGATCAAAAAACTACTATTGGGTACTATGCTTATTACCTGGGTGACAAAGTAACCTGTATATCAAACCCCCGTGACATGCCACTTACCTATATAACACATCTGCACATGTACCCTGAACCTAAAATAAAATTTAAAAAACAAAGAAGAAATGTTAAAATTATTAGAAATAAAGATAGAAGACTTCTTTACAAAGTCAAGGTAGTAAAGAATTTCTTAAACAGATCCCAGAACATGAATAGTACCAGCAAGAACTGATACAACCCATTTAGTCGTTATTAAGAATGTTACATAAGTGTGACGAGAGCAGCTACAAATCAAAGCCTTTTAGCAACACAAATAACCAACAAAAATAATGGGATATAGAATATATAAAATCCTCCTATACATTAATAGAAAAATACAACTTGATGAAAACTTAGTCCAAAGCCATGCACAGCCATTTCACAGGAGACAGAAACAAAGGTTAATATATGAAAAGCACTCAATTTCTTAAGCAATTGTGGAATGAAAGGAACTCTCCTACCACAATGGTATGAGTGTAAATGAAGACAACCACTTTAAAAACTATTCCCTAGTAAAGGTAAAGATACACATACTTTATAACCCAACAATTCCACTGCTAGTTAATATACGCAAGAGAAATCCTTGTACATGTGCAACATATGACACGTACGAATGTTTCCAGAGCAGGATTGCCTGCAATACCTCAAATGTCCATGGACAGAGAACAGATCAATTGTACCATGTTCCCTACTGGAGGACCACATATTGGTAAAAATAAATTACTTGAAGCAAATCAACAAAGATGAATTATACACATTTAATGTTGAGTAAAGAAAGCAAGTCACAAAAGAACATCTTATTAATTCTACCTAAATAATGATTAGAAAACACAAAAACTGCTCTCTCCCTCTCCCTCTCCCTCTCCCCGCAGTCTCCCTCTCATGCTGAGCCGAAGCTGGACTGTACTGCTGCCATCTCGGCTTACTGCAACCTCCCTGCCTGATTCTCCTGACTCAGCCTGCCGAGTGCCTGCGATTGCAGGCTCGCGCCGCCACGCCTGACTGGTTTTGGTGGAGACGGGGTTTCGCTGTGTTGGCCAGGCCGGTCTCCAGCCCCTAACCGCAAGTGATCCGCCAGCCTCGGCCTCCCGAGGTGCCGGGATTGCAGACGGAATCTCGTTCACTCAGTGCTCAATGGTGCCCAGGCTGGAGTGCAGTGGCGTGATCTCGGCTCGCTACAACCTCCACCTCCCAGCCGCCTGCCTTGGCCTCCCGAAGTGCCGAGATTGCAGCCTCTGCCCGGCTGCCATCCCGTCTGGGAAGTGAGGAGCGTCTCTGCCTGGCCGCCCATCGTCTGGGATGTGAGGAGCCCCTCTGCCTGGCTGCCCAGTCTGGAAAGTGAGGAGCGTCTCCGCCCGGACGCCATCCCATCTAGGAAGTGAGGAGCACCTCTTCCCAGCCGCCATCACATCTAGGAAGTGAGGAGCGTCTCTGCCCGGCCGCCCATCGTCTGAGATGTGGGAGCGCCTCTGCCCCGCCGACCCGTCTGGGATGTGAGGAGCACCTCTGCCCGGCCGCGACCCCGTCTGGGTGGTGAGGAGCATCTCTGCCCGGCCGCCCCATCTGAGAAGTGAGGAGCCCCTCCGCCCGGCAGCCGCCCCGTCTGAGAAGTGAGGAGCCTCTCCGCCCGGCAGCCACCCCGTCTGGGAAGTGAGGAGCGTCTCCCGGCAGCCACCCCGTCCGGGAGGGAGGTGGGGGGGTCAGTCCCCCGCCAGGCCAGCCGCCCCATCCGGGAGGGAGGTGGGGGGTCAGCCCCCCGCCCGGCCAGCCGCCCCGTCCGGGAGGTGAGGGGCGCCTCTGCCCGGCCGCTCCTACTGGGAAGTGAGGAGCCCCTCTGCCCGGCCAGCCGCCCCATCCGGGAGGGAGGTGGGGGGGTCAGCCCCCCGCCAGGCCAGCCGCCCAGTCCGGGAGGGAGGTGGGGGGGTCAGCCCCCCGCCCGGCCAGCCGCCCCACCCGGGAGGTGAGGGGCGCCTCTGCCCAGCCGCCCCTACTGGGAAGTGAGGAGCCCCTCTGCCCGGCCACCACCCCGTCTGGGAGGTGTGCCCAACAGCTCATTGAGAACGGGCCAGGATGACAATGGCGGCTTTGTGGAATAGAAAGGCGGGAAAGGTGGGGAAAAGATTGAGAAATCGGATGGTTGCCGTGTCTGTGTAGAAAGAAGTAGACATGGGAGACTTTTCATTTTGTTCTGTACTAAGAAAACTTCTGCCTTGGGATCCTGTTGATCTGTGACCTTACCCCCAACGCTGTGCTCTCTGAAACATGTGCTCTGTCCACTCAGGGTTCAATGGATTAAGGGCGGTGCAAGGTGTGCTTTGTTAAACAGATGCTTGAAGGCAGCATGCTCGTTAAGAGTCATCACCACTCCCTAATCTCAAGTACCCAGGGACACAAACACTGCGGAAGGCCGCGGGGTCCTCTGCCTAGGAAAACCAGAGACCTTTGTTCACTTGTTTATCTGCTGACCTTCCCTCCACTATTGTCCTATGACCCTGCCAAATCCCCCTCTGTGAGAAACACCCAAGAATTATCAATAAAAAATAAATAAATTAAAAAAAAAAAGAAAACACAAAAACTAAGCAATATGTCCGTGTGAAATGTAAGCATATGTGGAAAGTCAAAATACAATGAAAAGGAAGAGAGTGATAAACACCAAATTCAGCATAATTGTGAGCTCTGATAAAGAGGGTGGCTTGGGGAAGGATAACCTGAGAGCTTTCAAAGGTATCAGTGACACTCTTGTATCTCTAATCATGGCTGTGGGCACATGGTTTCTTGTCTCACTGTTATAAGTACTTTTTCATACATATTATTTAATTTTTTGAGAAATATAATTGAGAAAGCAAAACAACATCTTATTTTCATTAAATTTTTTATCACATAATGATATTTTTATAGTCAACACCTGCAGAAAAATGTTACCGTTACATATCAGTAACACTTCATCTCCAATGATAGCATATTTATTGGTACATAAGAGAAAAAACTCTTTTCAATAACTATGAGGTCATAATTGCATTTTTTTCTTCAGCTATATTCCCACGTCACAAAAGCAAAGGGAGTGATCCAGTAATCTGCACATGGGAGTACATCAGACATTTTTATATCTTAAAACGAATAATAATAAATGTTTTGCCATTTAAAGCTGTGTCACTTGAACAAATTAATCTTTGCGGGCTTAAAATTTTTAGACTAGAATGCAATAATAGTAATACCTACCTAATGGGTTTACTGTGAACCTTAAATGAAACATGGAAAGTGAGTTTATCAGTGCCTGGAACTTAAAAATCACTTAGTAAATGCTAGTTTTTGAAATTTATAATTGAGATTTTCTTGCTCTAAACATCACTTATTTTACCATTTACCAGCTTTCCAACTTGGGAATGGCTTCCTCCATTTCCTGAAATTTAGTTTCCACAATTATAAAACAGAATCAATATTATATGTGTGGTAAGGCTTATATGTGGACAATTCTTGACATAAAAGGAATTATTTAACTAATATTACCTTCCTAGCTGTTCCAAATGTATAGTCCCTTAGAAGAGAAAGAAGACCCTATCAACTATAAAGTTCTTAAGTATTTCAATTTACATTTTCCTTACTATGAATTATTTATAAGTGCAACAATGGGATTTTCTGACCTGTAACCAAGTTCTATTTGCAATTAGATCTTTAGCCTCACCTCTGACGAGCCCTATGTCTCCCTTACCAATTCTTTGACACCAGAACCCTCCAACAGCAGATAATTCTGGGTGCCAGGGCCTTGCTGAGAAGTTGAGAACGTGGCATAATGTTACTTCCTAATATTGGAGAGCCTGGGGACAATCACCTGGGTGAAAGAAAAAGCCAAACAGAACCATTCCTTCTCAGCACTGCCAGGGACACAGCAATCACAAAAACTGACCCTGCCTTCAAGGGACAAGGAGACAATGGCTGATTAAGGCAAGGACACAAATAATTATGATGTAGCACACAGTTTTCATATAGAAGGCAATGATTAAAAAAATTGGAGTGCTGGGACGTGCAGAGAATAAAAAGGAAATTCACATCAGGAAAATACTAACTAAATAAAAGTTGGCATACTTTTATGTAGACTTTAAGATTGTCTTTTGGAAGCAAGGTCACTAGATAATGAAAATAGGCTTAATTCAAAGAGAAATATTTTAAATATGTTATCAACCTAATAAAATATTCTCAAACCTTGGGGGAAGAGTGATGGTGATACATCAAATAAGATGCTATTGACAAGTCCAAATTGTAGTGAGAATTTCAACACACTCAAGCACTAAAATGTTGATCATTCAAATGAGCAAAGACAAGGTAAATGTTTATGCATTCATACAAATTCAAATTCAAGTTTATTTGGGAAGAATCATACATAGAGCCACCTAAGTTATCTCATTGGCCACAAAGTAGCAAACAACCTGAGACTGACTGGGGAAATACAGGGCTCAAACAGAGAAAAGGATGCAAAAGACCAGGTTGTGCTGCCACAACTCAAGCCCCTTTGCTGCCATACATTTGCCAAGTCCTGACCCTGTTCCCATGCCAACTAAAATGAAGGCACATGCCTCTAACCACCCCACCATCCAGGACTCAAACCTCAGGTTTCACAATCATCCACAACTCAGACCCTAGGTAATTGTCCTCCCATCACCAATCACTCAAGCATTTCAGCAGATATGCATAGACCCTCAATTAGAATGTTAAATGGATGATGGATCTTCTGTTCCCACTCTCCTTCACTCTACAGCATCTCTGAGAGGTGACTGCATGACTTTACTTGAGTATTCTTGAAGAAGTAAATTCTCTATTGAAATGGTAGCCAGTTCCCCTAATGAAC
Source organism: Homo sapiens (assembly GCF_000001405.40). NCBI lineage: Eukaryota > Metazoa > Chordata > Mammalia > Primates > Hominidae > Homo > Homo sapiens. Next base: position 60,454,700 of record NC_000011.10, read on the forward strand.
GGCTCCAACAATTTTTTTTTTTAGAGTGGCATCTTTTTAAATATCACACCACAATCAGCCTCCCCAGAACTACTTCTACCCAGTGGATCTAACCCTATGGTTCCAAACTATCTTAAATTTAAAAAGAGAGGCAGAAAGAGAAAGAGAGAAGAGATGAAAGAGAGAGACAGGAATGAACCTCGAATTAGGCAACAGAGCTGCCTGCCATATTTCATCCCTTTAGATTAAATAAACAAATAATTACCTAACTATAGCTCTGTGTCTCTAATAAAATGAAGCAATGAACAGGGAAATAAAAATGTAATTAAAAATCCCACATATGAACATAAAAGTTGAATATTGTAGGGGGAGAGAGAGGACATTATCTTTGGGCAAAACTTTGATTCACATCCCAAATATTTAGACTCTCCTGACACTACCAACTTCTTCCATTTCCCTACTTGATCTAGTACTGTGCTTGATGACCCTGCAGCTCCAGACTAGACTAAAAAGAGAGGGGACACAAGGGAACTTGACAGACAGAAGAAAAAGGTGGGTTCAGAGGTAAAAGTGCTATTTCAATTTATATTTCCAAATATGGAGGCTAATTCTTGCTTTGAGTGGCTGGGTACATGTACTATGGCACTAAAGTATAATTTTAGGCCATTTCTGCTAAATCTGACACAAGATATATACATGGTTCATAAGAAACTTAAGTGTGAGCCAATGAGGACAATATTTGGGGACCCCTAAGTATAGTGCTGCCAAGTGTACAGCCTCAGTGATTCTTGAATCTCTGCATGGATGCCTCCTGCCCACCTACTCAGCCCTAAAAGTGAAGCCAGAAGGTAAAAGTCAGTGCTAACGGCCCATCTTTGACCAACTTCTAGAATCTTTCTTGTCCTCAGGGACCTACCATCCACACCTGCTTATAGGGTGGGGGCTGCAGAAGTTCTTCTAATTAAGGTAGCATGAGCATGCCAGGCAGTCCCCTGGGGTCTTTTTCAAGAAGTGAAACCTGGTAAGGCAGAAACTTTTTTTGCACCTCCTTCAGCTATGGTAAGTGTTAAACCAAAGTAATTGGAGCGAAGCCCAAGGTAGCAGAAGCTACTGATTTCCTGTCACCTGATGTCTATCAGCGATTTCATCTTCAGGCCTGGACTACACCACTCACCCTCCCAGTGTGCTTGAGAAACAAACTGCACCCACTGAACTCCGCAGCTAGCATCCAAATCAGCCCTTGAGATTTGAGGCCTTGGAGACTCAGGTAAGGAATCAATTTGCTTTCTTTAAATGACTTAAAGGAGGTGATGGATAAGGTATAGAATGGTTTTGAAGACTGGAGGTTCTTGATCTTAATTCTAGAGTTTCCCTAGTCAGACTTCCTAATAGTTCTATGACTTAAGGAGGGGTGACGATATCAAGGCTTGCTGCCCACTCACTCCTCTAATCAGTCTCCCTCTCAACAATTACCCTATGCAGTCAACTGTGAATCATTCCACAAAAGTAGTAGATTGCAGCATATATATTAAATCATGGTTTCTAAACCATTGGGTTCAAACTGGAGCTCTACCACTAACAAACAATATAACCTTGGGCAAATTACTAAACCTCTAAAGCCTCAGCTTCCTCATCTATAAAATGGGGGCAATGGTACCCATTACATTAGGAAAATTGGAACTAAAATCCTGAATCCCTTAGGACTTCCCAATACCAAATGAGAAAATAATCAGTCATAGGCATAATGAAAAAAACTCCATTTGTCTTCCTGTAAATGCTTTTGTCTACATTAAATGTAAATATACCTAGAAGTATAGGTGGCTTTACAGGCTAACATTTTCTGGAGGGGATTTGTGGACACCAAGTTGAGCATGAAATCCTGCCTCAAATCTATCACATGGGAAACCAAGAGTAAGAGGGGGCGCTGCAGATGTGGGGGAGCTCTAATGAAGGAAAACAAGGATTAATTTTAATCATGCCATTACTGTTTTCTGAATCCAGTATATAAGTGATTCCCTTTCCCTGTTTCCCATAAAATGGCTTAATCTCACTGAGAATCCGGTGGAAAGAAATGTTTAATCCAGCATTGTGAGCATTTTTGTGTGTGTGTTTTGTTTGTTTGTTCATTTTTTAGTGGAGACAAGGTTTCTCCATGTTGGCCAGGCTGGTCTCGAGCTCCCGACCTCAGGGGATCCACCTGCCTCGGCTTCCCAAAGTGCTGGGATTACAGGTGTGAGCCACTGCACCTGGCCATTGTGAGCACTTGTTAAGCTTCCCTGAGGAAGTAGCTGAGTTTGATGTTCAGCTTAATGTAACTGAGCTCATAGTACATAGAAAACAGGTTCCCTATGCAAGTCTAGTAGGATACAGGATTCTCCGAAGAAAGTAGTTGATGTCTAGTAAGGAAAGCAAAGAGCTAGGAGCTCTGAAGAATTCCTTGCAATCAGGCAAGGAGAGCAGGAACGCCCTCAGGTGATGTGCATATCTAATGCAGAGTTTGATTGAAAGTAAAGAGGGAGGGAGAAGGAACACTTCAAAGTTGAGAAGATTCAGGAAAGAAGGTAGAGGACATGTATAGACCAGTGGCTCTGGTGGCGGTAGTGGGATATGAGCTTGGGAAGTCATACAGGGCTGAATTCCAAAGGCCTTGAGGGGTTAGATGAAGGGTTTCTCCAGCAGGTAATGACAGGCCAGCAAAGGAGTTCAGGCTCAGGAAGAGCATCACTCAAAACAGTGATCGGGAGCTTGATGTAGCAGCCTTGTGGACAATGGATTAGAAAAGAGAAAGACTGAAGGCAGAAAAGCATGAATGGAAATGAGAAACTCACAGGTGACTCTGGATATAGAAAAAAGACCCACATGCAAAATGTATTGCAGAGGTAGAAATGGCATGACTTGGCCACTGACTGACCAACAGCCAAGATGAAGATGGACTGAGAGATGATGGAGCTAAAGTGAAATGTGGTCCCAACTATCTAAGCCTGGGTGGCAGGAGAAACAAATAAAACAATCTGAGACACGAGGCCTGAGAAAAGACCACTGACTTCACAGCACAGTCCTCAAAGACCAGTTTCAGTCCACTGACTGGCGGAAACTAGTTGCCAAGCATTGAGAAGTGAGTGGGTGGAGAGGAGGTGGGGGAAGAGAGTGGGTAGCAAAGCTTTGAAGCAGCTGCGGTGAAGAAAAAGTGAGCCTGGGCAGTGGGCAAGGACATTGCTAGATTAAAAGAAGAGGACTTTGGGATTCAGGGACACTGAAGTACATTTTAGTCATAAAAGGAGTATTTAGCACCTTAACAAATGCAACTTATCTCATATTCTCAAAATGATACTTTGAAATGGGGAAGGTAACTATTACCTTAAACTTACAGAGAGACCACAAGAGGAGCAAGCAAGAGAGCTGGGACTAACTCTGTCTGCTACATATTGCCAGAAATTGGGAGACTGAAGGTGCAAAGAAGAAATAATTTCTTGGAAGGGCTAACAGCTTGGTTGGACTGAGATGGGCTGAAAAGCACAGAGGGAAGGGAAGTAAGAGCACTCTTCCTCGGAGATAGGTGCACAGGAGGCCAGAAGGGATAAAAATGCAAAACTATTTTGAGTGGAAGAGAATGAAGATGAGGTAACAACAGTGAGGCAGTTTTTAAACTTCTCAGTACATGATGGTACGAGTGGACTTAAAAGTCTATTCAAACCAAAACCCATAAAGGCTGTGAGATCTTATTCAGTGGATGGACATGAAAACAGGGGTGCCTTTAAAAATAAAAAAATATTTGCAGGAGTTAGTGTGAGTAATTAAATGCGGTACTGAGTGATCACCTGAGTCTCTATTTTAACATTCATGCTGATTTGGACACCAGCAAATGTAAAATCTTATTGTTATCATATTGCGGCTAATGTGGTCCATAACCCCTACTAATCTACCAACTAGTCTTTGAGCATAACTGTGCATTGGGCACTAAGTCATTGTGAACAATTTATTTTAATGATAAGGCAAAATTGCGAGAATCTCCAATCTCCGTAGGCGAGTTTTATGTATTTATGAATTCTCATGGAACGAAAGCTTTTCATTACAGTCAGCCCACAATGCCATAAATCGATTAATATATTTACCTCTCATATATGAGACAGATATATATATAATCAGATATATATATGAAAGATAGTTTCCATAAGAAATAAAAAAACAGAGAAAGCACTCATGTGTTTCTTTATAAACTACTATTTTATACAAATATTTGTTTAAGGTTTGTAGAAGTATAGTTGCCACCATGAGATACCATTTTAACAGAGAAATATCACACACACACACACACAGCCCTCATGGTCATTATTGCCATTAGTTACAACAGGCATAGCCCAAGTAGAATTGGCTTACAAAAAAGTTTATCTCGCCAATAATACAGACACAGCTTTAATCAAGCAGTTGATGAATAAAATGAAATTAAAACAATGGCAGTCCAATCATCTCCTTCAGTTCAAACAATTGATGACCTTTGCATTTTAAGTTATCTTCACTAAAGTTACCCCTCTGGGGCGGAGTGTAGTGACTCCCAGCTCATTCCATACTTGCCATAGGACCTTGGGAAAAATAACCTCTCTCAACCTCCATTTCTTCATCTGCAGAAAGTAGTCAAAATGCCTACTTACGAAGGTGTTGAGTGAGTTGGCAATACCATATACAATATCTCTAGTATATAGTAGGTGCTCAGTAAACAACTATAATTATCTGGACTCACCTATGGTACAGCAGAAAAAGCATCAACATCAGAGCCATGGTGAGTGCCTTCTAGCTTGGCTCTGTTGCTAACTGTGAGGTCTTTACTAAGGCAAATTCTATACCCAGACTGCAGCTTCCTCATTTGTGAAATGAACAGAATGGTTTCTGAGGTTTGGACTAGCTCTAGAAATCCTACCTAGTGACCAGAATCAGTCCGCAAACTCTTTAGTGGGCTATATTAAAATATCTGTTTTTGTTAGAGGTCTTGTAGAGTGGCTTGTTGTACAAAGCAGATCCCCAGGACCATGTGGCATCTGGCTATCTAGGGCAGGGGCAAAATCAAGTGAGAAACAACCAAAGTTTCTTCTCTCTTTCCTCTAGCCCATGCGCCAGACAGATAATACTTTTCAACTGATTTATAGTCATTCACATAGTGCATATATTGGAAGGAGAAAAGAGGGGTCATAAGGGAAAGGCTGAATTCCTATTTCTCACAGGAGACAAAGCAGCCTGGTACCCTGGATGCCTAATTTGAGAGATCCAAGTCTTCATTTTAAATCTTTACAGGCTGGGCATGGTGGCTCACAGCTGTTATCCTAGCACTTTGGGAGGTGGAGGGGGGCAGATTGCTTGAGTCCAGGAGTTCAAGACCAGCCTGGGCAACATGGCAAGACCCCATCTCTAAAAAAAATATAAAAATTAGCTGAGTATGGTGGTGGTTGCCCGTGGTCCCAGCTACTCCAGTGGCTGAGGCAGAAGGATCACCTGAGCCCAGGAGGTAGAGGCTGCAGTGAGCTGTGATCATGACACTGCACTGCAGCCTGGGCGACAGAGCGAGGCCCTGTCATGAAAACAAACAAACAAACAAAAAATATTTACTAATTATGTAACTTGGCACAAGTAACCTAGCTTCTCCGTGCCCTTGTTTCCTCTTCTATAAAACACAGGTGATGATTCACCCCTTGCCTGTTCTATAAGGCTCAGATGAGATGCCATGTGTCAAATTTACTTCCAGCCCTAAAGTAGGTATAAATGTGACAGTAGTCAGCTGCCTGTTTTACAGCACACCTGCAGCTACTCAGCTCTGATTGACTTCAGTAAGATATACTTCAGGCTGTGGTCTAATGGCTGGGATGTGGCACCGGCTTCAGTAAGATATGTGACCTGGATAGACAGTCTTGATTTCCAAGACATCTTACATGACTTACAAGCAATAAAGACAAGAGCAAAGATGTGTCCCCAAAAGAGGGATTTTCAGATTCCAGGAAAGACCCAGTGGAGTCCGCATAAGTGGTTAACATGAACAAGTGAATGCTAAGGAAACCCAAGATGAAGATTGAACAGAATCTTAAAATGTCTGAGCTGGAAAGGGCCGTATTAATTGCCTTCTCACTTCAGAAATGAATAAATCATGAAAACTGATAAATAGCATTTACTACACTCTCCCTTTGTCCTAGGCACAATTACATATGTTAACTTATTTATGTCTTACATCTCAGAGAGGGGTACTGTTCTAACTTTACAGAAGGATAAAATCGAAACTAATGCTCAGCAAAGTACAAAGAACAAGAATAGCAACAAAAATAACTATTTATTCCAACATGGGTTCTTTGCATACATTTATTTCTTCAATAATATTTATTAAGAAGTAACTAAATCCAAAAATTATTTTAGATCCTGAACAAGAGAGAACAAAATCTCTACTTTGATGGAACTTCCATTCTGTGGGGAAGAGACTGACAATAAGCAATTAAATAAATAAGGTAATTTCCTACAGTGATCAATGCCGTAAAGCAATTAAGATAGGATTTTGTAAAAGACAGCAAATAGGAGTACATGTTATAGATTGAGGGTTCAAGGTAGGCTCCTCTAGGAGCTGACATTTGAGCTACACCTGAACAAAAAGACACTAGCCATGCACAGACCATGAGCCCAGTTAAGTGTTATAGCAGCCCACGAGATAAGAATTATTATTATTTCAATTTTACAGTTGAACCTGAGGCCCAGAGAATTTAAAGAACTTGCCCAACATCTCAGAACAAATGGAGGAATCACTATTGAAACCTAGGCAATCTGACTCAGGAGGCCACAGTCTTATATACTGCATTAGAAAGCCTTAGAGAGCCTTTTCTTTTTCTTTGAGACCGAGTCTCACTCTGTTACCCAGGCTGGAATGCAGTGGCATGATCTCAGCTCACTGCAACCTCTGCCTCCTGGGTTCAAGCAATTCTCCTGCCTTAGCCTCCCGAGTAGCTGGGATTACAGGTGCACACCAACATGCCTGGCTAATTTTTGTATTTGTAGTAGAGATGGGGTTTTGCCACGTTAGCCAGCCCGGTCTCAAACTCCTGACCTCAGGTGATCTGCCCATCTTGGCCTCCCAAAGTGCTTGGATTACAGGCATGAGCCACCGTGCCCGACCTAGAGAGCCTTCTTGATGTGACTTGCACAAGGTGGCAGAGTTAGAGACAGAGAGAGGCCTGGAATCGACCCCTCCTGCTTCTACAGATAGTCCTTACCATACTCTGCAATGTTGCCTCTGGCCCATCATAATGCACAAAGGCAGATAAGCAAAAGGACAAGGACAAGTCCATTGAAAATACATTTTTCAATATTAAAGCAAAAGAAAAGCATCCAGGAATAAGAAACAAAGAGGACATGCAGTCATATATGCAAGGTGTCCTCTACAAAGATAAAGAATGCCCCAAACCCAGTTGTCAAGATCACTGGCAGGGACTCCTGGGCCCACATGCTCTTCCTAAACAACCCCTCCATCTCCTTTCTCAGAACTCAGCAGTAGGCCTTGCCTCAGATCCAAGGTCACTCGGAAGAGGCCATGTCTACCCTCAATGACACTCATGGAGGAAATGCTGAGAGAAGCATTCAGATGCATGACACAAGGTAAGACTGCCAAAAATCTTGTTCTTGCTCTCCTCATTTTGTTATTTGTTTTATTTTTAGGAGTTTTGAGAGCAAAATGACAACACCCAGAAATTCAGTAAATGGGACTTTCCCGGCAGAGCCAATGAAAGGCCCTATTGCTATGCAATCTGGTCCAAAACCACTCTTCAGGAGGATGTCTTCACTGGTGGGCCCCACGCAAAGCTTCTTCATGAGGGAATCTAAGACTTTGGGGGTAAGTCAGTTGCCTTCCATCCCATGTCGTAGGGATTCTCTGGCTGACAGAAGCTGATGCGGTATAGGCCACATACAGAATTCAATCCAATTTGAAGAATTGGGATCCAACCTGATGTCTTCTTTATGTCTAACACAGTGGGCCAAATCAGGGGTGCATCAGAGAAGTTATCACTTAGATCACCTCTGGGTGATCTTATGTCACCTTTTGGTTTTGGGGCTTGTATATGCAGGGGTCCCCCATCCCAGTCCATTGCCAGAATCCCAGGCATACCTGCTCCCTGGAAATGCCCCATGTGGTTGAGGAAACAGATTCGAACAAGAAAAAGACAAAATTCTTGGCACCTCCACTGCTTCCTTTAGGCATTCCTCACAGCTCCAAGTCAGGAGCCAGAGCTTCCAACCTTGTCTTTGCCTGCTAGCAGTGATGATTTCAGCTCATCCACTGCTGCCTCTGTTCTCTCCCCAGGCTGTCCAGATTATGAATGGGCTCTTCCACATTGCCCTGGGGGGTCTTCTGATGATCCCAGCAGGGATCTATGCACCCATCTGTGTGACTGTGTGGTACCCTCTCTGGGGAGGCATTATGGTGAGTAAAAGAATAGCAGCCATTTGGGAAATGGTGCAGACAAAAATGTTAAAAGGCTCCACAGGGATATGCCAGATTATTTCTGTGTTGAGGGAAATATATGAGTAGGAAATATTATTGGGTTAAAGTAATTAAGAAGACAGGTTGACCAAATTGAGTATAAATCCCATGGTTGAGAGTCAGTGGTCCTGTTTCATGTGAATTCAGAGAAAGGGGCCCTGCATGGATCTCACAGGGACTGTCCAAAGCAAGAACTCTCCAAAGTCAGTTCTGGTGGGGAGGGTGGCCCTAGACATTTAGACTAGATAGCAAGATGTTTTGGAAAGCAAGAGGCAGCAGGAACATCCACTTCCATCTACCCCTTCTTGCTTACAATTCTGTTTGGTTACTATGGTACCTGGTGAAACCTGTCCCATCACAAGTCAGTCTCATTTTGCTTATCGACAGAGCAGCACTCTTTTGGCTGTTTTACGTACATGTTTTCCAAATCTGTAACCCTGTCTGGGTGTGGCACATAGGACAGTGATGTTTATTTCCCCGTGATACTTTTCATAGTTGCCACTATAAAAGATAAGTCCAGGATTAAAATTTTCCAAACAAGTAGAGATGGGTTAGAACAAGAGTTTCCTCCATTCTACAGCCTGAATGTGAGAAAAGGAAGATGAGCAATAGTCATCATCACTTCCTGTAACAGCCAATGTTTTCATGGAGTGCCTGTGCCATTCAGGTCAAGTATTTCCTTCTGCATCAGTTCACTCTTCAGAGGGCATCAGAGTCATTTATGTCACTGTGAACCCCAAAGGGCAGTTCCACAAGTTAAAAACAAAGAAAAACTAGAAATAAAACTTTTAAATTTATGGTATGAGTATTAATTGATGAGGAAATTTGAGTTCTGTCTCTTTGGTCTTACTATATTCCTAGTCACAGATCCCCAGATGATTGAGTAAAAGGCATGAATTTAGTGTCACTGAGCCTGAATAAAGGAGGAATATGACAGCTGAAAAATGAATACAACTGATAAAAATGGGTGGATGGTTGTGTGAAAGTTGCTGAAAGTGTAGGCTTCTTTCTGACCAGTTATCAATGTTAAAAAGTGATCTCCCTCTCTCCTCTATCTCCTGTCTTGCCCACCCCCTCTCCATCTCCCCCACCTCTCTTTTTTACAGTATATTATTTCCGGATCACTCCTGGCAGCAACGGAGAAAAACTCCAGGAAGTGTTTGGCAAGTAACCATATGTCCTTCTTTCCCACATGTCAGAGAAGTACCTATTTTTTTCGGTTAAAAACTGAGACCCTTAAAAAGCCAAGGTATCACAGCCTCTCAGCCCTAAAAAGCAAAGACCCTCCACAATGTTATTGTGATTTTATTTATGAAAAACTTAGAAGCGAGGTCTATCTGAAGTATGTTCATGGGAACAGAACTAAAAGCAGATCCATGAAAACCATACCTACAGTCTTAAGAACGTTAAATGCTGTGTGAAAATAATAGACCTTTCTGAAAGCCCTATCATTTCTCCCAGATCACCATTTAGGAAAATTATCTGATCAATGTCATGATTGATTCAAATTCTAGCTAAGCCATTTTTTGGCCGTAACATTGAACAAGTCAGTTTACCTCTATGTTCCTGAGTTTTCACCTAGAAAGGAAGGGTAACAGTCCTTGCTACCATGTGACGTCCAATGGAGATGAAAGGCAGTAGAGTGTGTGATGGTGCTTCACAGGCTATAAAGTACTACACTGTGGTCTTGCCCATAAAACCCCTAGGGACTCATCTAGATCCAGAGGAAACTGGCCTGCAGAGCTGCTGATGCTGTATGGATGAAAAGAGTTTAGCAGCAAGTTCGCTCCCAAAAAATTCCTCCCCCAACACTGTTACTAAACTGTGTCACTTTCATAATCAATGAGGGAATGGGTGGATTGAGATGGTTCCTGTCTTAAAGTGGCCTGACACACTCAGTTTGGGGGGAAAACTTTTTATGAACATCAAATTATTCTCTAGATACAGCCAGATTTACTGACTTGCCATGTGTAGGTCATAGAGCCAGGAATGAAATATGCGCAGCATAAAATAATAATCAATAATCCCATATCATTATGGTACTTGTTATTTATATTTTCCTGTTTCAACCTTTTATCATCCCTGCAAGGTAGAACATTCACACTGATATTTTCTTACCTATGCTACCCAAAGACATCAGCCCTAATTGTATTTTGGAAGATAGCTGACTGGGGCTGATTGCAACCTATGTCAGCAGGAATAGATGTTGTTACTGTTGTTGCTTCTGCTTTTTTTATTTCCATTTATTTGATAGTACAGATCTAGAGGGTTCTATCTGAACCTTCCCAACCTATACTTCATAATACCATCCCACTAAAGTGTGATACAAGAAACTTCTTCACTCTCTTCCCTCTACCTATTTATGAAGGCAGATAATAAACTGGATAATATTTATCTTCACTTATTCAACAAACATTTATTGAGTGCCTACTAGGATGGTGGCAGTGGCAGTGAAGGAAATGCAAGGATACAAGATATAGAATCAAGGGTTACTCTTAGAATTTTTGCTTTATAAAACAGATGGATGGTGAATGAGATAGGGAAGACTGAGAAAAGAACAGGATAGAGACATGATTTTATTTTATAGTGACAAAGAGGCTAAAAACAACTGAGAGAACTTCAGTATATTTAGTTGTAGTTGCTTTGTGAGTCAGGGCAGTTGCATTTGGAATTCCCTCCCAGATTATGTTTTCCAAAGGGAAATCAAACCCAATTAATAAATCTGTGTCTCCATTTCAGGTCAAAGGAAAAATGATAATGAATTCATTGAGCCTCTTTGCTGCCATTTCTGGAATGATTCTTTCAATCATGGACATACTTAATATTAAAATTTCCCATTTTTTAAAAATGGAGAGTCTGAATTTTATTAGAGCTCACACACCATATATTAACATATACAACTGTGAACCAGCTAATCCCTCTGAGAAAAACTCCCCATCTACCCAATACTGTTACAGCATACAATCTCTGTTCTTGGTAAGTGTTCTTGGTAAGTGTGAGATTGGATTTCTCTCCAGGGAGGAAGGATGACTTGTTTATTATGAGCATGAACTCTGGATCCAGACCACCTGAGTTTGCTAGTTACTGTCTGTGTGGCTTTGGGAAAGAATTTTAACCACACTGTGCCTCAATTTCTTCAACTGTAAAATGGGGATGGTAACACTATTTATCTAATAGGGTTGTTCTGAGGAATAAATAAGTTAATATATACAAAGCATTTAGAACAGTGTTTGGTACACAGAAGTGCTATATAAGCATTGGCTTTAACATTAATTATTCTCAACATCATTAATGGCATTAATATTTACCATTATATTAACTAAGATGAGCATAGAAGAAATTCCTAAGATGTTATGAATATCTTTTGCCCAAGGACTTTTAAATGTAGAGTTTGAAAGAGATAAAAAAAAATGCATCTCCCAAGGATGAAGAGGTCTCCTAGGCATGATGCCACACCAACTAAGGCTGAATACAATTTAATTTGAGACTCATTACTTATTCTTTCCTATACAGAATTGATTCTTCAACTGATTATTCATACCTTACTTTCTATCAGCAATACACATTAACCATCTGTTGTGTGCCAAAAGTTGTGTTAAGAGTTAGGGTTATAAAGATGCTGTCTCCTGTACTAGCAGTTCTCACAGCTATTCATTACTTGTCTAAAGAATTGATCTCTTAATCGTTCAATTATAGTCAACAATAACTTACTGAACACCAACAATGTTCTTTGTGCCATTATTACATTTTCACCTTCATTCTTCTGTTGTTTTTCAGGGCATTTTGTCAGTGATGCTGATCTTTGCCTTCTTCCAGGAACTTGTAATAGCTGGCATCGTTGAGAATGAATGGAAAAGAACGTGCTCCAGACCCAAATCTGTAAGTAGTAGCCCCTCTGGCCAAAACCTCCCTCTAGAAAATCCACATCCACAAAGGATCATTTATGGAGAATGTAATCTGATGAGTTGTTGAAACTAGGAGCTTGATTTAAAAAAAAAAATTGGTCTTGGCATATTTCTAGAAAGCAAATAATATGATGTCTTGAAATTTGAAATAAGTCTGTAGTTAGAGCCTACAGTTCTATATTCTGTGCGTCTTTTTTTTTTTTTTTTTTGAGACAGAGTCTCACTTTGTTGCCCAGGCTAGAGTGCAATGGCGCGATCTTGGCCCAGTGCAACCTCTGCCTCCGGGTTCAGGCGATTCTCCTGCCTCACCCTCCCGAGTAGCTGGGATTACAGGCACCCGCCATCATGCCTGGCCAATTTTTGTATTTTTGTAGAGACGGGGGTTCACCATGTTGGCCAGGCCAGTCTTGAACTCCCGACCTCAGGTGATCCTCCCACCTCAGCCTCCGAAAGTGCTGGGATTGCAGGCGTGAGCCACCATGCCCCACCTCTGTGCATCTTCTTATTAACCTTCCCTGCTGCTTGACTTCAGGCTTCCATCCTGATTTCATGATTCCATATACAGTGTGTAAAAGCAAGATGGTTGAAGGTTGAAGGCTAAGTCACTAGTTCTTTGGTTTCATTTTTCAGTATTCCCCTCTTCCCTCCTTTTCACCTAATTCCTCTTCCAAAACAACAGGTTAAAGGGCTCCACAAATGGGAAATAAAAACAGACCAATAATAGATATATTACTAACTGCTTCAGAACCAGACTGTTAGATTTAGAATTTAGAAATCATCGCTAATTACTTCATTTTGCATTTAAAGAAAAATAGTATCAAAGAGAGAAAATTATTCTCCCAGAGTTATATTCACTAAAGGCAAATCAGAACGAAAATCTAAACTCCTCTATTACTGCAATGTTCTTTTCCCAATACCACGTGGTCATTCCAGGCACTGTGGTCAATGTCTGCTGCCCTTGAAGATTTATTCAGACTTGAGTTTTAATAAATGACTTGATAAGGATATAAGCACCTGCAAAAAAATTTTGGCATTTAAAGGCATATAATAAATGACATAAGTAGCATAAAAACCAGGAGGTATTTGATAAATGTTTGTGGAGATTGTTGACAAAGGTGTCAGTGGTAAAAGTAAAGAATGGTTTGTTTAATTTTCTGTTTTAGAACATAGTTCTCCTGTCAGCAGAAGAAAAAAAAGAACAGACTATTGAAATAAAAGAAGAAGTGGTTGGGCTAACTGAAACATCTTCCCAACCAAAGAATGAAGAAGACATTGAAATTATTCCAATCCAAGAAGAGGAAGAAGAAGAAACAGAGACGAACTTTCCAGAACCTCCCCAAGATCAGGAATCCTCACCAATAGAAAATGACAGCTCTCCTTAAGTGATTTCTTCTGTTTTCTGTTTCCTTTTTTAAACATTAGTGTTCATAGCTTCCAAGAGACATGCTGACTTTCATTTCTTGAGGTACTCTGCACATACGCACCACATCTCTATCTGGCCTTTGCATGGAGTGACCATAGCTCCTTCTCTCTTACATTGAATGTAGAGAATGTAGCCATTGTAGCAGCTTGTGTTGTCACGCTTCTTCTTTTGAGCAACTTTCTTACACTGAAGAAAGGCAGAATGAGTGCTTCAGAATGTGATTTCCTACTAACCTGTTCCTTGGATAGGCTTTTTAGTATAGTATTTTTTTTTGTCATTTTCTCCATCAACAACCAGGGAGACTGCACCTGATGGAAAAGATATATGACTGCTTCATGACATTCCTAAACTATCTTTTTTTTATTCCACATCTACGTTTTTGGTGGAGTCCCTTTTGCATCATTGTTTTAAGGATGATAAAAAAAAATAACAACTAGGGACAATACAGAACCCATTCCATTTATCTTTCTACAGGGCTGACATTGTGGCACATTCTTAGAGTTACCACACCCCATGAGGGAAGCTCTAAATAGCCAACACCCATCTGTTTTTTGTAAAAACAGCATAGCTTATACATGGACATGTCTCTGCCTTAACTTTTCCTAACTCCCACTCTAGGCTATTGTTTGCATGTCTACCTACTTTTAGCCATTATGCGAGAAAAGAAAAAAATGACCATAGAAAATGCCACCATGAGGTGCCCAAATTTCAAATAATAATTAACATTTAGTTATATTTATAATTTCCAGATGACAAAGTATTTCATCAAATAACTTCATTTGATGTTCCATGATCAAGAAAGAATCCCTATCTCTATTTTACAAGTAATTCAAAGAGGCCAAATAACTTGTAAACAAGAAAAGGTAACTTGTCAACAGTCATAACTAGTAATTATGAGAGCCTTGTTTCATAACCAGGTCTTCTTACTCAAATCCTGTGATGTTTGAAATAACCAAATTGTCTCTCCAATGTCTGCATAAACTGTGAGAGCCAAGTCAACAGCTTTTATCAAGAATTTACTCTCTGACCAGCAATAAACAAGCACTGAGAGACACAGAGAGCCAGATTCAGATTTTACCCATGGGGATAAAAAGACTCAGACTTTCACCACATTTGGAAAACTACTTGCATCATAAATATATAATAACTGGTAGTTTATATGAAGCAGACACTAAGTGCTATAGACACTCTCAGAATATCATACTTGGAAACAATGTAATTAAAATGCCGAATCTGAGTCAACAGCTGCCCTACTTTTCAATTCAGATATACTAGTACCTTACCTAGAAATAATGTTAACCTAGGGTGAAGTCACTATAATCTGTAGTCTATTATTTGGGCATTTGCTACATGATGAGTGCTGCCAGATTGTGGCAGGTAAAGAGACAATGTAATTTGCACTCCCTATGATATTTCTACATTTTTAGCGACCACTAGTGGAAGACATTCCCCAAAATTAGAAAAAAAGGAGATAGAAGATTTCTGTCTATGTAAAGTTCTCAAAATTTGTTCTAAATTAATAAAACTATCTTTGTGTTCTTTTCTGCAACAGATGATTCCAACATGGGTGTTTGTCTATTCTTCTTTACTCTTGAAACATTAGACCATGGGAGGCTCTTACAGCCTTGAGTTGATATTTATACAACCCAAATCTAGGTTTGAACGGTGAGGTGTCAGGTCATCAAATATTCATGTCTATATAGTCTTACACAGGTTCTCAAAAAAAATGTTCATGGGATAGGTCATTGATAATGGATTCCTTATTCTGAGAACTCCAGACGACTGAAATATATGAGAGAAGGAAAAGGACATAGTAGGAGCAGGCCTGAGAAAAAAATGAAAGTCAGAAATCTTTAAAAAAATACAAGATCTTATTTCTATCTTATTTTTTCTCCTCTTCTGAAATATATATGAGGATTCCTCTCCAAACCCATGGTTTCTCTAAGAATTTTGAGTCATTTGTATGACCTCAAATAATTAGTTTTAGCTGACCTCACATAACTCCTTATAATAGGAGACATCTTTAATGTCTGCTATTAAAGAAGGATGAAAATTCCTATGACCTTCTCCCCGATTATCCCTTTGGCAATATAGAGTCAAATAATAACATTGACCAATAGTAAACATGCTTTGCCAAGAAGTAGAAGATATATTCTCTAGCCTTAGTTTTTCCTCCCAATTTGCATTTTTGTAAAAATAATGTTGTATCCACAAAGGAAATAAACTTTAAAAACCCAAGTGCACTCATTGACTAGGAGGCTGACGTAACTTATTTTCATTTTCTTCTGGTTTTCTTATAATCTTTGTTTAAAATAAGGTGATAAACCATCCCAGTTTGTCTGAGTCTGAGGGATTTCCTGGGATACACGATTTTCAATGTTAAAACCAAGATAGTCCCAGGCAAACAGGATAGTTGATTATCCTACTTCATAGTAATAGATTACTCACTTACAATCACTGCATAATATTTACTTTTTACATGTAACAGTATATCATAGATTTTTCCTTATTGATACATAATTTCATAAGCATCACTTAATTTCAACTTAGGATTTTATGAATCAATATAAATTTACCATTCCTCTATTATTGGATATGTAGGGTATTTCCTTTTCTTTCTTTATACAAATCACTTTTGGAGCACAGAAATCATGAGCAAGATACATGTTTCCTCTTATTATTCAAAATGTAGCTTTACATTTAAAGTCTTGTCAACATTGACCAGTAGGAATTACTAGCACCTGTTAAAACCCAGAAAATTTACCTTTAATTTCACATCAACAAGAGAATAGTCAAAGATCCAATACACAGAAATAGTTACTTCAGATTCATTTAGCTTGAGTTCATTTAAGAAATCTGATTTGTTTTAAATTCTTGGTGTATAACATAAAACACTGATGGAGGGGTTCAAATCTGAAATTTTCCTAGGTTAAGTCTTCAATCCTTTAGTGAGCTTCCTTTTATGGAAAACTTGGTTGTGTGTTCTGAGCTAAAAAGTACCAAGTCATAAATGAATATGATAGAATCATGTGGTGGCAAAATCAAAGCAAAGTTACAATTATCCTCTATTGACCCCAGCCTACTCAGCAGTGCAAAATGCTGAGAAAGAATAAATAAGTTGTCTACCCTTAGAACTTACTACCTGGCTGGAGAAAGAGAAATTAGTTCATCAGGTACCTGTTATGGGTAAAGCATTTTGTTAAGTATGGTGGGGTACAGATAAAGATAGGAGAAGCTCCCTGATCTCAAAAATCTTACTGCCTAATTGAGAATGATATAAGCATATGTATTAAAAGATAACCAATAAAGGTCCAAGAAAACTCAATGTGAAAATAACAATCTTTTCAACAAACTGTGGTGGGACAACTGGATAGCCATATACAAAAGAATAAAATTGGATACCTACCTCACGCCATACACAAAAATAAAAATGGAGGCCTAAATGTAGGAGCTAAAATTATAAAACCTCTTAGGAGAAAACATAGGTATACATTTTGTTACCTTGGAAAGGCAATGAGTTCTTCAATATGACACCAGAGGCACAAGCAACCAAAGAAAAAATAGATAACTTTGTTCTTAAACAAACAAACAAAAGAAACAAAGAAGGAAAATAGGAAGGAAGAGAAAGAGAAAAAAAGAAAGGAAGTAAAGGAAATAAAGAAGGACACAACTTTACTCCATACTGTTTGGGTTTTGAGTTTTGGTATACTTTAGACTCCCAAGAAGGAATTTAGAATAGGAGTTACCAAATGGATGCACATTAGCATGAAGTGAGAGTTTTCCAAAGCCCTACTGCCTAAGCTGAGCCCAGATATAATCATTAGAATCTCTGGGCTAGCAGATGTCTATTAGGTCTGCTTGGTGCAGAGCTGAGTTCAATTCCTGGGTATCCTTGTTAACTTTCTGACTCACTGATCTGTCTAATGTTGACAGTGGGGTGTTAAAGCCACCCCAAATCAACAGAATATATATTTCTTTCAGCACCACACCACACCTATTCCAAAATTGACCACATACTTGGAAGTAAAGCTCTCCTCAGCAAATGTAAAAGAACAGAAATTATAACAAACTCTCTCAGACCACAGTGCAATCAAACTAGAACTCAGGATTAAGAAGCTCACTCAAAACCGCTCAACTACATGGAAACTGAACAACTTGCTCCTGAATGACTACTGGGTACATAACGAAATGAAGGCAGAAATAAAGATGTTCTTTGAAACCAAAGAGAACAAAGACACAACATACCAGAATCTCTGGGACACATTCAAAGCTGTGTAGAGGGAAATTTATAGCACTAAAGGTCCACAAGAGAAACAGGAAAGATCTAAAATTGACACACTAACATCACAATTAAAAGAACTAGAAAAGCAAGAGCAAACACATTCAAAAGCTAGCAGAAGGCAAGAAATAACTAAAATCAGAGCAGAACTGAAGGAAATAGAGACAAAAAAAACCCTTCAAAAAATTAATGAATCCAGGAGCTGGTTTTTTGAAAGGATCAACAGAATTGATAGACCGCTAGCAAGACTAATAAAGAAAAAAAGAGAGAAGAATCAAATAGACGCAATAAAAAATGATAAAGGGGATATCACCACCGATCCCACAGAAATATAAACTACCATCAGAGAATACTACAAACATCTCTACACAAATAAACTAGAAAATCTAGAAGAAATGGATAAATTCCTCGACACATACACTGTCCCAAGACTAAACAAGGAAGAAGTTGAATCTCTGAATAGACCAACAACAGGATCTGAAATTGTGGCAATAACCAATAGCTTACCAACCAAAAAGAGTCCAGGACCAGATGGATTCACAGCCGAATTCTACCAGAGGTACAAGGAGGAACTGGTACCATTCCTTCTGAAACTATTCCAATCAATAGAAAAAGAGGGAATCCTCCCTAACTCATTTTATGAGGCCAGCATCATCCTGATACCAAAGCCTGGCAGAGACACAACCAAAAAAGAGAATTTTAGACCAATATCCTTGATGAACATTGATGCAAAAATCCTCAATTAAATACTGGCAAACCGCATCCAGCAGCACATCAAAAAGCTTATCCACCATGATCAAGTGGGCTTCATCCCTGGGATGCAAGGCTGGTTCAATGTATGCAAATCAATAAATGTAATCCAGCATATAAACCGAACCAAAGACAAAAACCACATGATTATCTCAATAGATGCAGAAAAGGCCTTTGACAAAATTCAACAACCCTTCATGCTAAAAGCTCTCAATAAATTAGGTACTGATGGGACGTATCTCAAAATAATAAGAGCTATCTATGACAAACCCACAGCCAATATCATACTGAATGGGCAAAAACTGGAAGCATTCCCTTTGAAAACTGGCACAAGACAGGGATGCCCTCTCTCACCACTCCTATTCAACATAGTGTTGGAAGTTCTGGCCAGGGCAATTAGGCAGGAGAAGGACATAAAGGGTATTCAATTAGGAAAAGAGGAAGTCAAATTGTCCCTGTTTGCAGATGACATGATTGTATATCTAGAAAACCCCATTGTCTCAGCCCAAAATCTCCTTAAGCTGATCAGCAACTTCAGCAAAGTCTCAGGATACAAAATCAATGTACAAAAATCACAAGCATTCTTATACACCAACAACAGACAAACAGAGAGCCAAATCATGAGTGAACTCCCATTCACAATTGCTTCAAAGAGAATAGAATACCTAGGAATCCAACTTACAAGGGATGTGAAGGACCTCTTCAAGGAGAACTACAAACCACTGCTCAAGGAAATAAAAGAGGATACAAACAAATGGAAGAACATTCCATGCTCATGGGTAGGAAGAATCAATATCATGAAAATGGCCATACTGCCCAAGGTAATTTATAGATTCAATGCCATCCCCATCAAGCTACCAATGACTTTCTTCACAGAATTGGAAAAAACTACTTTAAAGTTCATATGGAACCAAAAGAGAGCCCGCATCGCCAAGTCAATCCGAAGCCAAAAGAACAAAGCTGGAGGCATCAGGCTACCTGACTTCAAACTATACTACAAGGCTACAGTCACCAAAACAGCATGGTACTGGTACCAAAACAGAGATATAGATCAATGGAACAGAACAGAGCCCTTGGAAATAACGCCGCATATCTACAACTATCTGATCTTTGACAAACCTGAGAAAAACAAGCAATGGGGAAAGCATTCCCTATTCAATAAATGGTGCTGGGAAAACTGGCTAGCCATATGTAGAAAGCTGAAACTGGATCCCTTCCTTACATGTTACACAAAAATTAATTCAAGATGGATTAAAGACTTAAACGTTAGACCTAAAACCATAAAAACCCTAGAAGAAAACCTAGGCATTACCATTCAGGGCATAGGCATGGGCAAGGACTTCATGTCTAAAACACCAAAAGCAATGGCAACAAAAGACAAAATTGACAAATGGGATCTAATTAAACTAAAGAGCTTCTGCACAGCAAAAGAAATCACCATCAGAGTGAACAGGCAAGCTACAAAATGGGAGAAAATTTTTGCAACCTACTCATCTGACAAAGGGCTAATATCCAGAATCTACAATGAACTCAAACAAATTTGCAAGAAAAAAACAAACAACCCCATCAAAAAGTGGGCGAAGGACATGAACAGACACTTCTCAAAAGAAGACATTTATGCAGCCAACAGACACATGAAAAAATGCTCACCATCACTGGCCATCAGAGAAATGCAAATCAAAACCACAATGAGATACCATCTCACACCAGTTAGAATGGCGATCATTAAAAAGTCAGGAAACAACAGGTGCTGGAGAGGATGTGGAGAAATAGGAACACTTTTACACTGTTGGTGGGACTGTAAACTAGTTCAACCATTGTGGAAGTCAGTGTGGCGATTCCTCAGGGATCTAGAACTGGAAATACCATTTGACCCAGCCATCCCATTACTGGGTATATACCCAGAGGATTATAAATCATGCTGCTATAAAGACACATGCATACATATGTTTATTGCGGCACTATTCACAATAGCAAAGACTTGGAACCAAGCCAAATGTCCAACAATGATAGACTGGATTAAGAAAATGTGGCACATATACACCATGGAATTCTATGCAGCCATAAAAAATGATGAGTTCATGTCCTTTGTAGGGACATGGATGAAACTGGAAATCATCATTCTCAGGAAACTATCGCAAGGACAAAAAACCAAACACTGCATGTTCTCACTCATAGGTGGGAATTGAACAATGAGAACATATGGACACAGGAAGGGGAACAACACACTCTGGGGACTGTTGTGGGGTGGGGGGAGGGCAGAGGGATAGCATTAGGAGATATACCTAATGCTAAATGACGAGTTAATGGGTGCAGCACACCAGCATGGCACATGTATGCGTATGTAACTAACCTGCACATTGTGCACATGTACCCTAAAATTTAAAGTATAATAATAATAAAATAAAATAAACTATAAAGAAAAAGAATCTCTGGGCTAGCATTAGGCATTGGGATTTTTAAAAGGTCCCCAGATAATTCCAATTAAATCAAGTCTAGCCTAAAGCTGCCTCCTTACATTTTTTTTTTTTTTTTTTTTTTTTTTTTTTTTTTTTTTGAGACGGAATCTCGCTCTGTCACCCAGGCTGGAGTGCAGTGGCACGTTCTCGGCTCACTGCAAGCTCCATCTCCTGGGTTCACGCCATTCTCCTGCCTCAGCCTCCCGAGTAGCTGGGACTACAGGCGCCCACCACCACGCCCGGGTAATTTTTTGTATTTTTAGTATAGCCAGGATGGTCTCGATCTCCTGACCTCGTGATCTGCCCGCCTCGCCTCTCAAAGTGCTGGAATTACAGGCGTGAGCCACTGTGCCCTGCCCGCCTCCCTACGTATTTTAAGGTTGGCCTAAAAGTTTTTCTTTACATCGTGAACTATAACAAGTGGAGGTGTAAACAGACAGTAGCCTACCCTTGTGCCAGTCACTAAGTTTTGATCAATCAAATGTAGTCAACTGTTCAAACCGTGATCAAATAAGGTAATGTCAACCTGTAACCAATCCAACTGTTTCTCTACCTTATTTCCTTTTCTGTACATCACTTTTCCTTTTCTGTTCATAAATCTTCTTCCACCACGTGACTGTGCTGGAGTCTCTGAGCCTCTGGCTAGAGGAGGGGCTGCCCGATTCGCGCATCATTCATTGCTCAATTAAACGCCTTTAAATTTAATTTGGCTGAAGTTTTTCTTTTATCAGTACAGCTGCCGTGAAAACTAGTGATTTTAAAAATAGCATGCATCCTAGGTTAGAATGCTAAACGCCTGCGGAAAACTCAATTCTGCTGAACTCTACTCCATTTTGTCCTGTTCAATGAGAGCCTTTTTTTGAATTTGTCTTTCTCAGAGCTTTGCTAATTAAACATTTTCAAGAGAACTCAGGAAAGAAAAAGTCTTTAAGAGAATCTCTTGCAGTTCCACACTGGCAAACAAAAGGCCTGCAAAATAGTATATCCTAGATGGATCTTAGCTTTTTTTTTTTTTTTTTGACAAGCACCTAATTCAAATTTAAAAGAAGAAAAATTGTGTGTTGCATTCAATGTCTTAATAAAGTTTTCTGTCATCTCGTGATGCATTGTTCCTGTCATCAATTCTGATTTACTGCAGCTGTTTCCTGCAAAACGCAAAAGCGTAACTTCAACAAGTTTCATTTCCTATAAAGATAAAAGTACAGAAAGTTGTGGATACATCTCTGGGCAAATCTGTTACTGCAGAAGCTGATGAAAAATGGTGCCAGAGCTATTTACGCAATGAGAGCTTTCTGATGCTTTAGGGCTGGGGACTTCTCGTTTCCTTGATCTCACCTGGTTCATGGAGCAGTATCGTTCTTGTCATTGATGCTGCACCTCAGAGATTTGTTGCTACTGTATTGGCTGTTGTGGTTGTTTCCATCAAAGATGAGCAAGAATTGCTTTGAAGAAAATTTTACAACACCCAATTGTCAATGAGTTATTATAAGTGATATGACTGAACTTTAGCTCTAAGTGAATAGAAGTGTCTAAATTACACCTGCACCATCCTCTTGACTACTCACTAGTGAGATGGAGACTAATTCATCTAAATTCTCTACACTTCACAAAGGCAGGAATTCTTGTCTATGTTGTTTACTCCTATATACACAGCACTTAGTACCAAGCACATGGAAAGCTGAATTTGTTGAATTTGCTGACTGAATGTAGCCCTTTTATCTAGCTGTGTCTGTAGGCTCTAGACCTTCCACCATTCTGAGGTAATTGCTTGCCTAGATGCTCGTGCAAACCATTGAATTCTCTCTCTCCTGTCCTTCACAACCAAACAACTCAAAAGCAGAGTCTGCTTTCAGGTTTGAATGTTTTCATATCGCGTTCATTTTTCAGTGAATTACAGTCTGTCTATTCTCTCTAATACTTTTCTAGAATTGTTTCCCCAAATGCTGCCAATGACTTCTTAATTGTTGAATCCAGTGGATTCTACTCAATTCTCATTCTGTGAGATTTAACAACACTGCCCTTTTGCTTCCTTGCCTTTTGAGACACATGCCCTTCCTTAGCTTCCAAGATGGGACACTCTTAACTCTCTCTCCTACTTTCTTAGACATACACAATTTCATCTTCACTAGTTGCATTTTTTCTGACAACCAAATGTGCACATTCCTTACAAAGTGTTACCTTCCCCCAAAAACTCTCATCCATTCCCATAACTCAGTCTATCAATTTTAGGTAACTAATTCATGTAATTGCATTTTCAATCCTGTTTACTCATCTGATTTCCAAGCCTGCATGTCCGGGTATTTGCAAATTATTTCATAATGATCTCCTATCTGCAATGTAAAACTATAGAGCTGGTCCAGTCTGAGCCCGCGGTCTAATTCCCATGCACCTCCTTTTTAGCTTCCTGTCTCTCTCCCTTCACATCCTCCCCCATCATCCACACTCACAGCTGAGAGATGTATTTGATTTATTCCTTTTTCACTCTTTTTATCTAATGAAGTTCCTCATGTACTTTAAGTTTTGTCTACTCTAAAATGTCTCTAAAATCCAACTCTCCTCTTCTTTCTAGTCTTCACTTTAGGCCTAGTTTCTCATTTGCTCCTGCTGTTTCACTTATTTTATAAACGATTAATTGGAATTGTTACATCCCTACTTAGACATCTTGAATGATTCTCCAGTGCTTACCAATTAAAGTCCAGATGCCATGGACATATAAGATCCTGCATAGTATTGTTTTAACTTTTCTCTACTGCCTTCTCATTACACCCTAATTTAGCCACAGTCCAGCCTGGTTATTCAATTATTGCTCCTGAACACAAATAGAATGTTTCTGTTTTCCTCCTGTTTAGATATTGTTCCCCTACGTGGAATAGTCTTCTCTTTTTTCTCTCTTACTAAGTTCTACCTATTCTCTAAGATTCATCTCAAATCCTTCCTATTCCATGAGGTTTTCTTCTAATACTCCAATTTTATTGAGCTCCCACCTGTGCTATATTATTGAGCAATTATTTTCTCCTATGCACCAGGACATTATACCATTATTTAGCTCTTCTGGGCTGACTTATATCACTGGTTATCTTGTAAAATTATTTGTATTGAGATTTGTTTCACACACCATAAAATTTACTCTTTTAATTTTTTAAGGAGGTTTTTGAAGAAGCTCCCATACTGTTTTCCATGGTGGCTGTACCCATTTACATTCCCACCAACAGTGAGCAAGTGTTTCCTGCTCTCCACATCCCCTCCAGCATTTAGTTTCTTTCTTTGATAACAGCTATTTTAACTGGGGTGAGATGATATCTCATTGCAGTTTTGATTTGCATTTCTCTCATGACTAGTGATGTTGAACATTTTTTCATATACCTGTTGCCATTTGTATGCCTTCTTTTGAGAAATGTCTATTTTGCCCATTTTAAATCAGATTTTTTTTGTATTGAGTTGTTTGAGTTCCGTATACATTTCTGTTAATTAATCCTCTGTCAGTTGAATGGTTTGCAAATACTTTCTCCCATGCTGTAGGTCTCTTTATTTTATTTTATTTTATTGATTATTTTCTTTGTTGTCAAAAGCTTTAATCCAGCAATCTGACTGCTAGGTATATATCCAAAAGAAAGGAAATCAGAGTATTGAAAAGAGACCTGCACTGTCATGTTTATTGCAGCACTATTCACAGTAACCAAGATATAGTATCAACTCAAGTGTCCATGAACAGATGGATGGATAAAGAAAATGGGATATATATAATATATATAGGAATATTATTCCACCATAAAAATTAATGAAATCATGCCATTTGCTACAATATGGATGGAACTGGAGGACATTATGGTAAACGGAATAAGCCATACATAGAAAGACAAATGTCACATGTTCTCACCAATATGAGGGTGCTAAAAAAATGATCTCATGGAGATAGTGAATAGAATGGTGGTTAACAGAGCCTGGGAAGGGTAGTGAGGAGGGAGGGATAAAGAGGAGCTGGTCAGTGGGTACAAAAATATAGTTATATAGAAGAAATAAGTGCTAGTGTTCAATAGGGTGACTAGAGCTAATAATTTACTGTATATTACAAAATAGCTGGAAGAGTAGATTTGGAACATTCCCAAAATAAAGAAATTATAAATATTTAAGATGATGGATATCCTAATTACCCAGATTTAATCATTACACATTGTATGCTTGTACTAAAATATCACATATATGCCATAAACATGTACAACTATTAGGTATTCATAAAATTTGAAAAATTACCCCTTTGTTTTTAAATATATTAGGAAGTTGTACAACCATCACCACTATATAATTCTAGAATATTTTCACCACCCCTAAATGAAACCTAGACTCATTAGCAGTCACTCCCCGTTTTCTCCTTCCCCCAGTCTCTGGCAACCACTAATCTACTTTCCATTTCTATGAATTTGTCTATTCTGGACATTTCATATGAATGGAGTAACGCACATATATGGCCTTTTCTATCTGGATTTTTGCACTTAACATGATGTTTTCAAGGTTCATCCATTTCGTGGCATGTACTTCATTCTTTCTGATGAATGAATAATGTTTCAGTGTATGCATATACCACATTTTCTGTATCCATTCATCAGTTAATAGACATTTGAGTTGTTCCCACTGTTTGGTTATTATGGCTATGAACATTTGTATATAAGTTTCTGTGCGAGCATATATTTTCAGTTCTCTTGGGTATATACCTAGTAGTCGACTTGCTAGGTCATATGGTAACTTTATATTTAGCTTTTTGAGGAATTGCAAAACAACTTTTCAAAGCAACCACACCATTTTACGTCCCCACCAGCAAATTATGAGGGCTGTAATTCTCTAAATCCTCACCAACACTTGTTACTTTCTTTTTGATGATAGCCGTCTTTGTGAATGTGAAGCAGTATCTCATTGTGGTGATCTGCATTTCGCTAGAGTCTAATGATATTGAATATCTTTTCAGATGCCTGTCATGCACATACTGATTGGCCATATGTGTATTTTCTTTGGAGAAATATATATGCAAATCCTTTGCCAAATTTTAATTGGATTATCTTCTGATTGTTGAGGTGTAAGCTTTCTTTCTGTATTCTAAATACTAAACCCTTATCAGATATATGATTTGCAAATATTTCTCCCCTTCTGTGGATTGTATTTGCATTTTATTTATAGTATCCTTTGATGCACAAAAGTTTCAAACTGAAGAAATGAATTAAAAGAATCCTTTTGAGGAGATAATTTAATAAACAAGGCAGTTGGTGACAGAAGAGATCCAATGAATTAAAGAGGGTATGACTAAAATCTTAGAGAAATTGGAGAGGCAATATTTAACAACATTCTATAGCATTATCTAGGAAGAAGGCACTTTGCATAATAGGCGAAAATGAGAGTTGCTCCTTTTGTTGTTCATGTATGACTATTCGATAAGCAAGGAATGTGTGTGTCTATGTGCAAAGCAATACAGGGAATTAATCATTGAAGTCTACATTTTAACCAGCAAGAAATAAAGGAGGACAAAGTAAGGAGACAGAGATGGTGAGAAAGAGCAATGCTCTACTATAACTAAGACTCCTCCTTATGAGGCATCTTAATTTAGAACTATGCCTATGCTTTAGAGGACTGAAACAGGAGGAACTTGACTTAAATTATTAAGAGAATTACATTGGTTTAAAATAAGGAGAAGGAAAACTAATTTTCTTTTAAATGTACACCATGGGACAGGGATTAGGGTAGAAGCATTACATCCAGTAAATCATTTATTCCTCACCTCAACCCAACGAAGGTGGGTATAATCCTATTTTACAGAGGAAGAAATAGAGTTTAAAGAAACATCACTTCCCAAGGTCACACAATAGAGGAACTGGAATTCAAACTTCAGCCTAATTATAAAATATTCATTATTTCTCCTACTGTCTTAGGACTAAAAAGGAAAATCTCTCTATCTTCCATCTAAAGACATAACATATTACATTAACTCTTTACTTTTTTCCACTGTTTAACATCTTTGAGATCTTACAGTATCATAGGTTAAGTGGCTGAATTTTCTTTCTTGGTGTTGCATAAAATAATGGCACATCTTAACAACAATTATGTGATAGATTCAATGAACTACTCAGATATATGACTGACTTTTGATGGAAATTCTGGCAGAGATATTTAAAGAATAATATTAATAAAATAGTTTAGATTTGAATATTCACTCTCAGATGGAAAGCAGAGGCCTGGAATAGAACATCTCTAAGAGGCAGCATCTTTGTTTAGCTCTACGTTCTTCACACTTAGATGATGGTGCTTCATTCTGAAATATTCTACCTTCCAACACTTGGCAAACATCGTTTTTTACAGATCTTTCACTTTGCTTTTCTGAAAAACAAAAACATTTTATGACAGTACCCACCAACAGGACCTTTCATTAATAATGCAAAAGCTAAGGTGTGTTTGGAGGTATCCAGTAAAATCATAGAAGGATCAGGGAGGAGCAAACTTGGCCCCCAAGAGGCTAGGCCCAGACTGTACCTCCTTCACGTTTTACTCCAGAAAGCAGAAACTCATGACAGGAAGAGGAAGTGAACAGGGTGTGCATCTGATGATAGAGATCAGGGCTGGCCAGTCCTGCGTTCCCCAAACACCCTCCCCTCTGTTCCCTAATATGAGGATGGAGGAACTCCATTTCTTCACCCTATCCTCTCAACTCCAGGGGATACTATAAAAGGTGACCATTAAATAAGGGACCAGGACTCTCACCCTTTCCAATGCATGGGAATTTCCAGATCTGAGGAAGAGTCTATGAGTGAGTATGACAAGAACACAATTAGCCCCCGTATTGGACAAAATTAAATTATCATGCTGCTACTTTTAAACCAAAGATTGCTTCTTAGCCCCAGAGACCCCACAGACCCTCCCAACTCAGAGAAAGACTTGCTCAAAGGCAGGTTCAAGGATGACCTCTTCTGCAAAGCCTTTCCTCACCAACCACTGTAAATTCTTCTCTCATGGCCTGAGTGGATTTCATAATAACTGTGTATTTCACTGGGTCTGACTCTTGTCATTAGGATATAAGCTTCTTGAAGGTAATAACCATTTTTTACTCACCTCAGCATCCCCAGTCCCTGCTCATTCAATTTTCTTTGAATAACTATGTTAGACTTTGTTCTTTAAGAACTTAGTGAAATCATCAACACAATTTCCATTAGCAGCACTACCTCTGTAAAGCACTCAAGTTAGAACAAAAGTAAATATGTGCCTTATCTTCTACACAACTTTACTTTCCTTCAAATGATAAGTATGTGTGGTGATGGATGTGTTAATTAGCTGGATTTAATCATTCCACAAGGTGTACATATATCAAAACAGCATGTTGTACACCATAAATATATACAATTTTTCATTTGGCAGTATTCCAGAAATCAGCTCTAAGCACTTCAGCTTTTATCCTGTTGGCTCGGATGTTTTGAGAAGGAGGAGGTAGTGCAATTCACTATTTTTAGTTAATTCTCTTTTCTATATTTTGCTAATACCTTGTCCCCAAAAGCCAACAGGTGAGCCCCATTTCTGTATTCCACACAAAAGGCAACTCTCCTTCTCCAAACAGCTACCTGCACCAAGTGTACCTGTGACGATTCTGTCCTCTCCTCCAGGATCCTTCACTTGCCTCTGGTCCCCACATTTACTTTAACCTAAGTCTTGATGATTCTTTCTCCATATTGCAACAAAACAATGACATGTTTTGGAGTCCTCCCTACGTATCAAACATTAATAAAAGTATTCCGTACACATATCTCACTTCAGCTTCATAATAACCCTTTGGCATAGATACTGTTATTTCTCAAATTCAAAGACAAGTTGACTAAAGCACAGAGAGGTTAACTAATTTGCCCGAGATCACAAACAGGAAGAGAGAGAACAGGCATCTGTTCTGTATTAGATCCTATCATATTCTTAACCTCCATGGGTTTTACCTTCCCCGTTTGTCTTTTTAGACCTATCTTTAATCCTTACTACCTTGGCAACTTCAACATAGGCTTGTTATTGTTGATTTTTTTTTACTTTTGATTTTGAAATAATGTTACATTTACATGCAAGTTGCTGAAATACTACAAGGAGCTCCTAGGTACACTTCTGCCAGCTTCCCTCGTGTGCACATTGTATATAATCATAGTATAACTGCCTAAACCAGGAAACTGACATTTGTATAACACCACTAACTGAACCTCAGAGCTTATTTGAATGTCACTAGTTTTTAAATGCACTCACTATGCTTTGTGTGTGTATATACAGTTTATTCATCAAATGTAGAGATTTTTGTAACCACTACCATAATTGGATTTTAGAACAGTTCCACCATCCGCCAAACACTTGAGAGTATAGATCATTTCCATCACCAAAAAGAAACTCCCTTGTGTCACCCCTTTACAGTCCTACCCCATCCCTAGTCCCTGGCAACCACTGGTCTGTTCATCATCATATACTCTGTCATCTTAAGAATATTCTATAGATGGAATCATAGAGAATGTAATCTTTTCAGGTCGGCTTTTTTTCACTTAACACAACGCCCTTGAGATCCTTCAGTTCCTGTATCAATAGTTTATTACTTTTTGTTTTTGAGTAGTCCGTTGAATGGGTATATAGTTGGCTTAGCTACAACCTTTCATTTTCTTCTAGCCTCCTATAGTTCTTCTACCAGAATAATCCAGTGATTCTCAAAACACAGAGGGAGGCCTTCCTTCAATTGGTCATGAATATTAAAAAGCAGAATTCTGGATCCTGTTTGAGGTCCATTGAATCTGAACATCTGAGGGTAAGGACTAGTGTTACAATATCTGTAGTTCACATACTTCAGTGTAGATGGTGTAGTATTGATTGCTTTTTAGTTGCATTAAGCTATAATAGAAACCTATGTTTTTTTTTTTTTTTTTTTTTTTTTTTGAG
The DNA here is from genome assembly GCF_000001405.40 of Homo sapiens. Classification (NCBI taxonomy): domain Eukaryota; kingdom Metazoa; phylum Chordata; class Mammalia; order Primates; family Hominidae; genus Homo; species Homo sapiens. The sequence goes on from NC_000011.10 coordinate 60,484,923, forward strand.
ACGGAGTCTCGCTCTGTCGCCCAGGCCGGACTGCGGACTGCAGTGGCGCAATCTCGGCTCACTGCAAGCTCCGCTTCCCGGGTTCACGCCATTCTCCTGCCTCAGCCTCCCGAGTAGCTGGGATTACAGGCGCCCGCCACCGCGCCCAGCTAATTTTTTGTATTTTTAATAGAGACGGGGTTTCACCTTGTTAGCCAGGATGGTCTCGATCTCCTGACCTCATGATCCACCCGCCTCGGCCTCCCAAAGTGCTGGGATTACAGGCGTGAGCCACCGCGCCCGGCCTAGAAACCTATGTTGCTTCCACTTTAATTAGGAATGGTGATGATTAACTGGCACTCTAATCACAAATTCCATTCTTCAGAGGCAATCAGTGGTATTGATATCAGACCCTTTTCTAATTAGAATAACACATGTCCAATTTTTAAAAATATGAGTGGCTTATGACATAGCATTACTAGAAATGGATTCTTATCTGTGAAATTAAAGACATCAATATTTTAGAGACATCCTAAACCCTAGCATGAACAAGATATAAGAATCTACCAATGTCTGTAGGCTTTACCCTTCCACCCTAAATTTATGCCAGATCTTTGGACCATCCATGAACTTGGAAGGCTCTGATGATAGGAGTCTATTTCTAGGAAACCTGGCTTGTACACCCAATTGAAACTTGCAGATAGAATAGTACTAAGCAGAGTACCTAAAGGATACAGAAGCTAGGAATGTGATAAGCATTTTCTACCATATTCACTTATTAGAGCCTAGAATAGTGCCTACAGTAAGTATTTGGTGAATTTCAAAATGTGCTCTATTCTTTTATCGCTTTCTAATTTAAACCAGTCACAGAACCAATTAATCCCTAACTAGTGAAATTCAAGGTCTTTAGTAGATAAATACTTTCTCTAGATTCAAAATACTTGACCCAAATGGGCATACTGTATAAGTATTGTTGTAAGATTTCCAACCACTTGTCATTTTCTGAGGTTGCACAGTGTTAGGAGAGAAGCAGAGAGATATGTCTCCTTGCCTTTCCAAGGTTCTGAGTCAACGTCTAGTTATATCAGAAAAAGGAGAATAAAAGAATAACTGTTCAAAACAAGAATTTTTTTTTAAGCAAAGATTAACCATGAAGGACACCTGGTGGTGAAATCTGTCACCATCATGTCACCATCGCTCCTCTGTACCGTACCACACTTGCCGCTTGAGGCCACTACTGAGGCTCAGATACTGCACACATGTGAGTTTCAAGCCTTTTGAAAAGCCATGCTGTGGAAGCCCCAGCCAGTCATTAATTCATGAGTGCACTCTGCCTCTGTCTCACTTCACTCTCCCTGATTGGCTCAAGTTTACCTAGCGACTCAGTCAGGCTCCCAGTCGCTGAAGGTGCCCTGCTTTAGTAGAAAAAGTAAAGAGTTTGGACTCAGACACACCTGGACAGACTCTCTACCACTTTCTAACTACATGACCTTAATCATATTGCTCACCATGCTACGACTTAGTTTCCTGTGTGTAAAATGGCAGTTAAATCTATTATGGCATTGTTGGAAGAATTAAATAAAGGTTTATGCAAAGCCAAACAGTACCCATTAAATGGCACATGATATTATGTCTAAATCAATCCTAACCTGATATTGAATGTACTACCATTCTCTACCCACCAGTGACTGAGGTTTAGAATTTATTTCTATACATTTTCCAGGAGCCCTAAGCATGCTAACTCTCCTCTTCTTATCTTTATTCTGACCCTGTTTATACCACTGGGCCTCGGTTCTTTCACTGACCCTTTCAGCCTGAGTGACCTAGCTCTCACCATTCCCCTTCCCAGAAGACTAGACCTGACTCCCTGTACCTCTAGCTGCCAGATAGAGCCTGTCTGGCAAACATGGAGTCATAATGGTTGACAGGTTGGTGTTACCCAAACCGTTGACCACAGACCAATGCTAGACTACTTTCTTTCTTTCTTCCTTCCTTCCTTCCTTGCCATTTCATGAAAATATAAATACAGAAAATGAGAATAAAGCTTGCATCGCTTCTCGGCCTTTTGGCTGAGACCAAGTATGGAGAGGAGTATGTAGTAGCAAGTAGTGACTTCCGTCTCATTGAACAGGGTATAGACCATCATGCATGCAGCTTATACAACAAGTTGTATGTGGTATGAGCTTCATATTGGTCATGCTCTATAGGACCACATTGCAACACGTAATATGCTAAGGTTGGTTTGTCAACTCTAACTCAATAAAATATATTGAAAAATTGAGAAAATTTAAACATTCTTTATAACCGATTATTCCATTGGAAAAGCTCTGCTGAAAACATTTGAAATAGGTAGTGAACTGTTTGCGTTTCATCAAGACAAGAAGCCTGTTTGATCTCAACTTGTCAAAGATGTGCCTATGAACAGAACCACTTATTTGTGTGATATCTTTCATAATTTAATGATTATAATAACTCTATGCAAAGAAAAACTGCAGGTAAGATTAAAGGGCAAAAACAAACATTAGAAGCTTAGAAAAAGAGCATTTAACAACTAGCAAGAAAGTGGTTGATGATTTTGATATTCCACATCTGCAATAAGTTATTACCAATCACCGTATGAATTTTATATTTTTTTGATGGAATATAAAATTCAGAAGAGGTCCAAAAATGGAAAATTAATCTTTCTAGAATGCATTTTTCTTTTTCATAAATAAATTTTATTGTATATATTTAAATATACAATTTGATGTTATGAGATACATATAGACAGCAAAAAGCCTCTGTAGTGAAGCAAATTAACAAATCCATCATCTCAGTTACCTGTTTTTTCGTTTTTGTTTTTGTGGCAAGAGAAGCAAAATCTATTCATTTTGCACGAATTCCATATACATTACAATTTTATTACTTACCATCCTCATAGTGTACCTTAGATCTCTAGACTTGTTCATCCTACATATCTGCTACTTTGTATCCTCTCATCTACATCTCCCATTTCCTCCCCCAGCCACTCCTGCTAACCAACATTTTGTTCTCTATATCTGTATATTTGAAATTTTTTAGCAAAAATGATATCAAAAGAGAAGAACCAAGTTAGAGGACTGACACTATCCAACTTCAAGACTTACAGTAAAGCTACAGTAATGAAGACAGTGTGGTATTGGTGAAAGAACAGACAAATGGATCAATAGGTGAAATCAGCCAGACACAGAAAAAAATATATCGCATTATCTCAAAATCCATTTTTTGATCAAAAGGAAAAAAATTATAGACAGGATAAATTGTTAGCAGTGACTACCGATGGACTGAATATGTACTTTGAAAATATGATATCACTTGTTTTGTTATATATAAGAATTTTAAATAAATATTCTGGGTTTCCAGCCGGGAGCTGTGGCTCACACCTGTAATCCCAGCACTTTGGGAGGCCGAGGTGGGTGGATCACTTGAGGTCAGAAGTTCGAGACCAGCCTGGCCAACATGGTGAAACCCCATCTCTACTAAAAATACAAAAAGTAACTGGGCGTGGTGGCACACACCTGTGATTCCAGCTACTCAGGAGGCTGAGGTATGAGAATCCCTTGAACCCAGGAGGCAGAGGTTGCAGTGAGCTGAGATCATGCCACTGCACTCCAGCTTAGGTGACAAAGCGAGACTCTGTCTCAAAAACACAAACAAACAAAAATTATGTGTTTCTGAAATTATTCCAAAATTTATTCTGTTCCTGTCAACATACCTCTGTGAGACTGATTTCTCTATTAGGGGTATTGTTAAAACAAAACATAGAAACAGTTTAAAAATGCATTATCCTCTGCAAGTAGCACTGCCATCAATCCGAGTTAAACAAATTAATAAGCAAGAAGCAAGTTTATTTAAATAGTGGAAATTTAAAGAGTGATGTACACAATGTTTATTCCAAGTGTGTATTATAGACTTTTAATGCAGGAAATCAGTATTTCCTTTGTAATTTTTGTTTAGCTACAGTTTTGGAAGAGCCAAAAGCTATGTGTAATAGTGATTATAATAGTTGTGGATCGTTGTCAGATTTGTAATTCTTTTCTGTTTTCCCATGTTGAGATGACATTTATTAAAACAATTTTATGCCTACAGATTCTAATGAAAACTCTGGGCTTGAATTATTGTCTATCTTATTTTCCTAGTTGTTTATTTTTATTATATTTTACAAATGTGTTGGTCCACAATAAATTGAAAATTTTAATGGAAAAAATGGCCTTTCTCCACAGACTGTAAAGCATTCAGCTTTACGAGCATGTTCCTAAGCTAGGGATACAAAAGAGATTATGAAATGGTACTATAACTCCTGCCCTTAGAAGTTAGAGCATGTTTGAAGAAATCACAAATCAGAACACAACATAGAAGAATCACACTGTTAATGGCACTAACCACATGATTACAGGAGAGAACAGTGCAGAAGTCTTACCAAGATTTGCTGCATGGAGATGGGTCTGAAAGGCCAACAGGAGAAGGAAGGGGATTCTAGGTTTAAAAGACACTATTTCTTTTTTCTTTTTTTATTTTTTATTTTATTTTATTTTTTTGAGAGGGAGTCTCGCTGTGTCACCCAGGCTGGAGTGCAGTGGCGCAATCTCGGCTCACTCCAACCTCCGCCTCCCAGGTTCAAGTGATTCTCCTGCTGCAGCCTCCCAAGTAGCTGGGATTACAGGCGTGTGCCACCACACTCAGCTAATTTTTGTATGTTAGTAGAGATGGGGTTTCACCATGTTGGCCAGGCTGCTCTCAAACTCCTGATCTCAAGTGATCCACCCACCTCAGCCTCCCAAAGTGCTGGGATTACAGGCGTGAGCCACTGTGCCCAGCCTGACATTATTTATTTTCAACTTTCTCTTCCTGCTGCCTGGATAACATGAATAAGGTTGATCATGTTATACCTTTCCAGACAGTAATCATGATTCTGTGGGCTTTCAAAAACAATGCTTACTTCATTTTCCTTTAAATACCTTCAAGCCTTTCAGCAATATTATTGCCTGAAATTGTCATTTTCTTAAGCTCATAACATTAATAAATCTTCAGCATCTTTTTTCTATTTTAGAAAAATATATAAAAATGTAAACCCACAAGAGAAAGAAAACTCTCAATAATACACAAAAAAAGAAAAAAGAATCTGCACTCATGCCACCAACTCTTTTAATGTATATTTAATGAGCCTTAACATGTGTGAGACACTGTGCCATACATGGAGTTGGAGGTGGGGATAGATATCAGCCCCTGCCCCAAGGATCTCTGGTCTCAAGGTACTCATTTGTACCTGAGATACAACCTAAAATAAATAACTGGAATGTGACAGGACACTTCCAAAAAATAAAACAGCACGCCACTATTAAGAATTACAATAAATAGGCCAGGTGCGGTGGCTCACACCTGTAATCCAGCACTTTGGGGGGCCTAGGCGGGCATATCACAAGGTCAGGAGATCGAGACCGTCCTGGCTAACATGGTGAAACCCCGTCTCTACTAAAAATACAAAATATTAGCCGGGCATGGTGGCGGGCGCCTGTAGTCCCAGCCACTCCGGAGGCTGAGGCAGGAGAATGGTGTGAACCCGGGAGGCAGAGCTTGCAGTGAGCCGAGATCGCGCCACTGCACTCCAGCCTGGGTGACAGAGCAAGACTCCATCTCAAAAAAAAAAAAAAAAAAGAACTACAATAAATATGTTTATCGACATGAAAAGATATTTATAGGACATTAAGCTTAAAAGCAGGTTATGAAGTATATATACATTATGATCCTAACTTGATTTTACTATGTAAAATACATACATGCGCACACAAAAGTTTACAAATCAAAATGCAAATACTATCATTAATTATGTCTGCGTGGTGAGATTGAGTGCTTTTTCTCTCCTTTTTTTATTATCTGCATTTTCCAATTTTGTCCACCTAATTTAAAAGGCATTAAAATGCAGTATGGCTCTCCCTCTCCCTCTCCCTGTCCCTCTCCCTGTCCCTCTCCCTCTCCCTCTCCCTCTCCCTCTCCCTCCCTCTCCCCCTCCCCATGGTCTCCCTCTCCCTCTCTTTCCACGGTTTCCCTCTGATGCCGAGCCGAAGCTGGACTGTACTGCCACCATCTCGGCTCACTGCAACCTCCCTGCCTGATTCTCCTGACTCAGCCTGCCGAGTCGCCACGCCTGACTGGTTTTCGTATTTTTTTGGTGGAGATGGGGTTTCGCTGTGTTGGCCGGTTTGGTCTCCGGCTCCTAACCGCGAGTGATCCACCAGCCTCAGCCTCCCGAGGTGCCGGGATTGTATACGGAGTCTCGTTCACTCAGTGCTCAATGTTGCCCAGGCTGGAGTGCAGTGGCGTGATCTCAGCTAGCTACAACCTCCACCTCCCAGCCGCCTGCCTTGGCCTCCCAAAGTGCCGAGATTACAGCCTCTGCCCGGCCGCCACCCCGTCTGGGAAGTGAGGAGCGTCTCTGCCTGGCCGCCCATTGTCTGGGATTTGAGGAGCCCCTCTGCCTGGCTGCCCAGTCTGGGAAGTGAGGAGCGCCTCTTCCCGGCCACCATCCCGTCCAAGAAGTGAGGAGCGTCTCTGCCCAGCCGCCCATCGTCTGAGATGTGGGGAGCGCCTCTGCCCTGCCACCCCGTCAAGGATGTGAGGAGCGCCTCTGCCCAGTGGCGACCCCGTCTGGGAGGTGAGGAGTGTCTCTGCCCGGCCGCCCAGTCTGAGAAGTGAGGAGCCCCTCCGCCCAGCAGCCGCCCTGTCTGAGAAGTGAGGAGCCCCTCCGCCCAGCAGCCGCCCCGTCTGAGAAGTGAGGAGCGTCTCCGCCTGGCAGCCACCCCGTCCAGGAGGAAGGTGGGGGGCCAGTCCCCGCCCAGCGAGCCGCCCCGTCCGGGAGGGAGGTGGGGGGGTCAGCCCCCGCCCGGCCAGCCGCCCCCTCCGGGAGGGAGGTGGGGGGCGCCTCCGCCCAGCCGCCCCTTCTGGGAAGTGAGGAGCCCCTCTGCCTGGCCATCACCCCGTCTGGGAGGTGTACCCAACAGCTCATTGAGAACGGGCCATGATGACGATGGCGGTTTTGTGGAATAGAAAAGGGGGAAAGGTGGGGAAAAGATAGAGAAATCAGATTGTTGCTGTGTCTGTGTAGAAAGAAGTAGACATGGGAGATTTCATTTTGTTCTGTACTAAGAAAAATTCTTCTGCCTTGGGATGCTGTTGATCTATGACCTTACCCCCAACCCTGTGCTCTCTGAAACATGTGCTGTGTCCACTCAGGGTTCAATGGATTAAGGGCGGTGCAAGATGTGCTTTGTTAAACAGATGCTTGAAGGCAGCATGCTCGTTAAGAGTCATCACCACTCCCTAATCTCAAGTACCCAGGGACAAAAACACTGCGGAAGGCCGCAGGGTCCTCTGCCTAGGAAAGCCAGAGACCTTTGTTCACTTGTTTATCTGCTGACCTTCCCTTCACTATTGTCCTATGACCCTGCCAAATCCCCCTCTGTGAGAAACACCCAAGAATGATCAATAAAAAAAAAAAAGAGACTATAAACATAATTTGAGTGTTTAGAAATTTAAAAATAAAATCCCAGTAAAAAAAATAAATAAATAAAAATAAAAATAAAAAAATGCAGTATGATATTGCAATGATTGAGCATTAGAAAGCTGGAGAAAATAAATACTAAAGTGTTTGGGAGGGTCACAATAGGCTTCCCAGTAAAAATTAGAGGAGGATGTGAAAGCACAGCGTATTCCAAACTTTACAGTTGCATTTACATCTCTTGAGGTGAAAGAGAAATAACCATAAAAGGACTCTGGAACTACATAAAGATACAAGACAAATTGGTTTGGAGAACGGAAATAAAATCTACCTATAAAATCCAGGTAAATATCTGATACTGGCACACAGGTTGGAGCAGAGAAAGAGGAAACATAGAGGTGCCAAAGGAACAAAGTAAGTCCATTGATACGTTCTTGCCTATCTCTCCTCCAAATCAATGGGCACAAACTGTGGCTGGTCTACCTGTGTGGGTTCTGTTCTCTAGATTGGAGGGATGAAGACAAGTTCTTGACTCTATGTTGAGGCCAGTTGAAAAATGAGGGAGAATAAAACCATGAACGAAACAAGAAAGAAACAAAACAGAAGAGGAATGAAAAAGTAAGTTGGTTGCTGTACAAGAGATAAAACGGACTGCAAAAAGAAAAAAAAAGCTAATGCTCGCTGGGTGCGGTGGCTCACACCTGTAAACCCAGCTCTTTGGGAGGCCGAGGCAGGAGAATCACCTGAGGTCAGGAGTTCGAGACCAGCCTGCCTAACATGGTGAAACCCCATCTCCACTAAAAATACAAAAATTAGCTGGGCGTAGTGGCAGGTGCCTGTAATCCCAGCTACTCGGGGGGCTGAGGCAGGAGAATCACGTGAACTCGGGAGGCGGAGGTTGCAGTGAGCCGAGATCGCTCCATTGCACTCCAGCCTGGGTGACAAGAGTGAAACTCCATCTTAAAAAAAAAAAAAAAAAAAGCTAATGCTAAGAAAGGTGAATAATAGGTTCAACTGTATGCCATTCCATGAACATGGGCCCAAAAGGACGAGGCCATGCCCCACTGGGCACTTGATGATTATGTGGCTACCACAGGGACAACATAGAACACAGAAGTAATACTGGAGCCCTTGGCTTTGTAACACATTTTAATTAAGGTACTTCTTTCTGACAAGAAAACAATTAAAATTAAAATAGGTAGGGAAAGAACATTCATTTTCACCAGATCAGCATTTTGTGAAAGGTGATATAAGTGTATACCTGTGGATGTACTGGGTGATTTTGTGAAAATGATTCGGTTTCATGTTTTGCTTTATGCTATAAAGTACTCTTGAAAATAATAATCATCTTCACTCTGTCAAAAGTGAAGTTAGCATGAAAATGAGGTAGAAAGAAACTATAAAGAAGTAAATTTTTCCCATTTTTATTTGAAATAATGTAATCACAGAGCAAATTGCTGAGGTTTTCTCTAATTGCTTTAGTCTTATACTTTTGATCTCATCAGAGCTCCAATATTTTTATGTGTTCCTTGTTCTTAAAAATAATTGCAGTTGTTCTAATTCTTATTTTTAAAAAAAGGACAACTAGGGGTAAATATTTTGTCAACTGTCAAGAGAACAATCCTACTAAGTCAATAGGTGGAATCTATAAAAGGAGTCTATTTATTAGTTTCCCTTCTCATGTATCATTTACAGAATTGTCTTCATTTCAATTGAATAATTAAAGAATCAGAACTGGCTGGCTCTGTCTTTAATTCCTTTTATAAAACCAGAACTTGACCCAGTAAAAATGTATTCTGAGTCCTAATAACTATAGACCTAGCCATGAATAATCTGGGTTCTATGTGAAATTTACAGATCTTAGTCCAGAAACTAAACAGCAGATATGAAAGGAGAAACTGTTGATAAATAAATGAAAAGTATTGAGTTTTCCTCATAAAATTTCTCGAGACAAAAAAAAAGCAATGATCAACAGCAAAGGAGAATGTAATGAAATCATATACATGCAGAAACGTGGACAATTCTTTAATTGTATGCTTTTTAAAAGCTCAAAAAAATTCTTGTTCTGGTTAATTACTGTACTCTGAGTACCCATCTCCTATTTCTTTGCTCTTGAAATTGACCCTGTTCAATTCCTTTTATAAACTTTTCCTATGGCCACATCCACTGCCTAAAACAAGATAGAATACCTTGGGATCTAATAATAAAATAATAGTTCCTTTTTAAGCTCTTGCCATGTGCTAGGCACTGTTCCAACAGTTTTGCATAAATTAGGATAATTTGAACTTTAGACTAGCCTCCTTAGGTACCTTCTGTCATTTTACAGTTGAGACATAGGAACTAACAGGGATTTCATTAAGAAACTTGCTTAAAGTCCCAGACTTAGTGAAGTAGCAGATTGAAGATTAGAAAAGAGGGCTTGAGCAATATTTGGCCACCGAAACCAGATCCATAGGATGTATAACCTCACATTCTCAAATGCTATTGAGAGTTACGTGGTGTTACTCCAAGAGTCACAGCTATGGACTTGTTTCCTTTTTCCTTGTTTAAAATAAACTTTTGTGGGCTCAAATGTGTTTACATTTTTTTTTTTTTTGAGATGGAGTCTCGCTCTGTCACCCAGGTTGGAGTGCAGTGGCACGATCTCGGCTCACTGCAAGCTCCACCTCCCGGGTTCACACCATTCTCCTGCCTCAGCCTCCCATGTAGCTGGGACTACAGGCGACCACCACTACACCCGGCTAATTTTTTTTTTTTTTTTGTATTTTTAGTAGAGACGGGGTTTCACCATGTTAGCCAGGATGGTCTCGATCTCCTGACCTCGGGATCTGCCCGCCTCGGCCTCCTAAAGTGCTGGATGTGTTTCCATTTTGAAAAAAAAAATTCCTCTGTAATCAGATATTTCAGAAAGATGTTTTCTCCCTTTTCATTGAGTTTTCAACCATTTTCAGTTGCATCTAGTATCGGAGGGTAAGGGTTATGAGTACAGGTTCTGGATTAAATTCTCTCATTGTGAAATGGGGATTTTAGTAGAGTACCTATCTCATGGGGTTCTGTAAAGGGTACAGAGATAATGTATCTCATGCACTTAACATAGAAATAATAATAGAGCCAACCCTGTAATCGGCACAATTCCACATACTTTGCAGAGAATAACTCTTTAATACTCAAACTGACTCTCTAAGGAAGGTAGTCTTATTAGCTCTATTTTACAGACAGAAAACAAAGGCAAAGAGAGGTTAACAAACTTGCCAAAGACACAAAGTTGGAGTTAGATCCCAAGTTCATGTTCCTAAACATGACACTATACAGACCCTACTGTGCCTATAATAAGTCTTTAATAAATGTTAGCTCTCTATACACCTCACCTAAAGCTTGCTAAAGAGAATCCTTACTAACTCACTCAATCACAAAGAAGTTAATCCGGTTTATAAACTCCTCTCCATGGCATCAGAAGACAGAAGTTTTGTTGTTGGGTAGTTGCAGGAGCAGAGTCAATACCCTGTCACCAAGGCTGGCCTGGAAAACAAGCTGCAAATGTCCAGAGTGATGCTGCATGGAGGGGGATTCTGAACCAACAGCCAAGAATCCCATTTTCAAGTCCTAACTCTGCCACATGTTTTCTGTGTAACCTTGAGCATGTCACTTAACGACTCAGCTTCAATTTCTCATCTGTAAATCAAGGGGAATGAGACAGGATAAATGGAAAGGGTCTTTTCTACCCTAAAATTTCTGGATTCTATGAGCACAGGGTCTGCATATGTGTCCTTGTTAGATACCAGTGATACATTGTACCAATAGGTTATTCATAGTATTCATACTTCATACCAAGAATGAGACATTCATCACTCTAACTTTCTTGATATTCATAAGCACAAGAAAATTGTTGTGCTTTTGAAGACCTCAAAAAAAGGAATCTAAGGCTAAAGACAAATTTTTTAAGTGTCATAATTTTTTTCAAGAATTAATAGTCATTGTTGTCCATATTCAGTTGTACTGGCTTATTTCCAACAAAATTTCCCTTGCCTACATGGGGCCTGAGATGCTCTAAGCTTTCAGAAGGACAGAAATGAATAAAAGCATTTTTCCTAAAGAACAGAAGAATCATCTTAAGTGGGCATATGTGAACTATCTAGTTTCCCAATTACTGGCAAACAATTTTAATCTTGGACTGCCCTCCTTGCCATACAAGTATTGTATTACTTGGCCCCTGTATTAGTTTTCTATTTGTTGATATAACAAACTACCACAAATGTAGTGGCTTAAAACAATATAATTTTTTTATCTGACAGTTCTGTAGGTCAGAATTCCAATACCAGCTCACTAGACTAAGTTCAAGGTGTCAGCAGAGTCATGTTCCTTCCTGGAGACTCTAGGGAAGAATCTGTTTCCTTGTTTCATCCAGCTTCTAGAGGCGACCCATACACCTTGGTTCATGGACGCCTTCCTCCAACTTCACAGTTGGCAGCATAGCATCTCTCTAATGAGGGATGGTTTCAGGATGAAACTATTCCACCTCAGGTCATCAGGAATTAGAGTCTCATAAGGAGCATGCAACCTAGATCCCCAACATGTGCAGTTCACAGTAGGGTTCATGCTGCTATGAGAATCCAATGCCATGCTGGTCTGATAGGAGGCAGAGCTCAGGCAGTAATGCTTGCCTGCTGCTTACCTCATGTAGTGCAGCCAGGTTTCCAACAGACCACAGACAGGTACCAGTCCTTGGCGTGGGGGTTGGGGACTTATGAGAATCATGTTTCTATCAGTTGTTATGGCCCATTATCTGCTCACTTGTTCTCTCCATTTGCATAGATAATTGACATTTGACATTTGGTAAGATTTTCTTTAGTTTCTTTTCTGGATAAACGTATCACTTTTGTATGTTTTGTGATACTTAGGACATAATGATGTCATCCAAGCCAACAAGCCATGCTGAAGTAAATGAAACCATACCCAACCCTTACCCACCAAGCAGCTTTATGGCTCCTGGATTTCAACAGCCTCTGGGTTCAATCAACTTAGAAAACCAAGCTCAGGGTGCTCAGCGTGCTCAGCCCTACGGCATCACATCTCCGGGAATCTTTGCTAGCAGTCAACCGGGTCAAGGAAATATACAAATGATAAATCCAAGTGTGGGAACAGCAGTAATGAACTTTAAAGAAGAAGCAAAGGCACTAGGGGTAAGTCTATTTACTACCAGAATTTTAATTTCACATTTGCAAGGTCTTCTTATAAGTTATAGGAGAGTATCATCCAATTGCTAAAAAGTTCTGAACGTTATTCTGAAATTATCTCTTTTAGACAGAAATATTTAGTCTGCCTATAGACTTTCCCTTGAGTTCATTTCATTTTAGATCAAGCAAAAATATAACAAGACACAGAGGAGCCTCCCTAGCTGGAGAATTTGGTAATATTGACGTGACAGAAGCACTGTTACATCTAGCTTGATCTCATTTCTTCAAAGGACTTTTTGGACAATCTCAATCCCATCTCTGGATTAGTTACAAGTCTGGTTTTTGCATAAAGGTGAATTTACATAACAATGAACAATGATGGCTGCCCCCAGAAAAGGAAACTACAAATGGGCAGTCTGGGAAAGGCTGAGTGTGAAAGAATTGGGGGACATTCCATCTGCTATGCCTCTTTCACCAATACCCTTAGAGATGCTACAGTTTAACTGTCACCTTACTTCTACAAAGGAGACTCTGAACTGACTGCCTTGTTTCTGTAGGCATTGTAAAAACAAAAATGCCCTACTTGTAAGAAAATTCCACCTGCCTAGGTAGAATTGTTAGTCCCTTCTCCGTGCTTTCCAAATACATCATTCATCCCGCTAGCACAATTCCACCAAATTATATTAAGTCTCTCCCTGTGAATAGCTCAAAATGCTCTGCTGGAGCATTCCGTAAATGAATGCTCATTATGTGCCAGAAACTCTTCTAGCCATCTTACTATGTATTTCAAGTTGTGATGTTTTAGGGAAGTAAAAATGAGCATAAGTTCTCCTGCAGCAGCCTATTTACTAAGCTGTGGAGGTGGCCCTTCTGATCCTCCTCCTCCCAGATAGAGGAAATTCCCTGCTCCTAATAAGCCAATGGGACAAACTAACACCCCATACAGCCAGCCCCACACAGGTGCTTGGAATATCATTAAGCACAAAGGAGGTGCAATCTCTGCCCTCACAGAACTTACGCCCTAGAGGGGGAAATCAGACTGTATACATAATAAGGAAGTAAAGTACTTAGTGTGTTAGAAGGTGTCGAATGATATAGACAAAACAAAGAAGTGTAAAAGGGCTAAAAAGTACTAGGCAGTGAGGAGGCAGCAATTTCAAGGTGGTCAGAATGGGCTTTCCTTAGAACATGACATTTGAGCAAAAACCTGAAGTTAGGAGTGAGCCCTGCAGATATTAGGGAAAGAGAAAACAACCAGTGTAAAAGTCTTTAGATGAAAATGTCTTTGAGGTATTTGAAGAACCGGGAGGAGGCCAATAAAATAGAACAGAATGAGTGAGGGAGGGGGCAGTTGTCAGGAGGGCAGATGAGTGGCAGAGGCCACAGGTGGTGAGGCCTGCAGAGCAGAAGGCTTTGGCTTTGACTGGGTGGATGAGGAACCACTGAAGCATGCTGCCCGGCACCGAAGAGGCGTGTGATAAAAATACTTTAAAAGAATGTGAAGTTTTGTTTTCAAAATCTCCAGTTGGCAGAAGCTACTTCCTCTCTCTGAAGATTTGTTATTTCTATGCCATCAGCAGGCCCTGGGCATCATGACAGTGCAGGGGCCACAGGTGGCAGGACTTGGCACACCTGTACCAGTCAACTCAGACCTTAAAGTGCTTCTGTGGCCAAAAATGCAGACAAATTGTATGTCCAAATTTTTAAGTCTGTCCTATAGGCAATTTTGATCAGTAGATGGTACAGCCAGGGCTGTAGGAGGAGAAATGAGGGCCAGTACAAATCCAGATCTAACTGCCCCTCATCAAGGTGACAGCAAGGATGAGAATGGGAAGTTTGTGACCAGACGGCTGAATTGCTGCTCTAAAGAACAGTTGTAAAAACCAAATATAAAGTCTAATACAGGAGTTCTTTAAGTGAGATAGGCTAAACGTGGCCCATCATCTCTCTGAAGCTATAAGCAAAAGTATGGTATGTGTGTGTATGAATGTGCAAGAATAATTTTTCAGGGAGAAAGGTTCATGGTTTTTATTGATGTCTCAAGAAACTTTTAGCATTGTTTATGAAACTGGGTTTTTTTCTAATTTTAATTCGATTTACTTGTGTTCAGTAGCTATTTATTGAAGAAATAAATACAGCAGTCTTTGTATTTGCAGTCTCCCTGGATAGATAAGATGTAACCATGGGGAAAAATAAATTACAAATCTACAATCAAGTTTTGGACCAATCTAGAAATGATTATTCCTCAGAAATCTATCTTTATTTACAATGAAGGAAGGTTCAATAAGAGGTACAAGGAGGTAAAAGATGTATACCTTACTTTTAGTAATATATGATTGATAAGAAGAATGATTGGTAAGAAAATGATTGCATACCTGCAACTTTTTAAAAAAGGACAATATACACTTTGGGAGGCCAAGGCGGGCAGATCAAGAGGTCAGAAGATCCAGACCTTCCTGGCTAACCCGTGAAACCCCGTCTCTACTAAAAATACAAAAAGAAATTAGCCAGGCATGGTGGCGGGAGCCTGTAGTCCTAGCTACTCGGGAGGGTGAGGCAGGAGAATGGTGTGAACCCGGGAGGCGGAGCTTGCAGTGAGCCGAGATCATGCCACTGCACTCCAGCCTGGGCAATAGAGCAAGACTCTGTCTCAAAAAAAAACCAAAAAAAAACAAAAAAAAAAACAATATAAATGAATCCAAAATCAAGTAATAAGGTGTGTTTTATGTCATGAGATGCAACTGAAATTCAGAAAGAAAGAAAAAAGATTAATTTGGTGTAATCAAGAAGACTTCATGGAAAAGGTAGAGCAGAGCTGAGCATGGGGGAAGACAGTACCGAATAATTCAGACAGGCTCAGCAGTCAATGTGCTGCAGTAAATTCCCAGATCTGCCTCTTAGGAATTGTGTGACCTTGGATACCTGATATCTTTATGTCTCTGGGACTCAATCCAGTTGTAGGAGGATTACATGAAACAATAAATGTAAAGTGTTCAGAACATGACCAAGCACATAATTCATGCCTAATAAATGGTTTTATCTTCACCAATTCCTTTACCCGTAACTGGGATGACCCAAGCAGAGAACTGATCCATCTGAAAAAGCAGCTACTGACATCACAGTTAAAGTATTGTTTTTCTAATAGTCTTTTAGAGGCCCTCAGAGATGCTAATGCATGATTAAGCAGCTGTACTTTCTGAAGAATTCTTCTTGGGCCACCCCAGTAAATTCTCCAAATACCTCAAAACAGGGCGTTTCACTAAGGGCCTTGCACTCCAGTTATTCTAGTATATGTCAGAATCTTCATGACCCACCTCCTGCTTCAGATGTGTGCCTGAATGACAACGATGGATCTCAGCAAAATTGACAATAAATAAGCAGGGGCAGCAATGACAGTAATGTTTCACACGTCTGAAAGTGAAGAAGTAATTTTAAATGGCTGTTTTCTTTTTTCAGGTGATCCAGATCATGGTTGGATTGATGCACATTGGTTTTGGAATTGTTTTGTGTTTAATATCCTTCTCTTTTAGAGAAGTATTAGGTTTTGCCTCTACTGCTGTTATTGGTGGATACCCATTCTGGGGTGGCCTTTCTGTGAGTAGATTGCTAGAACACCAGTCCTTCTTGGTTTATAAAGTATTCCCTCTTGGTTTATAAAGTATTGCTATCTCCAGCCAATTCACAACTCATTTCTTGATAAAGCCCTACATCTGAGGGCTGGAGAATTTAGAAAAATTAACAGCTCTGAATGAGGGCTGGAGAATTTAGAAAAATTAACAGCTCTGAATGAGCATGAAAAAATCGGGAACTCTTTCGCCATTTTACCTAGGAGCTTATTCCATTCTTTAAAATTTAATCATGTAATCAGCAAGCCAAAGTTTTGATATCCTACTACATTTGAGATGGAAATGTATGTATTGGGTGGAGAGAGAAAGAAAAGAAAAGGTGATTGGAAACATGATTAAAAATATGCAAGTAAGCCAGGCATAGTGGTGTGTGATTGTAGTCCCAGCTACTTGGGAGGCTGAGGCCAGGGAATTGCTTGAGTTCAAGAGATGGAGGCCAGCCTGGGCAATATAGTGAGACTCAATCTCTAAAAAAATTTTTTAATTAAAAAAATGCAATTGATTATGAGAAGGGATGGAGCAGTAAGCCTCAGAACAAGGAATGCTTAAACATTGTGAGTTCTTCATAGGCCAGAAATTAAGGAAAAGAAAATAAAAAAGAAGTCAAGGACATATGACTGAGAGTTACTCCAGAAAATTCAGAAGTGCGAGAGAAAATTTTGAGAAGGAAACTAGATGAACATAAATAGACCAACCTTTCATATAAAGAGAAATTCCCAAGCACAACCAGTTAACCCATTTCACAAATAAATTTGTCCATTTCCACAGTTTATTATCTCTGGCTCTCTCTCTGTGTCAGCATCCAAGGAGCTTTCCCGTTGTCTGGTAAGTTAGACTGTCTCTACTTTTTGAACCCCTTTAAAGATTAGCTTAACATATTGGGGAGGAAAATTGAAAAGCTGGATTTGGGAAATGCAAAAGGGAGCACCTTTCCCAAAAAAAATCTATTGGTTGCCTTATGGTCTGAGCGCTGGGGTGAGAAAATGGTCCACACAGTTTGCCACTAAGAAATGGCAGAGCTCCATATCCTGACTCTTGAATTCACAAAGGTGAGAAGTAGTAAAAATCAGGGTTGTTTAAGCTTTAACCTAAAAGCTCCCTGGTTCAGTCTGGTCACACTCTATTATGGGAAGTCCAAAGGAGAATCCAGGAGCCAGGAAATACATACTAGACACATCAGTTACCAAGTCTCTACTGTTCATTTGCCACTTCTCAGCTCTGTCTTGTATTTTTATTTTTTTATTTGTGCTATTTCCTACTCTTACACAGGTTGTGTGTTTTACAATTCTTTAAATTGCCATTAAATGAGTCTAGCTTGTTCTGTAAGAAGAGTTTATAAAAATGATGAGTAAGACAGGACTTTGAGCTCTGTCGGTCACAGCACCCCACCTATTCCAATTTCGTGGTCTACTATTGAACCAGGAAAAAGAAAGTGATTTATCAAGAACTAGAGTCAACTAGAGCAGAGGTGGTGTCAAGATTATATGTAATCCAGTACAAGAAAGAAGAACGGGGAAAGAGGAACACAGAATCATGTAGCTCATGCTCTTGCAGACAAAAGAAGAATAAAATAATTAAATCAAATTAAAATAAAATAAGCCTAATTCTGATTAACCACTCCTGTTGCAGTCCAAAAACAAAATAAAGCACCCTTTCTCTGCATCTTTTAAGGATCCTTCCGTCTAATTGAGATTGTCGAAGCATAGATTCCACCTCTTAGAGGAGACAGCCACTGACACATACCTAAGACAATTTTTCTAAGAGCTTTTAGAGAACTTCAGGAGGCTCTAAGGCACGCTGCAGCACAAGCACATTCTAAAGAACTCGACTGTGCCACCCCTAGCAAGTCACCTGCGGACTTGGTTTCACAATTATTCTTCTGCATGTTAAAATCCTATTGTAGAAACTGGGGAAAGTTTTGTAGTCGCCCATACACCTCTGCCCACAAAAGCCTAAATTTTCTCCTTCTAAATTTGGGGGTTCATATTTAGTCCCCAGAGAGACTTAGGGTTTTCATTAATTCCTAAATTTTTCAGCAAACATGTTGTGTCTAAATACTTTCCCATCTATAAAATCATATGCTATCGTACTACCTCATTCAAAGGCTGTAAGAGTTGAGATAATTTAAATAATTTAACACAGTGTCTGACACAGAAAAATGCTCATTAGAAGTTTGTTTTTTCATTTTTTTATAAAGAAAATATAGTTGTTATTGTGCATGAAGCTTTTAGTAAAATCCAATAGATGAGTGCCTGCTTTATATGATTTACATTTTTCTACAGCTTTTTAGAAGTACCCTACATCTAGGCTGCATACAGAATAATGTTTATGGTAATTACCCAGAAGGGCAGAAAACAGAATAATTTCAACTTGAAAAATTGTTTTGAAAGTTCAAAAATTAAGAACCATGAAATTTGATTGATTCTTATCTCACTTAACTTCAGTGATCCTGTATATAATTGATTTTTTCCTGCCATCTCCATTAGGTGAAAGGCAGCCTGGGAATGAACATTGTTAGTTCTATCTTGGCCTTCATTGGAGTGATTCTGCTGCTGGTGGATATGTGCATCAATGGGGTAGCTGGCCAAGACTACTGGGCCGTGGTAAGTATCCCATACTCCACCATGTGCCTGCTCTATTTTCAGTCCCGTAAAGTGGGTCTATGTTTTATTTCTTAATACCGTATACCAGCTCTAGTGGAAAATGTTTTTTCTATTCTAGCCCCACCCCTAGTCATATGATCTCTAGGACTATAGAATAAAGTGAGAGGGTTACCTCTACAGATAGACCGAGGCTTAAAGGACATCCTTTATTGGCCCATCTCACTGTTAATCACATGAACAATGGGGAAGGGTTTGGATAGGCCTCCATGGCTTCTAAAATTGTCCAAAAATTATTTTCCCAACATTTGAAATTCTATATAAATAAGGTAGTCAAGCTATTGAGTGTTTTTTGTTAAACTTCAGAGTAAAGTATGAAGTGAGAGGGAAATGACAGGGATAAGAACATCTGATTTTTACAGAGAAACCCAAGGAATGAAGCAATTGCAAAATGAAGCACGTATCTCTGAATGTGCTCAAAACACAATCACACATTCATTAGCCTTATATAGCCAAGCATGGACTCTGACCTTAAGAGGAAATGGGTGGCCCAAGGGCAGGAATGCTTACCATCTATAAGGAATGGAGCAACATGGTATAAAATGAGGTTGGGCTGGAAGCTGTCATCCTACCTCAATGGCCACATTAACCATTTTGGTCTTCATTCTGTGAGCAATGGAAAACCACAGAAGAGTGGTTTTATTGGTTTCATTTTATTTTATGTTGGGGTTGGTTTTGCTTTTGCTTTTCAGTTTACAAAAAGCAGAGTTTATTAAATTACTGTGGGCTACATATATCTTAAGAAAGACACAGAATGACTTCCTTATCTATCTAGAACATATTAACATTAAGACAATATCACAATATTTTGAACAAATAACCACAATAACATTTCCTTTATCAGTTCACTCAATACTGTGTAAGTAATTCTATTTCACTGGATCTCGGAGTGGCAGGCTTATGAAGCCATCTGCTTCTCAACTAAAGGGTTCTGAAATCCTGACTCCAACCATTGGTATAATCTGAAAGTTGTCTAGGCACTCCCATCAGATGCGTGTCCCCTAGAGTATGTTCTTTGAAGTGTCAGTAGTTTGAATTGCTGGCACACTCTTTTTCCACCAAGCTCTGAGACAATCCTTTGTTAAAAACATAGGAGAGTTTTAGGCCGGGAATTTGAATGATCACTTTTGTGCTTGGAAAGGACAACACTGTTTGCAGTGTAAGGAAAAGCTTATATAAGAAGGTGTATTAGTTTGTTTTCACACTGCTGATAAAGAAATACCAAAGACTGAGAAGAAAAAGGGGTTTAATGAGCTTACAGTTCCACATGGCTGGGGAGGCCTCACAATCATGGCAGAAGGCAAGGAGGAGCAAGTCACATCTTATATGGATGGGGGCAGGCAAAAAAAATAGAGCTTGTGCAGGGCAACTCCTGTTTTTTAAAACCATCAGATCTCATGAGACCCATTCACTGTCACAAGAACAGCATGGGAAAGACCCACCCCATAATTCAATCATCTCCCACCAGGTTCCTCCCACAACAAGTGGGAATTATGGGAGCTACAAGATGAGATTTGGGTGGGGACACAGAGCCAAACCGTATCAGGAGGCAAAAATAGATGAGAAAGCTTCTCGGTAAATAAGGCAGAGTGAAGCAAGAACAAAATTCACCCTCCAAAATACCAAACAAAAGAACAAAAACTATTCAAAAAAAAACAGCTTTCAAACTGGCATCCAAGTAGAGAAACAAATCATTCTGATGCTACTCAAAGCTGAAAAAAAGCACAGCTTTTAGACCTGGCTCTTGTTTCCCTACAAACAAAACTGAGGAAAGAAGGGAAGCCAAAAAAAAATACTGAGAAGTCTCACTAACACTCTCCAGTCTGTAGCTGAGAAGGCTGGGGTGGAGAGCAGTCAATTCTGTGAAAGGATAAAGCAAATCCTGTATGGTACAAGACCATGAGTAGTACCCAGGACCTCAGGAGACAGAAGAAAGGGCAACACCTTCCCATACCCTGCATGGTACCCTACTACCAGCAGGGAATGAGCAGAAATGCACAGGAATGCACAGGAATAAACCTCCAGCCAAGGAGCAGGCCTCCATACTAAGCATTTAGCAGGCTCTCAGAAGACAGAAAAAGTGAAGTCCATCCTCGCTAGCAAGAACTGTGCTCGAAGCCAGCTAAGCTATCTCTCTCCCTGCAACAGCTATATATGTTCACATTCAGAAACATGGATATAAAACAACCGCTAGGGCTCAAGTTGTAATGGAAGCAAGGAAGACAAATGGGAGCCAAATAAACAGAAGTGTCAATGAAGGAAAATTCACCTACACTGTACCTGATCAAATAGAAAGCCTGTATAGAGTTCAAGTGAGCTTAATACTTTTATTTAAAATAGAAATAACATGATTCCATTCTTATAGAATGATGCTCCTCTCTCTTGGTTATTCTCTTTTTTCCCTCTCACGGCATCTTTCCACACATCCATTCTTCTGCCTTTTCCCTGTACACAGAGAGCTAGGATAATAGTCATCAAACATTAATTTTGGTTATTTCTAAACACTGGCATTTGGAATGATCCGTTGGTTTCTGTATTGCTTGACTTTTTTAATGAGTAGTAACATTTGTATTAAAAAAAACAACGAGGCCATCACAAAGGAAAAAAACTACCTTCTTTCTAATATTTCTAAACAAAATAGCCTACTTACCAAAAGGAAAGACTTCTGGCATTTTAAAGAAAATCCAAAATAAATTCACACTCCTCTGGAACAAGCATTTGATGATACTGGAAGAATAAGCATGGAGCGAGTTGAGTATAAGCAATAGCACATTTGATGAGTCAATAACTTTTTGAAGCCCACGTGAGGCCCTCCTGATTAGCCAAAATTTCACTATTTATTTATGATTTCAGCTTTCTGGAAAAGGCATTTCAGCCACGCTGATGATCTTCTCCCTCTTGGAGTTCTTCGTAGCTTGTGCCACAGCCCATTTTGCCAACCAAGCAAACACCACAACCAATATGGTGAGTTGGGTCTCTTCTTTGTAAAATAATCTGAAAATGCCCTGGAGAAATACAGACTTGTGTCTGCTAAATCCTACTATCGGCTTACCAGAATGCTCTTTGTCCTTCACTCTGATGGTACCAGGGGAAATTGCATAGGATTGTAGTAACCATATTGCTTGTTTTTATTCATTCTTTCCAGTCTGTCCTGGTTATTCCAAATATGTATGAAAGCAACCCTGTGACACCAGCGTCTTCTTCAGCTCCTCCCAGATGCAACAACTACTCAGCTAATGCCCCTAAATAGTAAAAGAAAAAGGGGTATCAGTCTAATCTCATGGAGAAAAACTACTTGCAAAAACTTCTTAAGAAGATGTCTTTTATTGTCTACAATGATTTCTAGTCTTTAAAAACTGTGTTTGAGATTTGTTTTTAGGTTGGTCGCTAATGATGGCTGTATCTCCCTTCACTGTCTCTTCCTACATTACCACTACTACATGCTGGCAAAGGTGAAGGATCAGAGGACTGAAAAATGATTCTGCAACTCTCTTAAAGTTAGAAATGTTTCTGTTCATATTACTTTTTCCTTAATAAAATGTCATTAGAAACAAAAGCCTTTTTCAGTATGTTTAAAAAATTAATTTTGATTTGATATTGGTTGTAGAGCAGTAGATCTGATCTATACTCCAAGAAGATTGATAAACCTTTGATGATGATTTTTCTAGGTGTCCAGTCACTGGAGTTCCCTAACTCATCTCCTCCTCATCTTTCTGTTCAGAAAGCAAGTGTCCAATTGCCCTTGTTGGAGGTCATATTATTCTATACATTAATATCATCAAACATCTTGCCTCTTAACTATCATCTACAAAATTTTGCTATTTACAGAGTATTTTCATGTACATTAAACTCACCTGCAATGGGACAACAGTCAGACAGGGATGCTGCATTGAGGGGTTTTCATTTGAGTTTTGGCTTTTTGTTTTTGAATTGTTGGCACATTTATAAGCCAATTAGAACAATCAAGGTAAGACAGAAGGGATGAATGACAGTGTAAGTTTCAAGAAATCAAAAGCACAGATGGAAAACATCACCTAAGTCATGAAAAAGGGCAGTTTCTCTACAAAATAGAAAGGTATAATTATCACAGATATCCACAGCTTTGCAATAGTGGCAGTGAGGATCCGATGTGATGGCTCATGTCATCCCTGTCAAAGCAGTAGTGATGTCATGCCTAAGGTAAGGGCACAGGTAGAGTCAGAATGTTGAACAGAATGGTAACAAGGGAAAAGTCATGGAACTGGAGAATAAAGTGGTCGGAGAAACAGGATTGCCAAGCGGTACAGAAGGCACATTTGAGGATGTGGTAACAAATTCAGAGTATGGACAAATGCTTCTGCAAGGCCTTGCTGCTAGATCCAGGCAAACTACGGATCCAGGAAACTATTTGATTTTTTCCAGGGTTAAGATTTTGCTAGAGGAGATGACAAAATAGCAGAAGAGCAAGAAAGCTTAGGACATTGTAAAAAATATTATTTAAATGATGGACTGTGGAATCTAAACTGGATAAGGAAGGAATAATAGTAATAATAAAAGCAATAATAAAGAAAAAAGACAGATTGATCATAAATGGAGAAATCTGCCTTTTCTCCGGGAGCTGTCGTGACAATCAAATGAGATAATGTTATATGAATATGGTTTAAAAATAGCAAAGTATTGTCCCTTTTTGAAATTTTAATATTATTAAAGAAGCCAGAAGGGAAAAATATAACAAAAAGAGTAGGCAGAGAAATCAAAATCAGGGAAGAGGAAGATTAGAAGAACAGAATTTTTGCATCTGGGAAAGCAGATGTATTATGTCAGGCAAGAGTCACATAATTTCAACGTCATTGGTCTGCCTAGGTCCCAACTATTCAGCAACTGGGTGATTGGAAATGCTGTGTCCTTCACCATAAAGCTCAACAGCTCAGCAAAAGTGAAGACAAAGATTTCATGGTCTAAGGGTCTGGAAAATAAATGGTGCCTCAAAATGTGGGGGAGGGGATGGTATATTGTATATCTATACACGTAAAATAAACAAATATAAAAGTCACTTACTTTAGGGAACAGAAGCATTTCCAGCAAAGTTCATTTTTTAAGTAAATTTCTATCAAATATATTCTATTTTTCAAATTGCTTTAATAATAGTAATAATAACAGCATATATTTAGCCCATTCTTTGTACCACTCACGTTCCAAGCACTGTTTCAATGCTCATGACAACCACCTGTGAGGCAGGTGGATCATTTTCAGATGAAAAAACTTTGGCAGAAAAGTTAAAAATCTTGTCCTAAGATATGTAGCTAGCAAATGGTGAAGCATGGATTTGAACCCAGGCAGTATGTTTCCCAGGTCCGGGCAGTTGCCCTAACCATTATTCCCACTATTCTTATGGTCTTGGATAGAATCAGACACTTGTAATGCCAAAACAAACAGAAATGTTTCTCTATAGTAAGCTTGTAATAAATTTGGAAGACATTGCCTTATTCTCTGAGAGAGGAGATTTAGTAACATAATAATACAGTTGACACTTAAACAACATGAGTTTGAACTGCGTGGCTCCACTAATGTGCATATTTTTTCAATGTGGGAAAAGTCATGGAAACGGAGAATAAACTGATCAGAGAAACAGAGGATTACCAAGCTATACTGAGGGTACATTTGAGGGGGTTTTAGCAAATTTATACTATGAACAAATTTCTCCAGCTGGGCCTGTGATCTGAGACCCTAGAAGGTGACTGGAATAGAAATATGATATTGCCCTCTCCCTCTCCCTCCCCCTCCCCCTCCCTCATGCCCAGCCGAGGCTGGACTGTACTGCCACCATCTCGACTCACTGCCACCTCCCTGCCTGATTCTCCTGCCTCAGCCTGCCAAGTGCCTGGGATTGCAGGCATGTGCCGCCACGTCTGACTGGTTTTTGTATTTTTTGGTGGAGACCGGGTTTCGCCGTGTTGGCCGGTCTGGTCTCCAGCTCCTGACCGGGAGTGATCTGCCAGCCTCGGCCTCCCGAGGTGCCAGGATTGTAGACAGAGTCTCGCTCACTCAGTGCTCAATGCTGCCCAGGCTGGTGTGCAGTGGCGTGATCTCGGCTCGCTACAACCTCCACCTCCCAGCTGCCTGCCTTGGCCTCCCAAAGTGCTGAGATGGCAGCCTCTGCCCGGCTGCCACCCCGTCTAGGAAGTGAGGAGTGTCTCTGCCTGGCCGCCCATCATCTGGGATGTGAGGAGCCCCTCTGCCCGGCTGCCCAGTCTGGGAAGTGAGGAGCACCTCTTCCCGGCCACCATCCCGTCTAGGAAGTGAGGAGCATCTCTGCCCGGCCGCCCATCGTCTGGGATGTGGGGAGCACCTCTGCCCCGCCGCCCCGTCTGAGATGTGAAGAGCGCCTCTGCCCGGCTGCGACCCCGTCTGGGAACTGAGGAGTGTCTCTGCCCCACCGCCACCCCATCTGGGAGGTGAGGAGCGTCTCTGACCGGCCGCCCCGTCTGAGAAGTGAGGAGCCCCTCGGCCCAGCAGCCACCCCATCTGGGAAGTGAGGAGCCCCTCCGCCTGGCAGCTGCCCCGTCTGGGAAGTGAGGAGCATCTCTGCCCGGCAGCTGCCCCATCTGGGAGGTGGGGGGCAGCCCCTGCCCGGCCAGCCGCCCCGTCCGGAGGTGGGGGGCAACCCCCGCCCGGTCAGCCGCCCTGTCTGGGAGGTGGGGGCCAGCCCCCGTCCGGCCGCCGCCCCATCTGGGAGGTTGGGGGGCGCCTCTGCCTGGCCGCCCCGTCTGGGAAGTGAGGAGCCCCTCTGCCCAGCCGCCACCCCGTCTGGGAGGTGTACCAACAGCTCATTGAGAACGGGCCATGATGACGATGGCGGTTTTGTCAAATAGAAAAGGGGGAAATGTGGGGAAAAGAAAGAGAGATCAGATTGTTACTGTGTCTGTGTAGAAAGAAGTAGACATAGGAGACTCCATTGTGTTCTGTACTAAGAAAAATTCTTCTGCCTTGGGATGCTGTTAATCTATGACCTTACCCCCAACCCGGTGCTCTCTGAAACATGTGCTGTGTCCACTCAGGGTTCAATGGATTAAGGGCGGTGCAAGATGTGCTTTGTTAAACAGATGCTTGAAGGCAGCATGCTCCTTAAGAGTCATCACCACTCCCTAATCTCAAATACCCAGGGACACAAACACTGCGGAAGGCGGCAGGGCCCTCTGCCTAGGAAAACCAGAGACCTTTGTTCACATGTTTATCTGCTGACCTTCCCTCCACTATTGTCCTATGACCCTGCCAAATCCCCCTCTGCCAGAAACACCCAAGAATGATCAATAAATACTAAAAAAATAAAAATAAAAAAATAAAATAAATGAGCAGATGTACAGAAGAAAGAAAAAAAAAGAAATATGATATTGCAACATAGAGGTCACATGCCTGCTGTGGTATTATTTAAAGCCCTTATGGTATTTTCATTCTGGAAAATCTTTTTTAAATGTTCATTTTTTTCATTCATTTGCTTAAAAAGAAGTATTACACTACTACTTTGTGATGAAAACTCTGCTATTCCATCAAATTTAGGCTTTACATATTTTTTCATGTAGGGTAATATAAAATGAAATGGAGTAGGATTTATCTAGATGTCAGCGAACACATGCTTTTTTCATGCACAATTAACGCTGGATTTGCATACAGAGACTTTGCCTACGAAATATAACTTAAGCTACACACACACATACACATTACACACACATCTCAAGTACTTCCTATATTTAGTCTCTTCCGTCCTCAGAAGAGCACAGATCATTATTAGATCTCTAGGCCTCTAGGGTGTCTTCTAATTCTAGATTCTAAGGCTTTACAGAAGGTCGGTCGATCATTCATCATGAAACACATGGGCTCAAGAATAATCTTTCAAGAATCTATAAATATATCTTAGATAAACATGTGTCATTGATTCATGCCTGGCCAAAACAAAATTTCTGAAAGCTCTCTATCCCAGAACATCTTTGCATTTGTCACAACCCTCTAATAATCAATCACAATTGTCCCCTTTTCCCACAGAGCAGATGCTGGCCAAACCTACCCTGAGTTTGGACAACTGGGGGTGGGGTGCAGAGTCCCTAGGCATCTATTTGCAGGGGTGATTTGCATCAAGGAAAATATGCCACAGAAATTTTGAGTTCAGGTATCTGATACTCAAGCTGAAAGATCAGAATCCAGTAGCCAGCCTCACCTAGGTGACCAGGTCTAATCCCTATGGAGAAAGGGCTGTGCTCCTCACTTGTGCATGGACTATAACCAGGCTCCTTCTCTGTAAGGAAGACTGAAGATGATGCAAGGCTGTTTGAACACCTCCAGGGCTCTGATGCTTGGGGAGCCCTGGGAGACAGCATCTGGGGTAAGGCAGCCTTCTCCCAGAGAAGCTGCAGCAAGGCCTGAGAAGACTACAGTGTATCTGGAAAGTGGCTGCCCCATATACTCAGCAACAGCTCAGCCAATGCCTGCTGGAGAACAAATGTGAAAATTCTGGGGACTCCCAGAAATGCTCTGGAAATTGGGATTTGCAGATAAGTGGGGTCATTCTTCAACAGATGGGGGTGGAAACCAGGCCACCTGGGCCATAAGGCTAACATGTCTTGCTAATTCCCACAGGCTGGAGAGGCCTTGGATATCAGTGTTTTCCTAAAACTTGCTGCTTTCTGCCTTTTTCTCTTCATTTTGCATTTAAAACAAACCAAGCAAATTTATAATTTATAACTGTTCTCTCTTTTCTCCTAGCTCTCCTCCTCTCCCTCAGTTCTCTGGTTTCACTCTTATAAACAAATTGCTGTTACTAAATTCTAGCAGCCTAGCAGTGCTCAACGGGCTTCATTCAAACTCTTTCTCCACACACACACCACAGGGGTCTCTATTTCATTTAGGTCTCACTCACAATTTCACTTTATATTTCACAACTCTTCCTACTCTCCCAAGTATTTGGCAACGCTTAAGGATATGGTATGGACTTTTAGGCCAAATGTCATTTCATATATTTATACAATGCTACAATGTGTACTTCAAGACCCTAATTTTACAGATGAGAAATGAATTCAAAGAGTAGAGGAGTGGAGTACACACAGCCAGAACTGGAGCTGGAAACCATCCCTAGATCTTGTGATTGCTTCAACAATATTCTTTATGCAATTCCATGACAGTCACAACATAGAGCTCTTTCTGAAGGAGACTTAGAGGAAGAAAAGTGGGTAGGAGGATGGGCTACAAATTCTGGAGCTAGACTTACACTGCTGGAGTTAGAATCTCAACTCTTAACATTTATAAGCTGTGTGACTCTTAACTTCGCCAAACCTTAGCATACTCATCTGTTAAAATGAAAATAACAATGGTATGTACATCATTGGCATGTGGTGAAGTTTAAATAAGCAATATAAGGTACTTAACATATTGCCTCAACATAGTAAATGAAAGGGAAAAAAAGCAAGATAAGTTTAAGCTATTAATTAGCATTTTACTAAAGAATAGTATATAAGTGATATAGTAAACATATGAAAACTGAAATCTACTATATATATGTGTGTGTACCAGCATATATATATATACCTACATACATATAGATTATACCTTACATAAATATACATATGTATGGACATTGCATTTCTACAATGAATTCAATTGTTTAGTTTCCCCAGTTTGCATAGATTTCCATTTTACTTTACTAGAACACCCTAGTGTTTACACAGAGGAAACATCTGTTTTCTCTAGTGTATAAATAAATAAAATTCCTCAAAGAAATCTGGACAAGTTATTTTATCAGGGCTCACAGCCAACAGGGTCCTTGTAATAATCCCCAACAATGGTTTTAACAACATTATATAGGCATTGTGGTTCCAGCACATTTTCACTAATGTCTTTTGTATACTGGGAACTAATTCAAGAGAAATTAACAATATGATCCACATGGAGAAATAAAAGTCATATTGGATGTCAAACCATGACTGATTGATTGCCTCTTCATTGCTGAAGAATACAGTTTTTAACAACCAAAGGATAAAAAATTAAAGTGAATTCTGAATTTCCAAATCCAGTTTATAGGTACTGAGAAAATCAATGTTGCTTTTACTGATCTGTGATATTAGCAGAAGAAATAAGATGTACCAAGGAACCATGCCTGTCTCATAGTTTGGCTCACTCTTCTATTTTTGCCTATGTTTATACTGAAAACACATTTTGGCCCCAGTCCAAAAAAATGACCAAATCCATGATAATTTCCAGAGACTGTTGGCCAAAGCTTAAATGAAGAAATATGTCACTTCTCTCACAAATAATCAATCAGTCTTGGCAGCAAGTTACAATAGCGGTCCATCTCATCAGAACTGGCTCTTACTACTATGGATTCTAAAAAATCCATAACCCTGAGGTTGAAGACACAGTTCCTCTTTCTACAGCAAAGAGAATGCTTAATATTATCGGAGCCCTGTCTGCTCATAGACAAGGAACTCACAAAATAATAATAATGCTAGAAACTGAAGTGGTATATTACTTAAGAATAAAACTATTACCTTCAATGACATACTGACCAATACAGAATGTAAAGACTTTAGAAGAGGCTGGGCTTTTTTTTTTTGTTTTTTTTTCCTTTGATTTGAGGGGACTTTGGAGTCTCAATGTAAGGAAGCTAGCTGTGAGACTAAAAATTAAGATTCTCAATTTACAGTTGATTTTTCAGGCTATAAAAGATCTTGATGGCTTTTAGACACACTCATGATTTAGCTTTTTGCAAATAAAGGTGTTGAAAGCATAGAAAATTTCCTTATGAAAGAAAAATCTGTCTTGTTTTCTGCGTGTTTTACTCACTGGCTATCATTGACTAAAAATTTACACTACAAGCTGGAATTTTAACTATTCCACAATGTCAATTTAAATTTTCCATGAATAAATGAGAAATGCCATTGAGTGGCTGTTCTCCAGGTACTTTAAACGCCTCAGTAAGTCATGATAGCTGCCTAAGAGGATGGTCTGTACTGCTCATCTAAAGCACCTCTTCATAAACACTGTTTTAACTACTGTCTACACCTCAAACAGAAAACTAACACCACGTGTCACCTAAAAGGTAAACCCGCCTCAGCAAGTGGATCAAAAAGTCATTCTGGTGTCTTGTTAAGTATTACTTTCATCACTAATTTCCTTCTTCAGTTACTTATGTTTAAAGAAAAAAAAAGTGAGCCATTGATTTAGCCACTTCACTCGAAAGTGCACCTTCCAAAGGTGCTCTTGTGGTCAAAATTTTTCTTTGAAGACAGAAAAGGTGAAGGGCGGACTTCTCCTCAGTGATCCTGGTCACTGTGCAGCAGGTGGGTGTATAAGAAATGCACCAATATGGGCAATCTCAGAATAGAGGTTTGCAGAAACCGTTCCTAGAGGCACCAAAACGTAGTTAACCGGGTGTCTGACCACATGGCTGCCAGGAGCCTAGTGAGTCTGCGCACACGCACTACCTCCGCCCCGGCAGTTCCTGAGTGGGTGCGCAGGCGCAAGAGGAGCACACCGTTGCCATTGCAGACCGTCACTCCCTGAGGAGCCTGAGAGCCGGCCGGGTGCTGGGCTCCTGGCTATCCCTGTGATGGTAGCTCAGCGAGATCTGGGGACCTGGCGCTGAGCGCGTTGCCAGCCGGGATCTTCCTCTTCATCTAGGCCTGGGCGCTGGCGTGAGAACTCGGACTGGGTCCTGGACGAGCGCCCCCCGAAACTCCTTGGAACCTTGAACAAGTAAAATGCAGGGTAGTGATGTCGCTTTGCTGGAGTGCTTTCGTGTCAGAAGCCATAAAGGGACACGGAGGCTGATTACGGTGTTCCTCTCCCTATCATACTCTGTAAACAGTAGGCACTATTTACTACTCAGAGATGATAGCTGTAAAATGCCGATATGTTTTAGTCATAGAGAGAGACTTTTCAGTTATGAAGGCTGTTATTCAGAACAGATGGATGAAAGTTGATGCCTCTAATATTAAGGCCTAGAAAGAAGAAAGAAGGCTATTGCTTCTGAATTTGGAGAGGTGGTGACTGAACAATAAGGAAAGGATCAAACTTACGTATTTTCTTCTAAGAAAATAATGTATATGTGCTTTGTACTGTTTTGTAGAAGTTTGCTAATAAAGACATCACCAAAGGTTAAAGAGAAAATCATCTAGAGGAAATGCTGGCAGTATGGCATGTGTTCTTTAACAAATCTCTACAGCAGATTCTCTCGTTTTAGGGGTAAGATTTCACTTTGACTAACTAAATTTAAGATCATGAACTATTTCATTTTTTTAACGGATATATTGGATCTAAAGGGGGACAGACTTGGTTAAATCAAAAGGGTAAAAGTTTTTTTTTTTTCAAATGTTGATTGTCTTCTACAAATTTTGACTGATCTCATGTTCCTTCATGTGCTGAGATATGGGGATACAGACTAAACCAACACACACAGGATAATAGAGAAATCCAAGTAAGGTTTAAAAGGAAAAAAGAGAGTACTGCACTTACATTTATGCAGTAGGATGATTATAAATTTGTCTCTTCTATTAAGTTATAAACATGTGAAGTTACAGTTTAGCTTTCTTAATGAACACCAAGGAATTATGAGTATCATGCTTTTTCACATCCAAAGGGGAGAAAACATTTCCACTCGTGAACTTTTCTTCTGAATTTGAATGTTGCATAGATCAATTATCTAAGTCGCCTATACGACTGTTCAGCAGAGGTTCTTAACCTCTTTGGGGTCACAGACCATTTTGGCATAGAATGAAAACTCTGAATCTTCTTTCCAGAATTATGTACATGTCACAATCCTTCGCATTTTTTTTCCCTGGGGGCAGGGGGTAGGCGGGTCTGACCTCCTGGAACTCATATTGATTCTAGATTAAGAATCATTTTTAAATAAGAAAACCTATCTTGTCCTTCTCCACACACTGGCAGTTCTTAACAAGCATTGGCTAATTAGCTATCTCATGGTTTTATATAAAACAATAGTCAATCATTTAAAAAGAGATAGTACTTTTCAAGCTCACTTACTTTTTTAACAGTTGGGAAAGTCACATGGAATCACTATTCTTGACACCAGTATGCTTATATAAGAGGTATTTGCTGGATGCCTTCTCTATTCTGGGCACCATATTAGAGGCTGGTGATAAAACAATAAAAAAAAAAAAACTCCAGGCCCTAAGGGATTTTGCAGTCTAGTGGGAGATATTTCTCCAGGCAAATCCAAAGAATTTCTGGAAAATTACCATTCTTGCAAATTTGATGCAAGGGGAAACGTTAAATTCTAAATCTATAAAAATGCATGATCGTTACCAAAAAAGAGACTTTTTCTTAAAAAAAAAACAAAACTTCTCCAAAATGTATTTTTTAAAGTTAGCCAATTGCACTTATATATTTCATAGACTGCCTGCTTTGCAAAGAGCTGGAACTCTTAAAACATTAAATAGCTTTCTGTTTAAGTTTATATGAAAATAAAATTTATGTGTCCTCTGTCATTTTTAAAGAGTAATCAAAAATGTGATTAAATATATGAAATATCAGTTCACATATAAATTCAGAAATAAATTTGCTGGGATTATAATTATCTTCTTACAAATTAGAGTTGAGTAATAATTCTCCCCTATTCAAAATCCTTCCCCTTTCCAATGGGAAAACCGAGTTCAAGCGAGTCCATTTTGGATATTTTCTGTATTGCTGTGTTGGATTATGCCCCACTCCAGCATACTTGTGAAAAAAATCATACCAAATACTCCTTGAAGGAAAAGATAAATCAAACCTTTATAAAATTCAAAAAGTGATTCATCTTTAATAAATTACTAATGTACAAGAAAATGTTGGATTTATGGCTTCCTGCATTATAGTAGATTAGTAACCACATTTTCTCTGAAGTAACCCCAATATTCTCTCATACCATTACTTGATAGGTAGGGAGACTATCCAGTGATAGAATCAAACTGTTAACTTACAGGAGAATTGGCCAGAGCTACTATTATTGAACAGCCTGTTGCTTTCAGTATGACTGATTCCTATTTGGTAAATCTCAGTCCTTCCTGATCGGTCCTTTTTTCTGGGATAACCAATCCAGGAAATACATCATTAAGTGCATTGCTGTTTTACTTTTGTATTTGTAAAGGTGTTAAATGCTTCTTATAGTTAACACTTATTGGAATTGTGTTTTAAATTACATTATTTCGGTACTAACATAATTCTCTTCTCACAGACTATCCAGATTATGATTGGCATCTTTCACATTTTCATGTGGTACTTTCTATTGGTTTTGTATATGGGACAAATTAAAGGAGCCTTTGGAACGTATGAACCTGTAACTTACAAAACAGGATGTACTTTATGGGGAATTTTTGTGAGTAGAATACATATATATTGCTTTAATCATACAATAAATAATATTCATGCCAATAGTAGAAGGTAGGGAACGGTTTCTGAACAAGGTTTTCAGGAGAATTATGTAACTAAATCCCATGTTGATAATTTATTCAAAGTCAGATTCCTTTTTTCAACAAATATATATTGAGCACCTTTAATTTACAAGTGCTGTTTCAAGAGATATGGATACAGGAGTACACAATGACAACCATAGGGCAGTTTGTCCCTAGATATGTGAAAGGCAAAGAATCTTAACTATAATATCCATTAGCATGATTAACTTGCATGTTTATTATCTTCACTTCAGTCTCCTCACCCAATGAGTCAGTACTCATTTTCTAAATTTTTCATTACTAACACTCTCCTGTGGTTTCTAGATAGCCATTAGGTAGAGGAAAACCTGGAGAGCATGATATCCTGGAAGCCAAGTGAAGAAATTGTTAGAAGAAATGAGGAAGGATCAACTATATTATATTTTGTTGTTTTGTCAAATAAAATGAGGACTACGAATTGACCATTGGATTTAGCAATATGGAAGTCAGTAGTAAATTTTACAAGTAGTTTCAGTGGAATTGTGAAGCAAAAACCTGGTAGGAGTTGATTTAAGAAAAAAATAGGAAGAGAGGAATTACAGACAGCAAACAGGAGCTTCTTTAAGGACTTTACTGTAATGTGGTATAAAGAAATGGGGTGATAGCTGGGGAAACTTGGCTCAAGAGAGGGTTTGCTTATTAGTTTCTGTGAGTTGAAAGAAACAGCATCATATCCTTTGTTGAGAGGACTGAACCAAAAGAAAGAAAATTGATGATATGAGTAAATGGGGGTGGGTATTGGGATCAAGTATTTGTGTAGGCAAGAGGTGATGGATTTTGATGCACAAATAGCTAGGAGCATAGAAAGTTTATCTAGGGCATGGTTCTCAGCTAGAGGCAATTTTGCCCCTGATAACATTTTATAATATCTGGAGATATTTTGGATTTTCACCGCTGGAGATGTACATCAGATGGGCAGGGGCAAAAGATGCTGCTAAATAGCCTGTGATCCACAGGACAGCACCTCACAACAAAGAATTATCCAGTCTAATTATAAATGGTTTCAAAGTACAAAAACAGAAGGGAAAGGCAGAGAAAGGAGAGTTTTCTTTGATAGGATGTTGGAAGCCTGTGGAAGTTTTTTTTTTTTTCCAGTAGCTTCAAATAGCTCAATGAATTAGGAAGCAAGATTATGAGCTGAGATTGAGTATGGGGAAGTGGTTTGGTTGTTTGAGGAAAGGCAAGAGAATATGAAATAATCATCGAGGAAAAGTGAGAGTGCACAGATTATGGAGAGGTGGTTTTATTTTCACACAGCATTAAGGACATACTTGAGGTTTAGGAACAGGATATGAATATGGGTTGTATGCCTTCCTCAGGCCATGTTCAGCTGCATGAGTGCAACCATGCAGTAGGATAAAAACAATCAGGATCTTTGTTTAGCTGTGCAACTATAATAAAACAAGAAAGGTGCAAAGCAATTGCAAGTGGATATAGGGCAGTGTTTGTAATGGTTGGCCATGAAATTTAAGTTAGTGATGGAAAGAAGAATTTAACAGAGAGTTGAAGTTCTCAGATTATAGACCCAGGTGGGGTCAAAGGGTTGTTAGAATTTTAATACTAGAGGGCATGAGCTAGAAAGATAGCAGGTGATGATCAGGTGGAATACTTGAAATTAAGATTTGAAAGGTACAACAAGGACAAGAGAATGATTATGGGAGTGAGTGACTAAGATAGTTTGGAGTCAGGGATTGGAGGAGAGAACAAGAACCACAAGCCCAAGGTATAGAAAGATGATATGGTTTGGCTGTGTGTCCCCACCCAAATCTCATCTTATAGCTCCCATAATTCCCAAGTATTGTGGGAGGGACCTGGTGGAAGATAACTGAATCATGAGGCTGGGGGGGTGGCGAGTCATTCCCATGCTGTTCTCATGATAGTGAATAAGTCTCACAAGATCTAATGGTTTTAAGAAATGGGAGTTTTTCTGCCCCTGGCCCCTCCTAAATTTCATGTCTTCACATTTCAAAACCAATCATGCCTTCCCAACTGTCCCCCAAAGTCTTAACTCATTTCAGCATTAACTCAAAAGTCCACAGTCCAAAGTCTCATCTGAGACAAGGCAAGGTCCTCTCCACCTATGAGCCTGTAAAATCAATAGCAAGTTAGTTACTTCCTAGATACAATGGGGGTACAGGCTTGAGTAAATACAGCTGTTCCAAATGCGAGAAATTGGTTGAAACAAAGGCTACAGGCCCCATGCAAGTCTAAAATCCAGTGGGGCAGTCAAATCTTAAAGCTCAAAAATGATCTCCTTTGACTCCATGTCTCACATCCAGGTTATGCTGATGCAAGAGGTGGGCTCCCATGGCCTTGGGCTGCTCTACCCCTGTGGCTTCACATGGTGTAGCCCTGATCTGGCTGTTTTCACAGGCTGGCGTTGTCTGCAGCTTTTCCAGGCACACGGTGCAAGCTGTCAGAGGATCTACCATTCTGGGGTCTGGAGGATGGTGGCCTTCTTCTCACAGCTCCACCAGGCAGTGCCTCAGTAGGGACTCTGTGTGGCAGCTCCGACCCCACATTTCCCTTCTGCCCTGCCCTAGCAGAGGTTCTCCATGAGGGCCCCGCCCCTGCAGCAAACTTCCGCTGGGCATCCAGGCAGTTCCATATATCCTCTGAAATCTAGGCAGAGGTTCCAAAACCTTAATTCTTGACTTCTGTGTACCCGCAGGCTCAACACCACATGGAAACTGTCAAGGCTTGGGGCTCGCACCCTCTGAGGCCATGGCCCAAGCTCTACATTGGCCCCTTTCAGCCACAGATGAAGCAGCTGGGATTCAGGGCACCAAGTCCCTAGGCTGCACATAGTACAGGGGCCCTGGGCCCGGCCCATGAAACCACTTTTTCCTCCTAGGCTTCAGGGCCTGTGATGGGAGGGGCTGCCATGAAGATCTCAGACATGCCCTGGAGACATTTTCCCCATTGTCTTGAGAATTAACATTCAGCTCCTCATTTCTTATGCAAATTTCTGCAGCTGGCTTAAATTTCTCCTCAGAAAATGGGTTTTTCTTTTCTATCACATTGTCAGGCTGTAAATTTTTTTGAACTTTTATGCTGTGCTTGCCTTATAAAACTGAATGCCTTTAACAGCATCCAAGTCACCTCTTGAAAGGTTTGCTGCTTAGATCATTTCTTCTGCCAGATATCTTAAATCATCTCTCTCAAGTTCAAAGTTCCACAAATCTCTAGGGAAAAATGCCACCAGTCTCTTTGCTAAAACATAACAAGAGTCACCTTGCTCTAATTCCCAACAAATTCCTCATCTTCCATCTGAGACCACCTCAGCCTTGATTTCATTTTTCATATCATTATTGGCATTTTGGTCAAAGCCATCTGACAAGTCTCTAGGGAGTTCCAAACTTTCCCACATTTTCCTGTCTTCTTCTAAGTCCTCCAAACTGTCCTAACATCTGCCTGTTACCCAGTTCCAAAGTCACTTCCAAATTTTTGGGTATCTTTTCAGCAGCACCCCACTCCTGGTGCCAATTTATTGTAATAGTCCATTTTTATGCTGCTAATAAAGACATACCTGAGACTGGGCAATTTACAAAAGATAGAGGTTTGTTGGACTTACAGTTTCTCATGGCTGGGAAGGCCTCACAATTGTGGCAGAAGGCAAGGAGGAGCAAGTCACATCTTACATGAATGGCAGCAGGCAAAGAGAGAGGGCTTGTGCAGGGAAACTCCCATTTTTAAAACCATCAGATCTCATAGGACTTATTCACTATCACAAGAACAGCATGGGAAGGACCCGCTCCCATGATTCAATTATCTCCCACTGGGTCCCGCCCACAACACATGGGAATTATGGAAGCTACAAGATGAGATTTGGGTGGGGACACAGAGCCAAACCATATCAAAAGATCAGACAGATAGATAGATAGATAGATAGATAGATAGATAGATAGATAGATGTATATATATAGATATATACACACATATATATGTATGTGTGTGTTTGTGTGTGTGTGTAAAAATCACCAAATATTAAGTGATGTTGGAGAGAGAATCAGAGAGTCAAAATTTCAATTCATTCGAAAAGAGGAATGGCCAAGGGGTCAATAGATTACTTAAACCATGAAGGATAGTGAGTTATAGAAACTGACATGTGATTCAAAGGTGGAGGAGAAAGAATGGTTGGATAGCAATAATGAGCAAGGAAACCACTTATCCCACACTTCGAACAGATGGAATGAGGGCTGTAGGATACAATATGGCTGCCCATTGAGACAGCAATTAATCACTAGAAGAAACAATGATCTCTAGGAGGTCTCCCACTTTTATACATACACTAATTCATAAGTGTCAATGGATTGCCTTGAAAAAATAGGAGAAAAATATTGAATTTTTGCACAAAATCCAGATAAATGATACATGGTTCATAAAAGATGAATGGCTCATAAATAATGCACTGGTTCATAGGTGATAAATGATAAATGATGCACTGGGTCACAAGTGTCAAAGCACTACCTTAAAAAAGAGGAGAAAAACTGTGGATTTTCCAACAAAATCCAAATAAATGATGCATTTTCCTTAGTGTTTGACCACTCATATTATAAAAATAGTATATTAAACTCCTAGGATAACTTATCTAAAATTTCAACTAAATGTAATTTAATACTAAACTTCTCACTTAAGCCTAAACTTTGAAAGGCATTTTGTAAAACACATAGTAATCGAAAGATAATCTCATTAGAGAGCACTCTAATTCAAAATTCACAAGATATTTTCACTTTAAATTCTGAGCTAGTTCTTACGTTCACTGTGTACCTCCTTAGAAATCTCAGCTTTTGTTGTGGAATGAAGTGCTGAACAAATAGATTTAAAATTATCCATGGGAAGTTTGTAAGCTTCAGGTTTGGGCTTCCTACATATAGTGTATAGCATGACAAAAATAGCCTTTGACTTGGATCTTTAGTGTCTTATCAATAAAACAAATAAGGAATACTTTGAGGAAATTGTGCAACCCATCTTCAAACAATATGGCATAGTTTTATACTTCTTGGAAGTAGACAGACTTCCTGACATGAAATAATGGAACCTCTGTTTTAAAAAACAAAGGCAAAGGCATGAATTTCTGCCATTACCTTAATAATGACTACAATCTCATAAAAGAGACTGCATATTTTGTACCATCACAATATGGAATAGATTCTTGAACCACTTTTTCCATATTTGGATATGTACATAGTAATCATAAGTAGTGTCATCATCTCATTAGGAAGGATAACATTAAAAGCAATAATCAAATGAGTTATATATGATGTATCTCATACACATAAAAGCAAACTTGGTTCCCGGTCAGGACTGCTTAGGCTGTCTGGCATATTATCACAGTGTGAATCTGCCCACTGTCCCCTATGTGTCTCTGTTATGAGTGACTCTACTATTACCTTTCAATGTATTACTACATGATGTAAATTTGTCCTGACCCATCTACTAAAACTTCTGTATATTTTGTTACTATTAGCATTCTTAAAATAATTGACTTACAAGAGAGTTATTAAAAGTACATTCTAAATTGGCAAGCATTATCAATGAGTATTTATAAATATGTTTTTATATCCAGTTTATCATTGCAGGAGTCTTCCTAATAAGAGTAACAAAGTATCCGACTCGATCTGGAGTAAGTTGAAATGTTTGAGGTATCTCTAGAAATCACTTATCACAAAGCTAAATATTAAGTTTTAATGAAAATATAACGTCTAAACAATGAAGGAATCTACCCTACCTGTAAAGTAAATGAAAGAATTAAGAATGAATCTAGAAGAACATAATTTAATATAGACAAATATACTGTATTGGTTAAAATCATGATTACTTTATGTATAGGTTTCTAAATGTATATATAGTTTTTGTTTTGTTTGATGTTCTGCCTTTTAACATTGTGTAAACTTTATAATTAAAAAATTTTAATAGGACCTAATGCCTTTAGATATAGACATTATACTACTGTAAAACTTCATTTTCTGAACTATCCAGTTTGGGAACAAGATTGTGTCCTGTAACAAAGTACAGAATTGGTCCAGATTAAAGATCCATGCATGGTATAGGTGGATAGAATTGGGAAGAACACTTTAGAATCTTAGAGCTAAAACGTACCTTAGAAATTAGTCTGCCCTCATAATTTTACAGATAAAAAAATGATGTCTGAAGATACTGATAGATTTCCTTAGATAATGAAAACCCAGGATTAAAATTTTATCAACTGACTCCTATTTCTACAAGCAGTCATTTTCCACTTTTTTTTTTTTCTTACAGTGGAACCACTTTTGTCCAAATCATATCTTATATGCTTTCTTCCAAATGACCTATAACATTGAAAAACACAATACTTTTTTTTTTTTTTTTTTGAGATGGAGTCTCTCTCTCTCACCCAGGCTGGAGTGCAGTGGCACAATCTCGGCTCACTGCAAGCTCTGCCTCCTGGGTTTACACCATTCTGCCTCAGCCTCCCAAGTAGCTGGGCCTACAGGTGCCCGCCACCAAGCCCGGCTAATTTTTTTGTATTTTTACTAGAGATGGGGTTTCACCGTGTTAGCCAGGATGGTCTCGATCTCCTGACCTCGTGATCCACCCGTCTCGGCCTCCCAAAGTGCTGGGATTACAGGCGTGAGCCACTGCGCCCGGCCCCAAAAAATACAATATGTTTTAGCCTAAATGGAAGATTAATGATTAATGGACTGATGGTGTTAATGTTTCCTCCAGATTAACTGGGCTTCATATAAATCAGAAAAATATTTTCTTAATATTTAATACTTCTAAGACTTCAGAAACTAGATCAAAGTTTTAACTAGATGAGTTTTTTCAGCAATGCAAACTATTACACCAAAATGTTTATTCTGAATATAATAAATTTGCCCTCTGTCTCCTTTTCAGATTATAAGTACTTTAATCATAAACATCATCTGCATAATTACTACAATTACTGCAGTAACTCTAACAATAATAGAGTTGTCTCATTTTAATTCTGTGTCATACAGGAATTATGGACAAGCAGTAAGTGACCAATTCTATGGGAACATATTAATTTTAAAATTATTCTTTTTAATAATTTTGAAATCTTAGGAGGTAAGATGAGGCTTTTATTCGTCCTCATGAAATTCTTTGATTTAGTTGTGAGCTCTTGATTGAAAATTTTAAATCAAAAATAATTCTAGGCTGTGAGTTTTAGTAAATATTAAGAGAATGTTTGAATTCTTGACTTGCTGAATTAAAGTGAGTAAAAATTTGAAAGCTTCAGTGGCAAGTGTCTATGTATTAGGCACAGAGCCACTTAATGATTCTCTTAATACAAGAAAAGTATAATCCTGGACAATAAAACCATTTTGCAAATAAACAAAAGAATTCTGCTACTGACACATATGGTTCAAATTGTAGACACCTAGTAATTTCTGGCTTAACATAGAATTTTTCATACATAGCCTATCTTTGCATCTTACATAAATTTTGCTTTAAGGCCAAAAATGCTAAATATAAATAAACCTAACTTGTTTCCATTTAGTTGCCCAGTAAATGTGAAGATTTTTACTGATAACACAATAGTTTTATTTTAATTATATTGGCTTTAAATTCAGAATCATAAAATATTAGTGGGGCAAAAGACCTTAGCAAAGTTAATACAAAATCTCACATTTAAAGTGAGGACAAATTGGAGTGAAACACCTTGTCTGACCAACAGAACAAAACAAATAACAATTTCAGTAATGAGTAGAAGCGTCATTACAGGTGAAGGATAAACTTCCTCCTCCTCCCCTACACACTTTCACTCCATACCTGTGACATATTATTAAGGGGGACATCAGAGGAAAGAACCCAAACCTGGAGAACAAAACCCTGGAGGACAGTGATACAATAATAGAAAAATGCACTAATACCCCAAAATATATTATCTGTAACAAGTGATTATGTAAACAAACATGGACCAGATTTTCCCTATAAATTATAAGAAAATTGTCCAGTTGCCCTGAACATTCAATCTAGAAATCTTTAGTTCTAATTTTGAGGGCAGAGAATAGGAAAGGAGGACTTAAGTTATTAAGTGCATAATTGTTTCAAGTTATATGTCACCATTCTTATTCATAAACTTTTAATTATCAGTTTAATATGGCATAATTGCCAAGGATTGCCTTTTGCAGTCAGTGTGACAAACTATTGTAGTCTGTATTTATCTGATCTGAACTCAATGATAACGACCAGTTTTATAGTCTCTCAAAATCACAAGTTCAGCACAAGTTTGCTGTGATTAGTTACACAAAATGAGCTTGTATATTAGACTTATATCTCAAAGCCACCATCTTTTTCTAGTGTCATTACAGAATTATATACTTACACTTGCTAAGGCAGCCAACATTTTACAGGACTTTTACATGCCAACTTTTCTCACATAAGCAAGGGGCTTGGCTAAATCTACAAAGTCATCAAGTTTTCAGTGTTCCCAGGCAGGGTCAGAAAAGTGCATGCATCTGAAATATACTCCTCATATAGCAAAATGGTTAATAGTATAGATTCCAGGATCAGAGTGCACTTATTTAAATACTATCCTCAGTACTCACTGTGTGTAAACCCCTGGAAAAGTTTCTTAACTTAACTGTTTCCAAGTTTTCTTTTGTGAGAAATGAAGAAAATGCCTGCTAGTTAACTGCTCTGTTCTTTCTTCCAAACTCCCGGCCTGTTGTTTTAAAAGCTAGTTTGACTTTTCTACTTGGCTATGTTTCTATCACTATTATATCAAACTCAACAGATATAAAATGGAAATTACTTACCTCCTCAGAAGTACTATACTGCAAGACTCCCTCGTTTCAATCTCCCACATACAAAACCTTGACATAATACCTCATCTCTTTCTACTGTCTTTATAATTACCAAATATTGCTTATTCTTCATTTAAGTATTTATTAATTAGGGTTATCTTGGTTTTAAGTAATAGGAAATACAACCCAAGTTGACTTAAGGCAAAAAGGGTCACTTACTTTACTTAAGCTGGGTCCAGAAGCTTACAGTTTACATCATCTGCCAGGAACTCATTCATTCCGTCTCTCTCTCTCTCTCTCTCTCTCTCTCTCTCTCTCTCTCTCTCTCTCTGTGTGTGTGTGTGTGTGTGTGTGTGTGTGTGTGTTTCCGTTTCCTCAGTTTTCATATTTGAGCTGCTCTGGCCAACCTTTTGCCGCTTTCAGTCAGGGAGGGAGTTTTAGAATAGCACTCTCATATAAATTAAAGAATATGGGGCCAGGCACGGTGGCTCACGCCTGTAATCCCAGCACTTTGGAAGGCCAAGGCAGGCGGATCACTTGAGATCAGATGTTCGAGACCAGCCTGGCCAACAAGGTGAAACCCTGTCTCCACTAAAAATACAAAAGTTAGCTGGGCATGGCGGTGGGCACCTGTAATCCCAGCTACTCCGGAGGCTAAGGCACGAGAATCGCTTGAACCCAGGAGGCAGAGGTTGCAGTGAGCCGAGATTGCGCCACTGCACTCCAGCCTGGGTGATAGAGCGAGACTCAGTCTCAAAATAAATTAAATTAAAAAATTAAAAAAAATAAGGAATATGGGTAAAATGACTTTTCACAGTCTTGTCAGCTAAGAGGTCCCAAGTACTTTCTAGCTAAAATGTTATGATTATGATTGTGCATTTCTGCCAACAAAAGTAAATCAAAATTATTTACCTTGGTATTTCAAACTTTCTACATCTTTTCCTTATCCTCCTGTTTATATCATATATGAATGAACACTGTAATTCAGTTAAAACCTGTTTTTCATTTTCTCAAAATGTTATATTGCTTACACTCAGTTTTGTTCTCACATTAAAAACCATAGGTTGTTCAAATATGTATTTTAGCTTTACTCTACTGGTTGTATTTTATGTCTCAATTTTTAAATTATTTTGTCACACTTTTAATTTATGCTATTAAACTCTTTCTGAAACAAGATAGGTTACAAGGAAACAAGCAAATAAAAATTTAAAGTTGCCTAGAATGCTGTTTCCTTCCTTCGTTTTTCTCAGTCCTACCCTTATTTCAAAGGTCCTACCACTTTATGAAGCCTTCCCAGAGAGTAATAGCTTGGAGTGAACCTCCTGTCCCTCCTGTCCCCTATAATGATTGAGCAAGTTTTTATCCATTTTTTATGGTACCTTATATTATCTTTCTGTCTCTTCTACTTCATTATAAACTCTAAGAAATCAGGAAGTTATGTGTCATTGCATTCCTATCATCTAATTCCTACTACCAGATAGTTTCTTGAATATAAAAGATATTAAATAAACCAAACAAAGAAGGAGGAGGAAGAGTTAGAGAAGGAATTGAAAGGGAGAGAATTATGATGTCATTCTTTCTAGTTCTGAGTATCATTCTTGTCTTTCCACAGCCAGCACAAAACCCACATTTTCAGGATGAGTACCAATATTATTCACATAACTAACCAATCGGATTTGTAGTTGAAAATATCTTTCTGATAGCAACAGAAGGGAATCTGTTTTATTTATCCCAGCAGTCACAATCACCTTATGCTTCCAAGTTAAATGTTCTTTGAACTCTTTTTGAATGTATTAATCATTTTAAATGATATTAGAGCAATATATATGTGAGAGTTTTATCACCATGTATGTAAATTTAAGAAGGGTTGTGATTAATAATAGCTGTTTTAATAGAAAAGGATTGCTTGATAAATCTGTTGGTGGCCATCTTATCATTAGAGACAGGAAAGTCAAATCTTACTAACTGGAGAGTTTAGATAGTGAGCTGTGCCAGCGACTCTGTAAAAGCTGTCAGAAGTGAGACAAGAATGCTAAGCAATGGAGATCAAATGCAGAAGCCACAGATGCTGAATTGAGGAACTGAAAGCTAGGGAAAGTGTAGCAGAGGGCAAAGGAGTAGAAATGTCTAAGGAAATCAAATGGTGAAAGGTTTATCTGTTCTTATTTTCCTTCCTTTTTTTTTT
The DNA here is from genome assembly GCF_000001405.40 of Homo sapiens. NCBI lineage: Eukaryota > Metazoa > Chordata > Mammalia > Primates > Hominidae > Homo > Homo sapiens. The sequence goes on from NC_000011.10 coordinate 60,529,266, forward strand.
TTTTTTTTTTGACTCTCATACCAGTAGCTCCTTCCATGATCATGTTTGCACTCACTAAAGATAATAGCATTAAGATTTCTCCCTGTTTTTTGGTTATAGAAACTTGGGAGGGAAGTATCACGTATTTTACTGTTCTTCTACGGTTTGGAATTTTCTATTGCACTTACACACTCAATATACAGCTGTTCCAATTTGGTAAGTGTTTACCCACTCTCTGGCAAATCAAAAGATGTTGATTTCTAGTAACTACACTCTATGAGAAGATGAAGTGCACTGATACAAAATATTTAGAACTAATATAAATGGAATGTGTGATATTGCCTTTATTTTTTATTTTTGTTATTTTATAAATAGCATAAAATTATAACAGTAATACATGAAACTACATTTAAAAGCAAAAAGCATATAGAGTAAAAAGTGATTTTTCTTTAATATAGTTCTCATCGTATCCACACATCCAATTCTATACAAAAAAAGACGAATACACACACATTCTCTTTACTAATTGTATGTATTATATTCACATTATTTTGTCACATTCATTTTTTGCAATGATTAGAAATATCTTTCCATTACAAAACATATCTAAATAATGCCTTTTATTGCCTTCATTGTTTTTCTTAGTATTTAGCATTCCCTAATTACTGCATATGTAGCTTGGTTTCCAGTTTTTTCTAAATTATAAACAATGATGCAGTGAACATTTGAGTATAAATATTTTTGCATACAGGACCACTAATTCTTTAGGTGTTTGATTCCTAGAAATGTCATTGCAGGATCAAGTGTAACAACATCCCAAAATGCTATAACAACTCACAAAAGTTTATGAGAATGATTATTTTCTCACAAGCTTAAAAGACTACATATCTAACATTCATTCATTCTTTCTCAAATATTTACGGAGAGCATGCTATTTGCTAGGCATTGTCATAGGCACTAAGGATGCAATGATTAACAAAACAATGGCCTCTCCATTAGGGAGTTTGCATTCCACTGGGGGAGAAAGGCAATAAACAAACACATAAAATTATAAAATGTCAAGAACTGAAAAATGTTATGAAGTAAAATAAAGCAAACTAAGGAGATAAGGCAAGATTATTTTATGTAGGATGGTCAAGGAAGACTACTATGATCAACAACTGATTGAAATACAGAAACAACTATAAGACTACATGGTAAAAGGATTTCTGAAGAGAGGGAATGAGTTGCATTTCCAGAATGGCTGATTGAGGACATGGTAACTCTCCCTAAAAATGAAATTATAAAACTGAACAAAATTGTCAATGAACAACCTTCTAAAGATTCAGGAAGTTGACCAAGCATACAAGAACTTGAGAAGTGTTTATTTAAGAAAATCTACTGGACCTCAGTAAGAACAGTGCATGTCTGTGGCATGTTAGCTTGGGACTGTTCCCACTCTTCCCACCTGATATGGTTAGGCTTTGTGTCCCCACCCAAATCTCATCTTGAATTGTAATCCCCAGGTTTTGAGGGAGGAACCTGATGGGAGGAAACTGGATCATGGGGGCAGTTTTCCCCATGCTATTCTCATGATAGTGAGTGAGTTCTCATGAGATCTGATAGTTTTATAAGTGTTTAGCAAGTTCCTCATTCACTCAGTCTTCTTTCTCCTGCTGCCATGTGAAAAAGGTCCTTGCTTCCCCTTTGCCTTACGCCATCATTGTAAGTTTCCTGAGGTCTCCCAAGCCATGTGGAACTGTAAGTCAATTAAACCTCTTTCCTTTATAAATTACCCAGTCTTGACAAGTTTGTTATAGCAGTGTGAAAACAGACTAATATACTACCCCACCCTCAGATTCCGTTACGCAGAAGTTTACCTTGGTGGGTCAGACTGTGAGGCCCAGCAGCCTCATTGCTTGAGATGACTAGTTTTATTTGGAACAGAGCTCAGAAAGTTCCAAGACCAAAAGCGTTATTAAAACAACAGTAATCCCAGTGACAAACAAGCAGATAAGGCCAAGGTCACTCCTAGCCTGACTAAGATCACAATACTTGTTGGGGCAAAAAATTTACTAGCAACCAACCAGAAACTCAACAGAGAAATTTGAAGAACAGGACAGCCACAGTGGACCTTGATAACTTCCTACTTTTCCCCTGTAGTCTGGAAGAATATAAATATGTGCAAAGCTATACACATACTAAGGAGACAGGAGAAGGTCCTAGTGAGCCCTTGGTTGAACAAGAGGCCTTGCAAAAATAAAGTAAAAGCTGGGGCAACCTCAACTTTGAATATATTGCTCAAGCTACACTGATTCATTGGGAAAGGGTAGAAGTCTTACTGGCTCAAGGTGTCTAATACTTTCCTAGAGCTTCTATAACAAAGCACCACAGACTGTAGCTTAAACAACAAACTTATTTTCTTACAATTCCAGAGGCTAGAAGTTCAAGATCAAGGTGTTGGCAGGGTTAGTTTCTTCTGAGGCATCTCTCTTTGGCTTTCACTTGGCTGTCTTCTCCCTGTGTTTTCACATGGTCTTCTCTTTATTTGTCTGTGTCCTAGTCTCTTCTAAGCTCACCAGTCATATTAGATTAGGGCTCATTCTAATTACCTTATTATAACTTCATTGCCAGTTAAAAGACCCTATTTCCAAATACAGTCACATTCCAAGGTACTGGGAGTTAGGACTTCCAGTATTCCAAGATACTAACCACTGGTATTGCTAACCACCACTCCTGGGAAATGAGGCAATCAGAATCTAAAATTGCTACCATATATTATCTAAAATGTCCAGTTTTCAACAACAAAAAGTATGCAAATAATAATAGTTACCCATAGGGTTCAAAACAACACTTAATAGACATAGCGTCTTTGAGCAAGGGAAGAATAAATGTTGGACTTAACAAAGAAAGGCTTCAAAAATTAGTAAAGTAGGTTGGAGGAGCCAAGATGGCCGAATAGGAACAGCTCCGGTCTACAGCTCCCAGCATGAGCGACGCAGAAGACGGGTGATTTCTGCATTTCCATCTGAGGTACCAGGTTCATCTCACTAGGGAGTGCCAGACAGTGGGCGCAGGCCAGTGTGTGCACGCACCGTGCGCGAGCCGAAGCAGGGCGAGGCATTGCCTCACCTGGGAAGCTCAAGGGGTCAGGGAGTTCCCTTTCCGAGTCAAAGAAAGGGGTGACGGACGCACCTGGAAAATCGGGTCACTCCCACCCGAATATTGCGCTTTTCAGACCGGCTCAAAAAACGGCGCACCAGGAGACTATATCCCACACCTGGCTCAGAGGGTCCTACGCCCACGGAATCTCGCTGATTGCTAGCACAGCAGTCTCAGATCAAACTGCGAGGTGGCAGCGAGGTTGGGGGAGGGGCGCCCGCCATTGCGCAGGCTTGCTTAGGTAAACAAAGCAGCCTGGAAGCTCGAACTGGGTGGAGCCCACCACAGCTCAAGGAGGCCTGCCTGCCTCTGTAGGCTCCACCTCTGGGGGCAGGGCACAGACAAACAAAAAGACAGCAGTAACCTCTGCAGACTTAAGTGTCCCTGTCTGACAGCTTTGAAGAGAGCAGTGGTTCTCCCAGCACGCAGCTGGAGATCTGAGAACGGGCAGACTGCCTCCTCAAGTGGGTCCCTGACCCCTGACCCCCGAGCAGCCTAACTGGGAGGCACCCCCCAGCAGGGGCACACTGACACCTCACACGGCAGGGTATTCCAACAGACCTGCAGCTGAGGGTCCTGTCTGTTAGAAGGAAAACTAACAACCAGAAAGGACATCTACACCAAAAACCCATCTGTACATCACCATCATCAAAGACCAAAAGTAGATAAAACCACAAAGATGGGGAAAAAACAGAACAGAAAAACTGGAAACTCTAAAACGCAGAGCGCCTCTCCTCCTCCAAAGGAACACAGTTCCTCACCAGCAACGGAACAAAGCTGGATGGAGAATGATTTTGACGAGCTGAGAGAAGAAGGCTTCAGACGATCAAATTACTCTGAGCTACGGGAGGACATTCAAACCAAAGGCAAAAAAGTTGAAAACTTCGAAAAAAATTTAGAAGAATGTATAACTAGAATAACCAATACAGAGAAGTGCTTAAAGGAGCTGATGGAGCTGAAAACCAAGGCTCAAGAACTACGTGAAGAATGCAGAAGCCTCAGGAGCCGATGCAATCAACTGGAAGAAAGGGTATCAGCAATGGAAGATGAAATGAATGAAATGAAGCGAGAAGGGAAGTTTAGAGAAAAAAGAATAAAAAGAAATGAGCAAAGCCTCCAAGAAATATGGGACTATGTGAAAAGACCAAATCTACGTCTGATTGGTGTACCTAAAAGTGATGGGGAGAATGGAACCAAGTTGGAAAACACTCTGCAGGATATTATCCAGGAGAACTTCCCCAATCTAGCAAGGCAGGCCAACGTTCAGATTCAGGAAATACAGAGAACGCCACAAAGATACTCCTCGAGAAGAGCAACTCCAAGACACATAATTGTCAGATTCACCAAAGTTGAAATGAAGGAAAAAATGTTAAGGGCAGCCAGAGAGAAAGGTCGGGTTACCCTCAAAGGAAAGCCCATCAGACTAACAGTGGATCTCTCGGCAGAAACCCTACAAGCCAGAAGAGAGTGGGGGCCAATATTCAACATTCTGAAAGAAAAGAATTTTCAACCCAGAATTTCATATCCAGCCAAACTAAGCTTCATAAGTGAAGGAGAAATAAAATACTTTATAGACAAGCAAATGCTGAGAGATTTTGTCACCACCAGGCCTGCCCTAAAAGAGCTCCTGAAGGAAGCGCTAAACATGGAAAGGAACAACCGGTACCAGCCGCTGCAAAATCATGCCAAAATGTAAAGACCATCGAGACTAGGAAGAAACTGCATCAACTAATGAGCAAAATCACCAGCTAACATCATAATGACAGGATCAAATTCACACATAACAATATTAACTTTAAATATAAATGGACTAAATTCTGCAATTAAAAGACACAGACTGGCAAGTTGGATAAAGAGTCAAGACCCATCAGTGTGCTGTATTCAGGAAACCCATCTCACGTGCAGAGACACACATAGGCTCAAAATAAAAGGATGGAGGAAGATCTACCAAGCCAATGGAAAACAAAAAAAGGCAGGGGTTGCAATCCTAGTCTCTGATAAAACAGACTTTAAACCAACAAAGATCAAAAGAGACAAAGAAGGCCATTACATAATGGTAAAGGGATCAATTCAACAAGAGGAGCTAACTATCCTAAATATTTATGCACCCAATACAGGAGCACCCAGATTCATAAAGCAAGTCCTGAGTGACCTACAAAGAGACTTAGACTCCCACACATTAATAATGGGAGACTTTAACACCCCACTGTCAACATTAGACAGATCAACGAGACAGAAAGTCAACAAGGATACCCAGGAATTGAACTCAGCTCTGCACCAAGCGGACCTAATAGACATCTACAGAACTCTACACCCCAAATCAACAGAATATACATTTTTTTCAGCACCACACCACACCTATTCCAAAATTGACCACATAGTTGGAAGTAAAGCTCTCCTCAGCAAATGTAAAAGAACAGAAATTATAACAAACTATCTCTCAGACCACAGTGCAATCAAACTAGAACTCAGGATTAAGAATCTCACTCAAAGCCGCTCAACTACATGGAAACTGAACAACCTGCTCCTGAATGACTACTGGGTACATAACGAAATGAAGGCAGAAATAAAGGTGTTCTTTGAAACCAACGAGAACAAAGACACCACATACCAGAATCTCTGGGACGCATTCAAAGCAGTGTGTAGAGGGAAATTTATAGCACTAAATGCCTACAAGAGAAAGCAGGAAAGATCCAAAATTGACACCCTAACATCACAATTAAAAGAACTAGAAAAGCAAGAGCAAACACATTCAAAAGCTAGCAGAAGGCAAGAAATAACCAAAATCAGAGCAGAACTGAAGGAAATAGAGACACAAAAAACCCTTCAAAAAATCAATGAATCCAGGAGCTGGTTTTTTGAAAGGATCAACAAAATTGATAGACCGCTAGCAAGACTAATAAAGAAAAAAAGAGAGAAGAATCAAATAGACACAATAAAAAATGATAAAGGGGATATCACCACCAATCCCACAGAAATACAAACTACCATCAGAGAATACTACAAACACCTCTACGCAAATAAACTAGAAAATCTAGAAGAAATGGATACATTCCTCGACACATACACTCTGCCAAGACTAAACCAGGAAGAAGTAGAATCTCTGAATAGACCAATAACAGGCTCTGAAATTGTGGCAATAATCAATAGTTTACCAACCAAAAAGAGTCCAGGACCAGATGGATTCACAGCCGAATTCTACCAGAGGTACAAGGAGGAACTGGTACCATTCCTTCTGAAACTATTCCAATCAATAGAAAAAGAGGGAATCCTCCCTAACTCATTTTATGAGGCCAGCATCATTCTGATACCAAAGCCGGGCAGAGACACAACCAAAAAAGAGAATTTTAGACCAATATCCTTGATGAACATTGATGCAAAAATCCTCAATAAAATACTGGCAAACCGAATCCAGCAGCACATCAAAAAGCTTATCCACCATGATCAAGTGGGCTTCATCCCTGGGATGCAAGGCTGGTTCAATATACGCAAATCAATAAATGTAATCCAGCATATAAACAGAGCCAAAGACAAAAACCACATGATTATCTCAATAGATGCAGAAAAACCCTTTGACAAAATTCAACAACCCTTCATGCTAAAAACTCTCAATAAATTAGGTATTGATGGGACGTATTTCAAAATAATAAGAGCTATCTATGACAAACCCACAGCCAATATCATACTGAATGGGCAAAAACTGGAAGCATTCCCTTTGAAAACTGGCACAAGACAGGGATGCCCTCTCTCACCGCTCCTATTCAACATAGTGTTGGAAGTTCTGGCCAGGGCAATCAGGCAGGAGAAGGAAATAAAGGGTATTCAATTAGGAAAAGAGGAAGTCAAATTGTCCCTGTTTGCAGATGACATGATTGTTTATCTAGAAAACCCCATCGTCTCAGCCCAAAATCTCCTTAAGCTGATAAGCAACTTCAGCAAAGTCTCAGGATACAAAATCAATGTACAAAAATCACAAGCATTCTTATACACCAATAACAGACAAACAGAGAGCCAAATCATGAGTGAAATCACATTCACAATTGCTTCAAAGAGAATAAAATACCTAGGAATCCAACTTACAAGGGATGTGAAGGACCTCTTCAAGGAGAACTACAAACCACTGCTCAAGGAAATAAAAGAGGACACAAACAAATGGAAGAACATTCCATGCTCATGGGTAGGAAGAATCAATATCGTGAAAATGGCCATACTGCCCAAGGTAATTTACAGATTCAATGCCATCCCCATCAAGCTACCAATGACTTTCTTCACAGAATTGGAAAAAACTACTTTAAAGTTCATATGGAACCAAAAAAGAGCCCGCATTGCCAAGTCAATCCTAAGCCAAAAGAACAAAGCTGGAGGCATCACACTACCTGACTTCAAACTATACTACAAGGCTACAGTCACCAAAACAGCATGGTACTGGTACCAAAACAGAGATATAGATCAATGGAACAGAACAGAGCCCTCAGAAATAATGCCGCATATCTACAACTATCTGATCTTTGACAAACCTGACAAAAACAAGCAATGGGGAAAGGATTCCCTATTTAATAAATGGTGCTGGGATAACTGGCTAGCCATATGTAGAAAGCTGAAACTGGATCCCTTCCTTACACCTTATACAAAAATCAATTCAAGATGGATTAAAGATTTAAACGTTAGACCTAAAACCATAAAAACCCTAGAAGAAAACCTAGGCATTACCATTCAGGACATAGGCGTGGGCAAGGACTTCATGTCCAAAACACCAAAAGCAATGGCAACAAAAGCCAAAATTGACAAATGGGATCTAATTAAACTAAAGAGCTTCTGCACAGCAAAAGAAACTACCATCAGAGTGAACAGGCAACCTACAACATGGGAGAAAATTTTCGCAACCTACTCATCTGACAAAGGGCTAATATCCAGAATCTACAATGAACTCAAACAAATTTACAAGAAAAAAACAAACAACCCCATCAAAAAGTGGGCGAAGGACATGAACAGACACTTCTCAAAAGAAGACATTTATGCAGCCAAAAAACACATGAAAAAATGCTCATCATCACTGGCCATCAGAGAAATGCAAATCAAAACCACTATGAGATATCATCTCACACCAGTTAGAATGGCAATCATTAAAAAGTCAGGAAACAACAGGTGCTGGAGAGGATGTGGAGAAATAGAAACACTTTTACACTGTTGGTGGGACTGTAAACTAGTTCAACCATTGTGGAAGTCAGTGTGGCGATTCCTCAGGGATCTAGAACTAGAAATACCATTTGACCCAGCCATCCCATTACTGGGTATATACCCAAAGGACTATAAATCATGCTGCTATAAAGACACATGCACACGTATGTTTATTGCGGCATTATTCACAATAGCAAAGACTTGGAACCAACCCAAATGTCCAACAATGATAGACTGGATTAAGAAAATGTGGCACATATACACCATGGAATACTATGCAGCCATAAAAAATGATGAGTTCATGTCCTTTGTAGGGACATGGATGAAATTGGAAACTATCATTCTCAGTAAACTATCGCAAGAACAAAAAACCAAACACCGCATATTCTCACTCATAGGTGGGAATTGAACAATGAGATCACATGGACACAGGAAGGGGAATATCACACTCTGGGGACTGTGGTGGGGTCGGGGGAGGGGGGAGGGATGGCATTGGGAGATATACCTAATGCTGGATGACACGTTGGTGGGTGCAGCGCACCAGCATGGCACATGTATACATATGTAACTAACCTGCACAATGTGCACATGTACCCTAAAACTTAAAGTATAATAAAAAAAAAAAAAACGAAAAAAAAAAACAAAGTTGAACTCATAGAAGCAGAAGGTAGAATGATGAATACCAGAGGCTGGGGGCCGATGGGGCATAGATGAGGCAAAAAGGTGTTGATCAAAGGCCATACAGTTTTCGTTAGACAGGAGGAGTAAGCTTTAGGGATCAATTACGTAGACTGGGGACTATAATAACTAATCATGCACTGGATATTCCAAAACTACCAAAAGAGTTGATTTTAAATGTTTTCATCACAAAGAAAAGTAGTAAGTATATGAGGTTATGAATTTGTTAATTAGCCTGATTTAATCATTCCACCCTGTAAACATATCAAAACATCACATTGTACCCCATAAATATATCTGCAATGATTATGTCAATTAAAAATAAAATTTTAAGAAATAAAAATAAAAAAAAAAATTGCAGGGACAGTACAGAAATTTTTTTCCCTGAATTATTTGAAGGTAAGTTGCCAGCCTGGTGTCCCATCTATCCTATGAGAGGCAGAATTTTAAGATAATCCCTATGACTTTCACTTCCTGGGGTTACTCCTATCACTATGTTACATGACACAGCAAAAAGGAAATTATCTGGGTAGGCCTAATCTAAGCCCCTAAGCTCTTTAAAAGGAGAAAGTTTTATCTGGCTGATGGCAGAAAGGGAAGTCAGAGAGATTTGAATCATGATAAGGGTTGAATGCATCTCCATTGCTGGCCTTGAAGGTGGAGGGGGCCACATGCAAGGACCAGAAAGAAGCCTCTAGGAGCTGAGAGCAGCTGCCTGTCAAAAACCAGCAAAGAAATGGAGCCATCAGTTCTACAACTGCAAGGAACTGAGTTCTGCAAACAACCTGAATGATCTTAGAAGGGGATTCTTCTCCTGGCCCTCCAGATAATAGCCCAGGACAGCCAACAACTTGATTTCAGTCTTGGGAGACCCTAAGCAGAAAACCAGCTGAGGCTACCCAGAATACTGACTTGCAGAACTATGAGTTAATAAATGAGTGTTGTTTCAAAAAAAAAAAAAAAAAAATTTAGTAAAGTAAATATGTTTGAAGAATTATAAGATGGCAACAATGATTCATCAAATAAAAGTCAATAAAAGAGACAGAAATTATGAAAAACCCAATGGAGGTTCTAGAGTTTAAAAATACAAGAACTGAAATGAAAAACCACTAGAGGAACTCAAGAACAGAGGTGAGCTGACAAAAAACAAAATAAACAGACATAAAGAGAGCAAAAAAGATATTGCCCAGTCCGAAGAACAGGAAAAAAAGAAAATGAAGAAAACTGTACAGAACCTCAAAATCCTTTGAGATACCATCACATGTATAATGGGAGTCCCATAAAAATGGGGAGTACCAGAAAAAAAATTAAAGAAATAATGGCTCCCAAATTCCCCTAATTTCATGGAAAACATTCAATACATCCAAAAAGCTCAAGGATCTTCAAGTAAAATAAACACAAAGAGATCCTCCTAGACACCTCCATGTCAAACTGATAAAAAAGAAAATCTTGAAAGCAGCAAAAAAAAATAAAAACAAGACTCTTCATATATAAGGGAACCACAATAATATAAACAGCTGGGTTCTCATCCAAAACAATGGAGGCCTGAAGGTAGTGGAATGGGATATTAAAGTGCAGGGGGAAAAACAGTCAGGCAGGAATTCTTTATCCTTTAAAACTATCCCTCAAAAATGAAGGTGAAATACAGACATACACAGATGAATAATGTGTTGCTAGCAGAAATTCCTCATGAGAAACACTAAAGGAAGTTCTTTAGACTGAAGTGACATCAGATGAAACTCAAATGCACATGAATAAATAAAAAAAGTGCCAGTAAAAGTAATTATGTAGGTGGTTATGAAAATCAGTATAAATACATCTTTTGTGTTTTCTTCTGTTAACTGATTTAAAAGACAGTAGCATTAATTGCATTGGGCTCACCCAGGTAATCCAGGATGATTACCTTAATTTAAGGTCGTGTTATTAGTAACATTAATTCCATCTGTCATAACTACTCAGCTCCACCTTTTAGCATGAAAGTATTCATAGACAATACATAAAGGAATGGATATGGCTTGTTCCAGCAAAACTTTATTTGCAAAAACGGGAGTGGGCTAGATTTGGTCCATGTATCATAGCTTGCCAACCCTTCTTCAATAGACAGTTTCTCAATTTTTCTCTTAAATTTTAAAAGATAAGATTATAAAAGCAGTAATTATAACACCATATTGGTAGTTACATAATATATATAGATAGAATAGATGACAATAATAGCACAAAGAAAAGGAAAGGGAATGAGTTATATGGGAATAAAGTTGCTGTATTTTACTGGAATTGAATTAGCATTCATCTGAAGTAGACTGTGATAAATTAGGGTGCTTATTTAGTGATTAAGCAAGCTAAAAATATAATAGCTTAAAAACAAGGGAATTAACATACACAAAGTATGTTTAATTTTTAAAAAATAAAGAAAGAACACAATGGCCAGGCTTGGTTGGTTAACACCCATATTCCCAGCATTTTGGGAGGCCAACTCGGGAAGACCATATGAGCCCAGGAGTTCAAGACCAGCCTGGGCAACATGACGAGACCTCATCTCTACAAAAAAGTAAAAATAAAAACACTAGCTATGCATAGTGCCACATGCCTGTGGTCCCAGCTACTTAGGCAGCTGAGGTGGGAGGATCACTTGGAACCCAGGAGGTCAAGGCTGCAATGAGCCATATTCAGGCCACCGTACCCCAGTGTGGGTGACAGAGTAAAACCCTATCTCACAAAAAAAAAAAAAAAGGAAAGGAAAAGAAAACACATGAGACGTGTATAAAACAAATAATAAAATGTCAGATATAAATCTATTCATTGTAATAATAACATTAAAATGACAGAGATATTTTAAAGTACCTACTGGAATGACTGAATTTCAAACTATTGACAATGCCAACTGATAGCAAAGATTGTAGATAAAAGAAATATCTCTCAAACTCCTAGTTGAAATATAAGTTATTGCAACAATTTTTAAAACCTTTTGGGCATTACCTACTAAAAATTAAAATGTGCATACCCTATGATCAGTAATTTAAGTCTTTGGTATATAACCAACAGAAATGTTTGCGCTTATGCATTAAGATAAACTTCCAGGAATATATAGAGAGCAGTATTATTCATAGTAGTCCCAAAGTGGAAACAACACAGGTGGGTGAGTGATGAATAAGTTGAGGTGTATTACTTCATTCAAATTTGACATGGTGATTAAAAGCAACTATACCTGCACTTAACATCATGGATGGATCTTACAAATAAAATGTTGAGTATAAAAACTCAAAAGAATGCATACTTGTAAAAAAATCCATTCATATGAAGTTTGAAACCAGGTAAAACTAAAGCTAACCTATAGTGTTTAGGGATGAAGCTTAGTTCATGAAACTAGAAAAAAAATTGACCTTATCTAAAAGTCAAAATGACCATTACCTTGAAGGGAAGGAATAGGTAATGGTTGAGAAATGTCATGAGAGGCTAGGGTGCTGGCATCTATTAAGATTTATGTTCAAGAAGACTATGGTTATTTTTATTATAAAAGTTTGAAGGTACACCAAAAGATACAAGTGATCCAACAGAAATTAAGAAAGTAGGTTGAAGGCTGGGCATGGTGGCTCACACCTGTAATCATAACACTTTGGGAGTCTGAAGCAGGAGGATCACTTGAGGCCAGGAGTTCAAGATCAGCTTGGTCAACATGGTGAAACCCCGTCTCTACTAAAAATACAAAAAAATTAGCCAGGCATGGTGGCACAGGCCTGTAATCCTAACTACTCGGGTGGCTGGGGCATGAGAATCTCTTGAGTCTGAACCTGAAAGAGAGGTGGTTGCAGTGAGCCGAGATCGCACCACTGCACTCCAGCCTGGGCGACATGACCTTGAAAACAGAACAAGACCTTGAAAAAAAAAAAAAACCCAAGGAAGGAAGGAATGTAGGAAGGAAAAAGAGAGAGAGAGAAAGAAAGAAGAAAGGGAAGAAAGGGAGGAAGGGAGGAAGGAAAGAAAGAAAGGAAGGAAGGAAGGAGAAAGAAAAAGAGAAAGAAAGAAAGAAAAAGGAAAGAAAGAAAGAGAAAGAAAGAAGAAAGGGAGGAAGGGAGGAAGGGAAGAAAGAAAGAAAGAGAAAGAGAAAGAAAGGAAGAAAGAAATAAGGTTGAAATAGGAATGGGACAGAAATAGGATACTTTAAGATTTCACTCTATAAATATCAGTATTACCTGTATTTTTTAAGAAAAAGATCTATTTATTAGTTGTATAATATTAAGAAACATGATATGATTTGTAAGAGGTTACTTTTTTTCCAGTTTCGAAGACAAAATGATCTTACATCTGTTACTGAGGAAGCTGAGAGCACTCCTTAAAAACCCTAGAAATATGAGAATTTTGCTGTTGCTGATGCCTGGTGTGGGTCCTAATGATATCTCTGTATAACAAAGCAGTTACGAAGCCTACAGATTTTGTGCAAAATAAAATACAAACAAGGTGAATTTTTCTCCTCATTCAAAAATGTCTCTGCTTATATTTTTCTAGGCTGCAAGGAAAGTTTTTCCCTATTTAAATATGAGATTATTACAGGATGAATGTGTTATCTAGGTACGCTGAATAGCTGTCAACTCTCCATAATAAAGCTTTTGTAAGAGACTGTAAAAAAGATTCATTATTATCTCTAGAGTGAAGGCTATAAAGACTTGGGCCATGATGTCGTATAATTCACAGGAAAACTTTAAATACTTATGTCCATACAAGCAGAAAGCACATTTTACAGTCTGAGTTCTTCTACTTTAACTAGCTTCTATCAAAGTATGAATCAAAAGGCCTCTAATTCATATTTCCTTCATTGTTCTTTGACTTCTCTTCTCCTTATTTAAAGTTCCTTTCTGCCCTGAACATATCTGCTATCTTTCTTATCTTTCTTTCCCCTTGCTTCTTTCTTCTTATCATTGTTTGGATCACCTGTTCAACTGCTTTTCAAAGCAGACAGACTGTCCACAATAAGGAGAATTTTCTAGAAATCGGTTCTGAATTCAATTCACCCTCTCTTCTAATATGGAATATTACTTCAGAAAGATGTTTCACTAATTGTTATCTAACACTGCAAACTAAGGTTACTTGATTCTAAGAATTTCAGCACTTATCTCATTTTTTTTCAGATTGTCTACTGTATGCCAATGAATAATATCTTAAGCTCTGGAGTATCAACAATTAATAAGGTACCTGATGACAAGGAGACTTATTTTAGGGGAGGAAACAAACAGCTACCAAGTTAAGACTATGTATGACATATAAACAGAGTATAAAAAAGTAGAAATAAGACAGAAGAAATAATCCTTCAGATGTGAAATAAGAGTAATAAAGCTTTATGAAAGACCCCTGAGCAGGGGATTAGTAGTTTACCAAACAGAAAGGTAGGAAGACATTTTGAATAGAAGACTTTAGGTTATTAGAAATGTGGGAGAGATCACAGCTAAAATAAATATATTAAAATTTAATGACAGGGAGGAGGAAGTCAAGAATGAAAGCTGGAGAGATCGGGGGAGGCCAGATAATAAAGAAGTCAAATCATCAAAGAGTTAATACTAAAGTATTGAACTAAATCTTGCAGACAGTAAGAGGCCATTGGCAAGTAGTTCAACAGGAAAATTATAGGCTTGGATTTACATTGAAAAAAGTATGAAATATGGGAAAATGCATTAGAAAGTATAAATTTGATTAAAGCAACTAGATTGTGGGAGGGAAAAATGGATAATTATTGTAGTGATTCAGAGAAGCAGTGAAAAGTGGTAAGTTTTAGCCTGACTGGCTGATTAAACATGAAGTGTGAAGGAATCTAAAATAATCCCCTAGTTTCTGGATTAGATAAAACCTACAGTGATATAAAGCATATAAGACATAACAGAATTGGAAAAAATGATCAATTCTATTAGGATAAGTTGAGTTTGAGATAACTAGAGAACATCAAAGTAGAGACGTCAATTAAACAGTTGAAAATACAAATCTGGAGACAGAGGAAAGATCAGCTATAAACTGATTGATTTTGATGGTAATTAAAAATATTGAGGGGTGACGTCACCACGATGGCAGACTAGAAAATAACCTAATCATATCTCCCAGAACAACAACAATTCTGTACCCATTCCAAGTCAAAAGTCTCTCTGCAGGAGCCTCGGGATTCAGGTAGCAGTTTGTCAAATACCCAGTGGAGCCCAAGACCCAGGAGAATCATTTTTAGAGTGCAGACCAACACCCGAGTGGCTGATTTGCCAAGATTTCTTGTAGATTCAAGCCCAGTAATGTCCTAGTCCTTGAAGGGGCTTGTTTAAAGTCTCATTTGGCTTTGAGCTTACAACCAAAACCATCTGCCAAGGGTTCTAGAAGGAATCATGCACACCAATGGCTTGGTGGAAAGGCTTGTCTGCCTGCTGACATTGATCTTGGCAGGGACCCTGAAAAGTGCACTGTGGCTCTGCTTCCGCCTTCCTTAGCTGAGATCCCAGCTCAGAGCTACTCACACAAGAACCCCAAAGGGAGACTCACTCATCTCTTGTAACCCGGAAATCTGAGCCTCCGTGATGGGCTTGCCAACCTCTGTCCCACAGCATATCCCAAGGGGGTCCACTCTCAGCTCCAGTGCCTCTCACTGCAGTTGAGAAACTATCCCATCTGTGCTGAGATCTGCTGGGAAATGAGTACCTGTCTGGGCCAACAAGATGGGCTTTCCATCCTACATCACATAGGAGATCCCAAAGGAGCCCAGTCTCAGCTCCAGTCCCTTCTGCTGCAGTCAAGGAACTATCCCATTTTTGCAGGGTCCTCCTGTGAGACATGTGCCCTCTGAGCCAACAAGACTGGGCTCTATAACCTTTATCACACAGCAGATCCTGAGGGGCCCAATCTCAGCTCTGGCCCCTCTCACTGCAGAGGTGAGGAACTATCCTATCTGTGCAGGAACTTGCTGGGTGGCATGTACCCCTCTACACTGAGATTGACCTCCTCATCCTCTGTCTCACTGAAAATCCCAAGTGGGCCCAATCTCAGCTCAAAACTCTCCTGCTACAGTAAGGTAGCTATACCAGCATGCCAGCCTCTGTTTCACAGCAGATCTTGAAGGGGACCAATCTCAGCTCTGGCCCTTCCTGTAGCAGTCAAGAAACTAGCCCACTTGTGCAGGAATCTGCCGGATGATGCATGCTTATCTGAACTGACATGGGCTCACTAGCCTCCTTCTCACAGCAGCTCCCAAAAGGGCCCAGGCCTTTTGCTACTCTTGCTGCACTTGGGGACACAGCCCACCTGTACAGAGACTTGCTAGGAGGTATGTGCCTATCTGGGCCACTGGGACAGTCATTCAGCATTTTCACACAACCCCAGTACCCTTCTTGAGTCTTTCCCAGGTCCATCTGGGTCAGAAAACTGTGTCAACCTTGAAGCCTTCAAGAGGTTCACAGTAAGCCTGGGCTTAGGGTGTCTTATAATGCTGAGACAGCTGCAGTGGTCACAGGCTTTGGGAAAACAACAGTAAGTCAGCTTAGAATCCCTGGAAATCCCTCTAAAGGACAGGCATAAACAAAGCCAGTCTGTGAAGAATGAAATAAATACCTAATCCCTCAATGCAGGGATATTGTCACACTTCCACAAGCATCAATAACATTTAGGGAAATATGACCTCAACAAATGGACAAAATAAGGCAGCAGAGACCAAACTTAAAATGATGGAGATGTGTGATCTCTCATACAAAGAATTCAAAAAAGCTGCTGTAGGGAAGCTCAATGAACTTTAAGGAACATAGAGAATCCATTTAGAAATTTATCATAGAAATTTTAAGAGAGATTGAAATAATTAAAATCAAACAGAAATCCTGAAGGTATAAAATACAATGAATGAAATGAAAAACGCAATAGTGAGCATAAACAGCAGAAGTGATCAAACAGTATAATCAGTGAGCTCAAAGACAGATTATTTGAAAATATACAGTCAGGAGAAAAAAGAATGAAAAAGAATAAAGAAAGCTTACAGGACCTATGAGACAACATTAAAGGAGAACATATTCAGGTTATTGGAGTTAAAGAGGGAATTGAAAAAGGCAAAGGGGTAGAAAGCTTATTCAAATAAACAATAACATAAACTTTCTAAACCTGAAGAAAGATATAAATATCCAGGTGCAGAAAGGTTAAAGGTCATCAATCAGATTCAACACAAATAGGAACACCCCAAGACATACAAAAACACTAAAAGGTAAAAGACAAAGAGAGGATTCAAAAAGCAGCAAGAGAAAAGAAAGAAAATATAAGGGAGATCCAATACACGTGGCAGCAGCAGACTTCTTAGCAGAAATTTTACAGGCCAGGAGGGAGTAAAACAATATATCCAGAGTGCTAAAGAAAATGCCAGACAAGAACACTGTACCCAACAAAGCTATCCTTCAGAAACGAAGGAGAAAGAAAAAGCTTTAACAGACAAACAAAAGCTGAGGAAACATATTGTTACTAGACCTGTCCAACAAGAAGTGCTAATGGAAGTTCTTCAAACCCAAAGAATAGAATGCTAAGGTGATTGTTACACTGTTATTGTGATTGTGGTGTTTAAACCATTTATATCTTTAGTAAGAAGACTAAAAGACAAAACTATTAAAAATAAGAATATTTTAAACTATTAAAAATAAAAATATTGCCTATTTTAAATAGGCAATATTTATCATAGAAATTTTAAGAGAGATTAAAATAATTAAAATGAAACAGAAATCCTGAAGGTATAAAATACAACTATTTTAAACCAGCATTATTTTTTACACAGTAAATTGTGACTTCAAAAATTCAAAATGTGGGGAGAGAAGGAAGTTAATGTGTACAGGGTTGTTTTTTTCTTCATGTTATGTGCAATCAGTTCAGTTGGTGACAGTTTTAAACAACTTGCTATGGCTATAAGATGCTTTATATAAGCGTCATGGAAACCACAGAGTAAAAACCTATCACTGATATCCTAAAAATTAAAAGCAATGAATTAAAACAATGCTACCAGAGAAAACCACTTACATACAAAGGAAAACAGTATGAAAGGAAGAGAAAAGTTACACAACAACTATAAAACAAGTAGCAAAATGGCAGTAGTAAGGACTTACCTATCAATAATAACACTGTTATTAAGTAAATTAAATTATCCAATTAAAAGACAAAGAGTGGCTGCATGAATTAAAAACAGAACCCAACTATATGCTGCATATAAGAAATTCACTTCACTTATAAAGATGCATGCAGATTGAAAGTGAAGGGATGGAAAAAGATATCCCATGCAAAGGCAAACCAAACATGAACAGGAGTAGCTATGCTTAGATAATATAAAATAGACTTTAAGTCAAAAATTATGAAAACACATGAAAAACACATGAAAACATATGAAAAAATGCTCACCATCACTGGCCATCAGAGAAATGCTAATCAAAATCACAATGAGATACCATCTCACACCAGTTAGAATGGCAATCATTAAAAAGTCAGGAAACAACAGGTGCTGGAGAGGATGTGAAGAAACAGGAACACTTTTACACTGTTGGTGGGACTGTAAACTAGTTCAACCATTGTGGAAGTCAGTGTGGCGATTCCTCAGGGATCTAGAACTAGAAATACCATTTGACCCAGCCATCCCATTACTGGGTATATACCCAAAGGACTATAAATCATGCTGCTATAAAGACACATGCACACGCATGTTTATTGCGGCACTATTCACAATAGCAAAGACTTGGAACCAACCCAAATGTCCAACAATGATAGACTGGATTAAGAAAATGTGGCACATATACACCATGGAATATATGCAGCCATAAAAAATGATGAGTTCATGTCCTTTGTAGGGACATGGATGAAATTGGAAATCATCATTCTCAGTAAACTATCACAAGGACAAAAAACCAAACACCGCATGTTCTCACTCATAGGTGGGAATTGAACAATGAGAACACATGGACACAGGAAGGGGAACATCACACTCTGGGGACTGTTGTGGGGTGGGGGGAGGGGAGAGGGATAGCATTAGGAGATATACCTAATGCTAAATGACGAGATAATGGGTGCAGCACACCAGCATGGCACATGTATACATATGTAACTAACCTGCACATTGTGCACATGTACCCTAAAACTTAAAAGTATAATAATAATAAAATTAAAAAAATAATAAAAAATAAAAAAATTATACAAAAAGGCAAAAAGGCCATTGTATAATTGATAAAGGGGTCACTTCAACAATAGGAGATAACAATAGTAAATATGTATGCACCCAACACCAGAGCACCCAAATATATCAGCAAATATTAACAGATTTGAAATGAGAGATATACTATAATACAATAATAGTTAGGGACTTCAACAACACACTTTTGGTGGTGGACAGATCATCCATGCAGAATATCAACAAAGAAATATTGTAGTTAAACTACACATGAATTCGACCTAACAGACATTTAGAGAACATTCTACCCAACTGCTGCAGAATACACATTCTTCTCATCAGCAAATGGAATAACCTCCAGGATAGACCATATTTTAGCAACAAAATAAGTCTCAACAAATTCAAAAAAGTAAAAATTGTATCAGGTGTCTTTTCCGACCACAATGGAATAAAACTAGAAATCAAGAACAAGTGAAACTTGGGAAACTGTACAAATACATGAAAATTAAACAATATATCCTCAAACAACCAATGGGTCAAGGAAGAAATTAAGAAGGAATTTTAAATACTTTTGAAACAAATGAAAATGGAAACAAAACACACCAGCATCTATGGGATACAGAAAAAGTGTACTAAGAGGGAAGTTTATACGAATAAATAGCTACATTAAATAAATTTCAAATAAGCAACCTAACAGTGCACCTCAAGAAACTATAAAAGCAAGAATAAACCACCCTGAAATTAGTAGAAAGACATTTTTAGAAGATCAGAGCAGAAATAAGTGAAATTGAGACCAAAAAACAATACAAAAGATCAGCAAAATGAAAAGTTGAATTTTGAAAAGATAAAACAAAATTGGCAAATCTTTAGTTAGAATAAAAAGGAGAATAAAAAAGAGAAGCCCCAAATGAATAAAATTGGAGAAGAAAAAGGAAACATTACAACTGAAACCAAAGAAGTACAAAGGATCATTAGAGACTATTATGAGCAACTATGTGCCAATAACTTGGATAATCTAGAAGAAATGGATAAATTTCTGGACACATACAACCTACCAAGATTGAACTATGAAGAAATAGAAAATCTGAACATACCAATAATGAGTAACAAGATCAAAGCAGTTATAATCAGTCTCCCATCAAAGAAAAGCCCAGGATCTGACAGATTCACTGTTAAAGTCTACCAAACATTGGAAGAAGAACTAATATCAACTCTACTAAAATTTTAAATTTCAAAAAATTAAAGAGGAGAGAATAGTATTCAACTCATTTATAAGGCTAGAATTACTCTGATACCAAAACCGAACAAGAACACAACAAAAACTACAGGCCAATATCCCTAATGAACATAGATGCAAAAATCCTCAACAAAATACTAGCAATCTGAACAACATACTAAGAGAGATTATTTATCATGATCTATTGGAATTAAACCTAGAGATGCAAAAATGGTTCAACATGTACAAATCAGTATATGTGCTCAATCGTATCAACAGAATAAAGGACAAAAACTATATGATCATTTCAATACAGGCTTAAAAAACATTCAGTAAAATTCAACATCCCTTCATGATAAAAACCCTCAACAAACTGGTATAGAAGGAACATACCTGCACATGATAAAGGACACATATGACAAGCCCACAGCTAATCTCATACTGAACAAAGAAAAACTGAAAGCCTTCCCACTGAGATCTGTAACAAGGCAAAGATGCCCATTTTCACCACTTGTATTCAAAATAGTACTGGAATTGCTAGCCAGAGCAATTAGGCAAGAGAAAGAAATAAAGGGCACCCAGATTGGAAAGGAAGAAGTCAAATTATCTTTTTTTCCAGATGACATGATCCTATATTTAGAAAAATATAAATACTCCATGAAAAAACTCACAGGACTGATAAACGAATTCAGTAAATTTGCAGGATATAAAATCAACACATACAAAAAATCAATAGTGTTTCTACATGCAAACAGCAATCAATCCAAAAAATAAATCAAGAAAGTGATCCCGAGATCTTTCCAAGATGGCCAAATAGGAACAGCTCCAGTCTACAGCTCCCAGCATGAGCGATGCAGAAGACGGGTGATTTCTGCATTTCCAACTGAGGTACTGGGTTCATCTCACCAGGACTTGTTGGACAGTAGGTGCAGCCCATGGAGTGTGAGCCGAAGCAGGGCAGGGCATCGCCTCACCTGGGAAGTGCAAGGGGTCAGGGAATTCCCTTTCCTAGCCAAGAGAAGCCATGACAGACTGTACCTGGAAAATTGGGACACTCCTGCCCTAATACTGCGGTTTTCCAACAGTCATAACAAACAGCACACCAGATTATATCCCGCTCCTGGCTTGGCAGGTCCCATGCCCATGAAACCTTGCTCACTGCTAGCATAGCAGTCCGAGATTGAACTGACAGGTGGCAGCGAGGCTGGGGGGAGGGGCATCTGCCATTGCTGAGGCTTGACTAGGTAAAAACAGCAACCTGGAAGCTCGAACTGGGTGGAGCCCACTGCAGCTCAATGAGGCCTGCCTGCCTCTGTAGACTCCACTTCTGGGGGCAGGGCATAGCTGAACAAAAGGCAGCAGAAACTTCTGCAGACTTAAATGTCCCTGTCTGACAGCTTTGAAGAGAGCAGTTGTTCTCCAAGAATGGAGTTTGACATCTGAGAACAGATAGACTGCCTCCTCAAGTGGGTCCCTGACCCCCGAGTAGCCTAACTGGGAGACACTTCCCAGTTAGGCACCTCATACAGTGGGGTGCCCTCTGAGATGAAGCTTCCAGAGGAAGATCAGGCAGCAACATTTGCTGTTCTGCAACGTTTGCTGTTCTGCAGCCTCTGCTGGTGATACCCAGGCAAACAGGATCTGGAGTGGACCTCCAGTAAACTCCAACAGACCTGCAGCTGAGGGTCCTGACTGTTAGAAGGAAAACTAACAAACAGAAAGGAATAACATCAACAAAAAGGACATCCACACCAAAATCCCATCTGTAGGTCACCATCATCAAAGACCAAAGGTAGATAAAACCAAAAAGATAGGGAGAAACCAGAGCAGAAAAGCTGAAAATTCTAAAAATCAAAGCGCCTCTTCTCTTCCAAAGGATCGCAGCTCCTTGCCAGCAACAGAACAAAGCTGGATGGAGAATGACTTCAACAAGTTGACAGAAGTAGGCTTCAGAAGATTAATAATAATAAACCTCTGAGCTAAAGGAGGATGTTCGAACCCATCGCAAGGAAGCTAAAAACCTTGAAAAAAGATTAGACGAATGGCTAACTAGAATAAACAGTGTAGAGAAGACCTTAAATGACCTGATGGAGCTGAAAACCATGGCACGAGAATTACCTCGCCAATTTGATCAAGTGGAAGAAAGGGTATCAGTGATTGAAGATCAAATTAATGAAATGAAGCGAGAAGAGAAGTTGAGAGAAAAAAGAGTAAAAAGAAACAAACAAAGCCTCCAAGAAATATGGGACTATGTGAAAAGACCAAATCTACGTTTGACTGGTGTATCTGAAAGTGATGGGGAGAATGGAACCAAATTGGAAAACACTCTTCAGGATATTATCTGGGAGAAAGTCCACAACCAAGCAAGGCAGGCCAACATCCAAATTCAGGAAATACAGAGAACGCCACAAAGATATTCCTCAAGAAGAGCAACCCCAAGACACATAATTGTCAAATTCACCAAGGCTGAAATGAAGGAAAAAATGTTGAGGGCAGCCAGAGAGAAAGGTCAGGTTACCCACAAAGGGAAGCCCATCAGACTAAGATGGGCTCTCGGCAGAAACTCTACAAGCCAGAAGAGAGTGGGGGCCAATATTTAACATTCTTAAAGAAAGGAATTTTCAACCCAGAATTTCATATCCAGCCAAACTAGGCTTCATAAGTGAAGGAGAAATAAAAGCCTTTACAGACAAGCAAATGCTGAGAGATTTTGTCACCACCAGGCCTGCCTTACAAGAGGTCCTGAAGGAAGCACTAACCATGGAAAGGAACAACTGGTACCAGCCACTGTGAAAACATGCCAATTTGTAAAGACCATGGATGCTAGGAAGAAACTGTATCAACTAACGGGCATAATAACCAGCTAACATCATAATGACAGGGTCAAATTCACACATAACAATATTAACCTTAAATGCAAATGGGATAAATGCCCCAATTAAGAGATGCAGACTGGCAAATTGGATAGAGTCAAGACCTATCAATGTGCTGTATTCAGGAAACCCATCTCATGTGCAGAGACATATAGAGGCTCAAAATAAAAGGATGGAGGAAGATCTACCAAGCGAATGGAAAACAAAAAAAGCAGGGATTGCAATCCTAGTCTCTGATAAAACAGACTTTAAACCAACAAAGATCAAAAGAGATAAAGCCATTACATAATGGTAAAGGGATCAATTCAACAAGAGCTAACTATCCTAAATACATATGCACCCAATACAGGAGCACCCAGATTCATAAAGCAAGTCCTTGGAGACCTACAAAGAGACTTTGACTCCCACACAATAATAATGGGAGACTTTAACACCCCACTGTCAACATTAGACAGATCAATGAGACAGAAAGTTAACAAGGATATCCAGGAATTGAATACAGCTGTGCACCAAGTGGACCTAATAGACATCTACCAAACTCTCCACCCTAAATCAACAGAATATACATTTTTCTCAGCACCACATTGAACTTATTCCAAAGTTGACCACATAGTTGGAAGTAAAGCGCTCCTCAGCAAATGTAAAAGAACAGAAATTATAACAAACTGTCTCTCAGACCACAGTGCAATCAAACTAGAACTCAGGATTAAGAAACTCACTCAAAACCGCACAACTACATGGAAACTGAACAACCTGCTCCTGAATGACTACTGGGTACATAACGAAATGAAGGCAGAAATAAAGATGTTCTTTGAAACCAACGAGAACAAAGACACAACTTACCAGAATCTCTGGGACACATTTAAAGCAGCATGTAGAGGGAAATTTATAGTACTAAGTGTCCACAAGAGAAAGCAGGAAATATCTAAAATCAACACCCTAACATCACAATTAAAAGAACTAGAGAAGCAAGAGCAAACACATTCAAAAGCTAGCAGAAGGCAAGAAAAACTGAGACGAGCAGAATGGAAGGAGATAGAGACACAGAAAATCCTTCAAAAAAATCAATGAATCAAGGAGCTGGTTTTTTGAAAAGATCAACAAAATTGATAGACCACTAGCAGGACTGATAAAGAAGAAAAGAGAGAAGAATCAAATAGATGCAATAAAAAATGATAAATGGGATATCACCACTGATCCCACAGAAATACAAACTGATCCCACAGAAATACAAACTACCATCAGAGAATACTATAAACACTTCTATGCAAATAAACTAGAAAATCTAGAAGAAATGGATAAATTCCTGGACACATACACCCTCCCAACACTAAATCAGGAAGAAGTTAAATCCCTGAATAGACTAACACCAAGCTCCGAAATTGAGGCAATAATTAATAGCCTACCAACCATAAAAAGTCCAGGACCAGACGGATTCACAGCCGAATTCTACCAGAGGTACAAAGAGGAGCTGGTACCATTCCTTCTGAAACTATTCCAATCAATAAAAAAAGAGTGAATCCTCCCTAACTCATTTTATGAGGCCAGCATCATCCTCATACCAAAGCCTGGCAGAGACACAACAAGAAAAGAGAATTTTAGACCAATCTCCCTGATGAACATCAATGCAGAAATCCTCAATAAAATACTGGCAAACTGAATCCAGGAGCACATCAAAAAGCTTATCCATCACGATCAAGTTGGCTTCATCCCTGGGACGCAAGGCTGGTTCAATATACACAAATCAATAAAAGTAATCCATCATATAAACAGAACCAAAGACAAAAAACCACATGATTATCTCAATACATGCAGAAAAGGCCTTCGACAAAATTCAACAGCCCTTCATGCTAAAAACTCTCAATAAACTAGATATTGATGGGACGTATCTCAAAATAATAAGAGCTATTTATGACAAAACCACAGCCAGTATCATACTGAATGGGAAAAAACTGGAAGCATTCCCTTTGAAAACTGGTACAACACAGGGATGCCCTCTCTCACCACTCCTATTCAACATAGTGTTAGAAGTTCTGGCCAGGGCAATTAGGCAGGATAAAGAAATAAAGGGTATTCGATTAGGAAAAGAGGAAGTCAAATTGTCCCTGTTTGCAGATGACATGATTGTATATTTAGAAAACCCCATCATCTCAGCCCAAAATCTCCTTAAGCTGATAAGCAACTTCAGTAAAGTCTCAGGACACAAAATCAATCTGCAAAAATCACAAGCATTCCTATACACCAATAACAGACAGACAGCCAAATCATGAGTGAACTCCCATTCACAACTGCTTCAAAGAGAATAAAATACCTAGGAATCCAACTTACAAGAGATGTGAAGGACCTCTTCAAGGAGAACTACAAACCACTGCTCAAGGAAATAAAAGAGGATACAAACAAATGGAAGAACCTTCCATGCTGATGGATAGGAAGAATCAATATTGTGAAAATGGCCATTCTGCCAAGGTAATTTATAGATTCAATGCCATCCCCATCAAGCTACCAATGACTTTCTTCACCGAATTGGAAAAAACTACTTTAAAGTTCATATGGAACCAAAAAAGAGCCCGTATTGCCAAGTCAATCCTAAGCCAAAGAACAAAGCTGGAAGCATCACGCTACCTGACTTCAAACTATACTACAAGGCTACAGTCACCAAAACAGCATGGTACTGGTACCAAAACAGAGATATAGATCAATGGAACAGAACAGAGCCCTCAGAAATAATACCACACATCTACAACCATGTGATCTTTGACAAACCTGACAAAAACAAGAAATGGGGAAAGGATTCCCTATTTAATAAATGGTGCTGGGAAAACTGGCTAGCCATATGTAGAAAGCTGAAACTGGATCCCCTCCTCACACCTTATACTAAAATTAATTCAAGATGGATTAAAGACTTAAATGTTAGACCTGAAACCATAAAAACCCTAGAAGAAAACCTAGGCAATACCATTCAGGACACAGGCATGGGCAAGGACTTATGTCTAAAACACCAAAAGCAATGGCAACAAAAGACAAAATTGACAAATGGGATCTAATTAAACTAAAGAGCTTCTGCACAGCAAAAGAAACTACCATCAGAGTGAACAGGCAACCTACAGAATGGGAGAAAATTTTTGCAATCTACCCATCTGACAAAGGGCTAATATCCAGAATCTACAAAGAACTTAAACAAATTTACAAGAAAAAATCAAACAACCCCATCAAAAAGTGGGTGAAGGATATGAACAGACACTTCTCAAAAGAAGACATTTATGCAGCCAAAAGACACATGAAAAAATGCTCATCATCACTGGCCATCAGAGAAATGCAAATCAAAACCACAATGAGATACCATCTCACACCAGTTAGAATGGCGATCATTAAAAAGTCAGGAAACAACAGGTGCTGGAGAGGATGTGGAGAAACAGGAACACTTTTACACTGTTGGTGGGAGTGTAAACTAGTTCAACCATTGCGGAAGACAGTGTGGCAATTCCTCAAGGATCTAGAACTAGAAATACCATTTGACCCAGCCATCCCATTACTGGGTATATACCCAAAGGATTATAAATCATGCTACTATAAAGACACATGCACACATATGTTTATTGCAGCACTATTCACAATAGCAAAGACTTGGAACCAACCCAAATGTCCATCAATGATAGATGATTAAGAAAATGTGGCACATATGTACCATGGAATACTATGCAGCCATAAAAAAGGATGAGTTCAGGTCCTTCGTAGGGACATGGATGAAGCTGGAAACCATCATTCTGAGCAAACTATCACAAGGACAGAAAGCCAAACACCGCATGATCTCACTCATAGGTGGGAATTGAACAATGAGAACACATGGACACAGGGTGGGGAACATCACACGCCGGGGCCTGTCATGGGGTGGGGGGCTCGGGAAGGGATAGCATTAGCAGAAATCCCTAATATAAATGACGGGTTAATGGGTGCAGCACACCAACATGGCACATGCATACATATGTAACAAAGCTGCACGTTGTGCACATGTATCCTGGAAATTAAAGTATAATAAAAAAAAGAAAGCAATCCCATTTACAATAGCTACAATTTAAAAAAAAATACCTAGGAATAAATTTAACCAAAGAAGTGAAAGATCTGTACAAGGAAAACTATAAAACTCTAATGAAAGAAATGTAAGAGAACACAAAAGATAATAAGATATCTCATAATCATGGATTAAAATGATTAATATTGTTAAGACGTCTATACTACCCAAAGAAATCTACAGACTCAATGCAATCCCTAACAAAATACCAATGACATTTTTCACATAAATAGAAAAAAATCCAAAAATTCATATGAAACTACAAAATATCCTGAATAGCTAAAGTAATCCTGAGCAAAAAGAACAAAGTTGGAGGCATCACACTACATGATTTTAAATTCTACTACAAAAGTATAGTAACCAAAACAGCATCGTACTGGCATGAAAATAGATACAGAGACCAATGGAACAAAATAGTGAATCCAGAAATAAATCCATACACTTACAGCCAACTCATTTTCAACCAGGATGCCAAGAATACACAATGGGAAGAGGACATTCTCTTTAATAAATGATGCTCAGAAAAATCAATATCCATATGCAGCGGAATGAAACTAGATCCGCCTCTCACCATGTGCAAAAAAGCAACTCAAAATAGATTAAATATTTAAATATAAGTCCTCAAACTCTGAAACTAGTAGAAGAAAACATTGGGGGGAAAACACTACAGGACCTTGGTCTGGGCAAAGTTTTTTGGGTAAGACTTCAAAAGCACAGACAACCAAAGCAAAAATAGACAAATAAGATTACATCAAACTAAAAAGCTTCTGCACAACACAGGAAACAATCAACAATCTGCACACTAGGAGAAAATATTCACAGTCTCTTCTTCCACACAGGGGATTAATAACCAGAATATATAAGGAACTTGAGCAACTCAATAGCAGAAAGCCCAACTAATCTAATTTAAAAATGGTTAAAAGACCTAAATAGACATTCCTCAAGAGAAGACATACAAATACTCAACAGGCATATTTTTAAAATGCTCAACATTACTAATAATCAGGGAAATAAAAGTCAAAATCACAATGAGCTATCATCTCACCCTAGTTAGAATGGCTATTATCAAAAAGACAAAAAATAACAAATGTTGGTGGGAATGCAGAGAAAGGGGAATGCCTGTACATCATTGGAAAGAATGTGAAATAATACAACCATTATGGAAGACATTAAGGAGGTTCCTCAAAAAACTAAAAATAGAACTACCATATGATCCAGCAATCCCACTGCTGGGTATATATCCAAAAGAAAGGAAATTAGTGTATGAAAGAAATATCTATTCTCTCATCTTTATTGCAGCACTTTTCATAATAGCAAAGATATGGAATCAACCAAAGTGTCCATTAATGGATAAATGAATTTTAAAATGTGGTATGTATACAAAATGGAATATTATTTAGCCATAAAAAAGAGTGAAGTTTTGTCACTTGCAACAACATGGAAGAACTGGAGGTCATTACGTTAAGGGAAATAAGCCAGGCACCAAAAAACAAATACTGAATGTTCTCACTCATATGTGGAAGCTAAAAAAGTTTATCTCATTGAGGTAGAGAATAGAACAGTGTTTAGCAGAGGCTGGAAAAAGAAGGGAGGAGGGGGTGATGAAGAGAGTTTCATTAATAGGTAAAAAATACAATTAGATAGAAGGAATAAGTTCTGGTATTTGATAGTACAGTAGGGAAATTAAAGTGAACAATAGTTTACTATATATTTCAAATAGCTAGAAGAAATGTAATGTTCCTAACAAAGAAAAGATAAATTATTGATGTATGAACATCCTAATTACCCTGATTTTATTACACACTGTTTACATGTATCAAAATATCACATGTACTTCAAAAATATGTACAACTATGATATAACATTAAAAATGTTTTTAAATGTTTTAATTTTTAAATATGGAAATAAAAGGGTGTCAATTTCCAGCAGTTAAGGACTAGCTTCCTGCAATCAAAGCCTCCTACAAAGAACAACAAAAGGAAGCCAATTTTTAAAAATATCATTTGTTTGAAGGCTGGAGATCTGGGATTTAAGGAGACATGCTTCCAGAGTGGAACCAAGAGATAACCCAGGCTTTTGGCACAACATTTTGCCCAGAGGCATTTTCTAAATCACAAACATCAAATTAGAGGTTAAGAAGTGGAGAAGAGCTTTCATTACTCTCAAAAGATTGTAAAGAGTAACTATAAACACCCAGGACTTACTGCTGTGATCCTTAAAAGGGCTGTATCCTAACAGTAAAGTTGAACGAAAATAGGCTCTACCTCTAATAGAAGGATACTCCGACTCAAATCAGGTCAATCACATGATATTAAAGTGAGCTTCACCAAAACTAACATTCTACCAAAAACAAAAATAAATCATTTCAGGAGGAATATAATATCACCCAGAGCATCAAGTTATCACTACAAATTTTCATACACAATGTCTGAAATTCTGTCAACGTAAAACAAGAAATGACTGAGTAATGTCATCAAGATGACAGAGTAGGAGATACCAGCCTTCATCCGTGCTGACCTGCCCCACCGCAAACACACATACATAAACAAAAAACATATATAGATGTCTACCCACAAACCAAAATCACCCTGAGAAGACTCAAGGGACCAAGAAAAAATCTGCAGCAACGCAATAGAGCACACAAAATAGAGAATATTCACACAGAAAGGATTGCTGGTGAGATCAGTATATTTGTGATAACTAGAGATGGCTAGGAACAAAAATGAAATGCAGAGACTATTAGTATCAGCCATGTACAGGAACCACCATCATCCCCAGTGGCCTGCTCCACAGAAAACACTGGCATCTTTTACTTTTTTACTTTTTACATCCAAGAGACAACTAACAGTCATTCTTGCAGGGGAACCTCAGAGAGAAAGATGCAGCTGTACACCACTTTCCCCTCCAAAGGCAGCCTCTGTTGAGCCCCTAAAGGAATGGAACCGCTATCTTTCCCAACCCTCAACCCTTGAGTAGCAGCCGCCCTGCAAGTGCCCACACTCCAGACTTGGGATCTAGGGCTGCACTGCACATACCCACATATCAGACACCAAAGCCATTGCCATAGCAATCTAGTTCATATTCCAGACCCTGAAGCCAGGGTCTCTTTGAATGTGACCATATTCCAGGCAACAGCCACCATACAGAACTGGGCACCTGAGCCCTGTATCTCTGCATATGTCTCTGCTCAGCTCCACAGTTGCTTCACAAGCACCTATGCATTGCATACTGTTACCAACAAGACAGCAAGGGTGCCAGTGCCCAAGCCACCAATGCCAGTACCACCTCAGATTCAGGATTCATAGACCCTCCACAAGTACCAGTGCTTCAGTGAGATATTGCTCCTCACTGGAGGGCATTAGCTATGGGGGTCCACCCGCAGACCCTGACCCAAACAACAGATGAATAAAACCTACACTGATACACAGATAATCTCTTTTGCCAGTCCTGCTGAGTGTCCGACTGCCTGCACACCAAGAGGGGTTTGTCACTGCGGCCAGCCCTGAGCAGTTCGCACTCCAGGCATTTATTTAGTATACAATAAATAACAAAAGCTCTGAGTCGACACACTTGTGGATAATTAACATGGTTAAGAGAGTAGTTCTAGGAATGATTAAAGCTCAGGTACTGCCATCTAAACACTATTAGGGGGCAATATCCCTGGTCGACCTCCCCCCAAGAGGGTCATCTGGCTCAAAGGTTAGTTAATGGAAGTAGGGTAAACAGACTTAACTGGGGAAGCCTCTATTGTCCCTAGTATTTACCCTATGACCTAATGCTCTAAGGTAAGAACTGGTTGCCTTCAGCCTGTTCAATTATTACAAGCTATGTAACCTTTCGGCCTTCCAAAAGGTTTGTGACTATTTCTTATAACTTTTCCTAATATTTCCCGTTAATATTTCTGCCACCATCCTGAGTGAATCCCAACATTTCAGGCTTCATTTCTATGGCCACTCCACAGGTACCACTCAGCAGACATCAGTGCCAATGCCATTTGGGCTTGCAAGTAGGATCCAGTGTCAAGAGAACTTCCATCACTACAACATCAGGATCAAGAAGACCTTAGCAGCTACTACCACCATAAACCCCAACAACTCACACTACTGCAACAAACATCCCCACTGTTGCATGCTGAGGATCCATGTAATCTTTGTCAGTACCAAACCCAGCTGACAGAGCTGCAAAGAGACTGCACAGCTGTGCACTCAGTGATGCCAGAACTGCTGTTGCATCCCACCTAGCAAACACTCTTGCACCTCCTTTTTACCCATAGGAAAAGGTGTTTATACAACAAAAACTAGTCTGTAAATTCTAGTATAGGTGACTGCTCTACAAATGCACAGAAATCAACATAAGGCAGTAAAGAACATGAACAACTAAGTAGACATACTACCAAAATAACACAGTCTCCCAGTAGCTGACCCCAAAGAAATAAAGATGTATAAACTGCCTCACAGACCATTTAAAATAATTGCTTTAAGAAAGCTCAGCAAACTTCAAGAAAAAACAGATAAACAATTCAGTGAAATAAGGAAAATAATAAATGATCAAATGAATACACTTAACAGAGAGATTAAAATTATTTTAAACAACAAATTTTGGAGCTGAAAAATACAATAAATGAAGTGAAAAATGCAATAGACCCAGTAATGCAATTGCTGAGTCAAATGAGGCAAATCCTATATCTTTGAGGATTTGCCACACTGTCTTCCATAATGGTTGAACTAATTTATACTCCCACCAAAACTGTGAAAGCATTTCTTTTCTCTGCATCCTCTCCAGCATCTGTTATTTCTTGATTTTTTTAAATAATTGCCATTCTGACTTGCATGAGATGGTATCTTCCTGTGGTTTGGCTTGCATTTCTCTAATAATCAGTGAAGTTGAGCTTTTTTCGTATGCTTGTTGGCCACATGAATGTCTTCTTTTGAGAACTGTCTGTTCATGTCCTTTGCCCAGTTTTTAATGGGATTGCCTGTTTTTTTTCTTGTACATTTGTTTAAGTTCATGGTAGACTCTGAATATTAGATCTTTGTCAGATGGGTAGATTGCAAAAATCTTCTCCCATTCTGTAGGTTGTCTGTTCGCTCTGATCATAGTTTCTTTCTTTCTTTTTCTTTTTTTTTTTTTTTTTTTTTTTTGGGAGACGGAGTCTCTGTCACCCAGGCTGTAGTGTAGTGCAGTGGTGTGATCTCAGCTAACTGCAACCTCTAGTCCCTGGGTTCAAGTAATTCTCTGCCTCAGCCACCCAAGTAGCTGGGATTACAGGTGCCCACCACCACGCCCAGCTAATTTTTGTATTTTTAGTAAAGACAGTGTTTCGCCATCTTGGCCATGTTGGTCTTGAACTCCCAACCTCATGATCCACCTGCCTCAGCCTCCCAAGAGCTGGGATTACAGGCATAAGCCACCGCACCTGGCCTCATGATAGTTTCTTTTGGTATGCAGAAGTTCTTTAGTTTAAGTATGTCTGTTTTGTCAATTTTTGCTTTTGTTGCAATTGCTTTTGGCATTTTCACCATAAAATTTTTGCACTTGCCTATGTCCTGAATGGTATTGCCTAGAGTCTCTTCTAGGACCTTTACAGCTTTGGATTTTACATTTAAGTCTTTAATCCATCTCGAGTTAATTTTTCTATAAGGTCTAAGGAAGGGGTCCTGTTTCAATTTTCTGCATATGGCTAGGCAGTTCTCCTAGCACCATTTATTAAAGAGGGAATGTTTTCCCCATTGCTTGTTTTTGTCAGGTTTGTTGAAGATCAGGTGGTTCTAGGTGTGCAGTCTTATTTCTGAGTTCTCTATTTTGTTCCATTGCTCTACATGTCTGTTTTTGTACCAGTACCATACTGTTTTGGCTACTGTAGCCTTCTAGTATAGTTTGAAGTCAGGTACCATGACATCTCCAGTTGTGTTCTTTTTGCTTAGCAAAAATTTTAAAATAGTTTTTTTCTAATCCTGTGAAGAATGTCAATGGTAGTTTAACTGAAATAGCATTGAATCTGTAAATTACTTTGAGCAGTATGATCATTTTCACGTTATTGATTCTTCCTATCCATGAGCATGGAATGTTTTCTTATTTGTTTGTGTTCTCTCTAACTTCCTTGAGCAGTAGTTTGTAGCTCCCCTTGAAGACATTCTTCACTTCCCTTGTTAGCTGTATTCCTAGGTATTTTATTCTCTTTGTAGCAATTGCAAATGGAAGTTCATTCATATCACTTGAGTCCAGGTGTTGGAGACAAGCCTGGGCAACATGGCCAAACCCTATCTCTACAAAAAAATTAAAAATTAGCTGGGCATGATGGCTCATGCCTGTAGCCCCAGCTACTCTGGAGGCTGAAGTGAGAGGATCTCTTGAGCCCAGGAGGTTGAGTCTAAAGTGATCCAGGATTGCACCACTACACTCTAGCCTGGACAACAGAGTGAGACCCTCTCTCAAAAAAAAAAAAAAAAAAAAAAAAAAGAATATATAAAGAAATCCTACTAAGTACTAAGAAACAGACTAACATAAAATTGGATATAAAATGTGAATAGGTACTTCTCAAATGAGGATCACCAAGTATCCAATAGTCATATAAGAATGTGCTCAACATCACTAGCATTAAAGGAAATGAAAAACCTCAAATACAACTCTACTACAAATATGCTAAAATATAAAATTACAAAAAATAAAAACATCAAGTATTAGCAATATGTGCAAGTCTCATATTGTGTATGAGGGAAGCATAAATTGATATTTTTAGGAAGCTGTTTAGCAGAATCAACTATAGCCAATTAAAAGTATGCCCATGACTCAGCAATCACATTCCTAGGTATATATTCCTAGGTATAACAGAAATTAGTCCATATTTGAACAAAAAAATGTTTAGAATGTTTCTAGTAACTTTATTCAAAAATAGAAAACTGGAAAAAATTGAATCATCCATCAACTGTAAAAAGTGTTGCAGAATCTTGCTCCTTAGTTCAGCTAAAACTGGGTTCTTGTCACTAAACCAGGAAAATTTAGGCATGCAAACACATTGAAGGGTGAGTAGAACAAGATTTTACTGGGTGAAAAGAGAAAAAAAAGAAAAAAAAACTCAGCAAAGTGAGATGGAGTACTGCTAACAGGCCACTGACCTCACAGATTGGATACTGGGCCACCACACAGGAACTGAAGAGAGCAGGCTCCTCTCCTGCATAAGGCCTGAATTCCCCGTGGCTCCACCTACTTCCCCCAGTGTACATGTCGGCCTCCAGTCCGCTGTGGGCATGCCCAGACAAGCCCTGGGCAGGTTTCCCCATCTGCACAAAAGCATCTGATGTAAACACTTCTGGGGCAGGTGGGAGATTCTCCAGGGACCTTTTTTTTTTAATCTGCCTAAGCATTTGGCTGTCTCATTATCCCCTTTAATGAAGTACATCTAGCTGCCATTAGAATAAGGATACGGGTAAGGATGAAGACCGATCTTAACTGCTGCTTCCAACAGTGGGCGCTGTTCGGGAAAATGGCAGTCAGATCTCCCTCAGAGGCCTATCTAAGGGTCGTTGTTAAAGGGGCCATTGTTGGAGGTTCTGGTTGCATGACCATGTGGAGATTGATGGCCTGAAGGCAAGAAGAGACAAACAGGGTTATTAAGAAACACATATCAAAATGAAACAAGGGGTGGGTAAGGACAGCTCAGAGATCCTGAGATCTTTTATTAGTTTGCACAGGGAGAGGGAGGCCAAAAACCCGACTGGTAAAAAAAGAAAAAGAAAAAAAAAACTTTTGCCCTTTTGCTAGCATGTGAGGCTTCTGGGTCCCTTCCCCTGAGCCCAATCCTAAGCCAATTGGTTTAAGGTTTGAGAAATTAATTCTTCCCAGTTTGGAGAATGCATCTGAGGGGAGTGTTCCATAGTATGGATGAGAAGTGAAGCCAGCTGGACTTCCTGGGTCACATGGGGACTTGGAGAACTTTTCTGTCTAGCTAGAGGATTGTAAATGCACCAATCAGCGGTCTGTGTCTAAAGGATTGTTAACGCACCAATCGGCACTCTGTAAAAACACACCAATCAGCACTCTGTGTCTAGCTAAAGGATTGTAAATGCACCAATCAGCACTCTGTGTCTAGCTAAAGGACTGTAAATGCACCAATCAGCACTCTGTAAAATGGACCAATCAGCAGGGCGTGGGCAGGGAAAAATAAGGGAATAAAAGCTGGCCACTCCGGCCAGCAGTGGCAACCCGCTTGGGTCCCCCTCCATGCTGTGGAAGCTTTGTTCTTTCGCTCTTCACAATAAATCTTGCTGCTGCTCACTCTTTGGGTCCGCACTACCTTTATGAGCTGTAACACTCACCGTGAGGGTCTGTGGCTTCATTCCTAAAGTCAGCGAGACCATGAACCCATGGGGAGGAATAAAAAACTCTGGACATGCCACCTTTAAGAGCTGTAACACTCACTGTGAAGGTCTCCAGCTTCACTCCTGAAGTCAGTGAGACCACAAATCCACTGGAAGGAAGAAACTATGGACACCTCTGAACATCTGAAGGAACAAACTCTGGACACACCATCTTGAAGAGCTGTAACGCTCACCGTGAGGGTCCGTGGCTTCATTCTTGAAGTCAGTGAGACCAAGAACCCACCAGAAGGAATAAATTCCAGACACATGGAGACACAATTATGTATCAGTGAAGAGAGAAAGGGAAAGAAAAAGGAAAAAATAAGGTATTTTTTTCAGAGGAGTCCTACAGGTTCAGGATGCATTTGAAAGGGGTACAGACTGAAGATGAATGACTACTCATCTAGAAAGAGGGGAGCAGGTGTCCCTGGTTACTTTCTCTTCCTAGTCAATGCCCAGGGTATATCAGGGAGGGAAAGTGAGACATTCCTCTTTCTTTCCTCTGTCCTTGTATCCCCAAGTCCTGGCAACCGTGATAGGGTGCCCTCCATGGGTGTCAAAGCAGCTTTTGCCCATGTTAATGGGGAGGGGGTGGGGAAGGGAATATTTGCTCTTACCCTATCTCCTCTGCTGTCAGTAGCCTTTGAATTCCCTAGTCCTCATTTTGCACCATGGATACTAGCATGACCTTATCCATGAAATGGGAAGCAAACCTCATATCTGACCCAAATAATTTAGTTTGCCTATTTATATTTTGACTACATCTGCATTTCACCAAAAATCTTTAAGGCTGCTTTTATTTCTCAAAGATTAAAGTCATGTGAACTAAAATGTACCACAGCTTTTATCTTCCCTTTTAAAAAATATTTGATCCAAGTGCTTATCTTCCTTTAGGCCAATTAATTAGCAATTTTTTAATAGACATCACACATACAATACATATATAACTACACAGACAGGCAGAAGAAATCCAGCATCCATAAGATTTTTCATTTGCTAATCTCCTAATTGGATTATTGGTCTCTGGGTGGAGCCCTTTAAGAGACAGGGCTAGGAAAACATGCAGCTTCTAGGGTCTAATAAACAGGCACGACTGGGAGGCAAAATAGATTTTGAGAGAGATCAATCCACTTTTAATTCCTGGGGTTCCATGATGAAAACTGATTTCTTCCCAAAACAGGGTGAGTGGTGCCTTCGCCGTTTTTCCCAAGGAGTCCAATGACCCCAGGAGTTATCTTAAGGCCTCTCATGTGTGTATCGAGTGGAAAGACAAAATGGAGAAAAAGAATTTAGACAACTGAGAACAAAACCTTTTTCCAGCAAAACAAGATCCAAGAAAAGAAAAACATAAAGACCTTTTTAAATATACCTATAACTTGGATATCCACTTTTAATTAAGTTGAGTGCTCTTTAATGCTCATTTACCATGCAAAAATCCTAAGCCTTTAAGAATAATGCCAAGTCTACTCTGCCTGCGCCCTATAAATGGAACAGCATATGAATAACACCTGGATAACAGCACATCTGTTTACAGCATGTTTACTAAATATTTTGAGCCCAGTGTTGAAATCTACTGTGCCAAAAAAAAAACACTTTAAAAATATTACTGCTCATTGACAATGCACCTACTCACCCAAGAGTTCTGATGGAGATATACAAGGAGATAAAGTTTTTTCATGACTTTTCCTTTTCCTCCTTTTCCTCCTATTGCTCTATAGGATATTAACCATTTCATGATTTTAACACAATACCTATTCTGCAGCCAATGGAGCAAGGAGTAATTCTGACTTTCAAGTCTTATTATTTAAGAAATACTTTTTTAGGACTATAGCTGCAATAGATGGTGATTCTTCTAATGGGCCTGGGCAAAGTGAATCCGGGAAAACCTTCTGGAAAGAATTCACCCTTCTAGATGCCATTAAGAACATTTTTGATTCATGGAAAGAGGTCAAAATATCAACATTAAGAAGAATTTAGAAGAAATGAAGACCAAGCCTCATGGATGAGTTTGAGAGGTTTAAGACTTCAGTAGAGGAAGTAACTGCAGATGCGGTGGAGATAGCAAGCAAACTAGAATCAGAAGTGGAGCCTGAATGTGACAGAATTGCTGCAATCTCATAAAACTTGATTGCATAAGGAGTTGCTTCTTTTTTTTTTTTTTTTTTTTTTTTTTGAGGTGGAGTCTTGTTTTGTCACCCAGTCTGGAGTGCAGTGGCGCGATCTCAGTTCACTGCAACCTCCGTCTCCTGGGTTCAAGCGATTCTCCTGCCTCAGCCTCCTGAGTAGCTGGGACTACAGGTGCCCACCACCACACCAGGCTAATTTTTTTTATTTTTAGTAGAGATGGGATTTCACCGTGTTAGCCGGGCTGGTCTTGATCTCCTGACCTCATGATCCGCCCACCTCGGCTTCTCAAAGTGCTGGGATTACAGGAGGAGTTGCTTCTTATGAATGAGCAAAGAAAGTGGTTTTCTGAGATGAAATCTACTCCTGCTGCAGATGCTATGAGCACTGTTGAAATGACAACAAAGGATTTAGAATACTACACATACTTAGTTGATAAAGCGGTGGCAGAGCTGAAGAGGATTGACTTCAATTTTGAAACAAGTTCTGTGAGTAAAATACTATCAAACAGCATCACATGCTACAGAGAAGTCTTTCAAGAAAGGAAGAGTCAATCATCATGACAAACTTCCTTGTCTTATTTTAGGAAATCACTACAGCCATCCCAACCTTTAGCAACCACCACCCTGAGAAGTCAGCAGCCATTAACATCAAGGCAAGACCCTCTACCAACAAAAGATTATGACTCACTGAAGTCTCAGATGATCACTGGCATTTTTAACAATAAAGTATTTTAATTAAGATATGTCCAGTTTTAAATACAATACTGTTGTACACTTAATAGACTACAGTCTAATAGTCTAATAACTTTTTTTCAGATGGAGTCTCACTTTGTCACCGAGGCTGGAGTGCAGTGGCACAATCTTGGCTCACTGCAACCTCCGCCTCTTGGGTTTAAGCGATTCTCCTGCCTCAGCCTCCCTAGTAGCTGGGACTACAGGTGCACACTTCCACACCCAGCTAATTTTTTTCTATTTTTAGTAGAGACGGGTTTCACCATATTGGCCAGGCTGGTCTCGAACTCTTGACATCAGGTGATCTGCCCACCTCAGCCTCCCAAAGTGCTGGGGTTACAGGTATGAGCCATTGCATCCAGCCCTAATAACTTTTATATGCATGGAAAAACCAAAAAATTACTGTGATTCACTTTATTGCAATATTTGCTTTATTGTGGTGATCTAGAACTAAACCCACAATATCTCCAAGGTGTGTCTGTATTTATGTATATATAATATTAAAATAATTCAAAGATCTAATATAGGGGCAAGTCATATTACAAATTAGACGGCTCAAATTTTAAAGATATCAATCCTTCCTGTGGCAAATTAGAAGTGATCATAAACTCTTTGACACTCCTTGACCACAGAAAAAGTCAAGTCTAGGTCCCTTTCTCTTGAATCTAAGTGGACTTTGAACATTTTGACTCACAGAATATAGGAGAAATGATACTGTGACTTTCTAGGCCCACGCTTCAAAAGGACACAGCTTCCATTCTCTATACCTTAGAGCACTCTCTCTGGGACCCCTGAGCTGCTATACAGGAAGTCCAGCTACATTGACACTGCCCTGCTGTAGAAGCCACCTGCAGTGGCTTTTATCAGAGTCTCAGTTCAGCCAGCCTTACTTGCCAGTATATCAGGCATGAGTGAGGTCCTCTCAGACCCTTCAGACCAACCTATCCATCAACTGAATATCACCAAAATTAACAAGCTGAGAGAATACATGGACACATAGAGGGAAATGACAGACACTGGGGCCTATCCAAGGGTGAAGGGCGGGAGTAGAGAGAGGACCAGGAAAAATAACTAATGAGTATCAGGTTTAATACCTGCATGATGAAATAATCTGTTCAACAAACCCCCATGACACAAGTTTACCTATATAACAAACCTGCACAGGTACTCCTGAACTTAAAATAAGAGTTTAGACACAAAACTCATTCTAAATGTATGTGGAAATTAAATGAGACAAGAATGTCCAAGTTTATGTTGAAGAAGAATAAAGTTGGAGAACTCATGCTACCAAAT
Organism: Homo sapiens; assembly: GCF_000001405.40. NCBI lineage: Eukaryota > Metazoa > Chordata > Mammalia > Primates > Hominidae > Homo > Homo sapiens. The sequence goes on from NC_000011.10 coordinate 60,569,046, forward strand.
ATCAAGACTTATTCTAAAGCTACTAGTTTCTTGAGACACTCTGTTTCTGGGGGAGCCATGAGGGGCCATATTACAAGTATAACTACACTGAGACTGCAGAACTGGAGAAGCCACCTATAGAGCCTATTGTCAGAGTCCTAGCAATTGAGAGATTTAATAACTGTCCCAGTTATTAAGACAGTGCATGTGTAAAATATGCCAACAAAACAGAATAGAGTTCAAAAACAGATGTACACATTTTTAGACAATTTATAACAAGAACAGTTCAGAGCTGTATAAAGTATAGTTTTCAATAAATTGTCTTACAATGGGATAAAATGTACTTATAACTTTCAATAAATTCATAAAAATGAATGAGTTCCAGGCAGATTATAGATCTAATTGTTAAAGATAATACAATCAACAAAATATTAGCAAGTGAAACCCAACAGCATATTATTTACAAAGAAACAGAATTATTTAAAATGACCAAGTTAGATTTATCCTAGAAATGCAAGGGTGGTTCAATATAAGAAAATCAATCAGTGTAATATATCAAATTAATAAAACAAAGGGGAATAAAATGATATGATTATCTCAATTGTTGCAGGAAAAGCATATAACAAAATTCAACACCTTGCATGATAAAAACTCAGAAAACTAGGAATAGAGGAAAAATTTCTGAACACTATAAAGGATATTTATGAATGAATACAGATAATATGATTATCTATGGTAAAAGACTGAAAGACTTCTCTCTAAGATCAGGAACAAGACAAGGATGCCCTCTTCCACCTCTGCTATTTGACATTGTACTGGAAGATCTAGCTAGAGCAGTTAGACAAAAAAAAAAAAAAAAGAAACAAAAGGCATCTAAATTGAAAAGAAAGTGGCAAAGCTCTCTCTGTCAGTAGATAACATTATCTTCTACATAGAAAATAAAAAAGAATCCATATAACAGCTAGTAAAAGCATTTATCAAAGTAGCAAGGTATAAGATCAACACGCAAAAATTAGTTATGTTTTTATATACCAGTAATGAACAATCCAAAAAGGAAATCAAGAAAGCAATACCATTTACAATAGCATATAAAAAACTAAATACTTAGGAATAAAACAAACCAAGGAGGTGAAAGACTTGTATGCTAAAAACTAGAAAATATTGCTGAAAGTAATTAAAGGAGATCTAAATAAATGTAAAGACATATGTGTTCATGGATAGAAAGTCTTAACATTGCTAAGACATTAATACTGTTACCCAAAGCAATATATAGATTCGATGCAATTTCTATCAAAATCCCAACAGCCTTTTTGCAAGAATGGAAAATAAGTTCTTCAAATTCATTTGGAATTACAGGCCAAAATGATCTTGGGAAAGAACAATAATGTTGGAGGACTCACACTTCCTGACTCCAAAAACTGTAGCAAAGCTACAGTTATTAAAAGTATGGTAATGGCATGAAGACAAACATACAGACATATTGAAAAAAATTGAGAGCCCAGAAATAAAGTCTTGCATATATGGTCAATAGATTTTTGTCAAGAATGTCAGGACCACTGAATGGGGAAGGGACAGTATTCTCAACAAATGCTGTGGGAAAATTGGATATCTATATGCAAAAGAATCAAGTTGGACCCTTTATACCATATACAAAAATTAACTGAAGAGAAACTTAACATCTAAACTTAAACAAAAGACAAAACTATAAAATGCTTAGAAGGAAAGAGTGCGGAAAATATTTACAAGACTGGATTTGGCAATAATTTCATAGATATGACACCAAAGGCACAAAGCAGCAAAAGCAAAAAGAGATAAATTCGACTTAATCAAAATTAAGAACTTCTGTGCATCAAAAAACACTCAAAAGAGTGAAAAGACAATCTACAGAGTGGGAAAATAGTTGCAAATCATATATCTGACAAGGAATTAATATCCAGAATATATAAAGAACTCCTATAACTTAATAATAACAAAAAATTTTCAAAGTGGGCAAAGAACTTGAATAGACATTTCTCTAAAGAACATAGACAATGACTAATAACCACATGAAAAGATGTTCAGCATCACTAACCATTAGGGAACTGAAAAATCAAAACCACAATGAGATACCACTTCATACCCATTGGGACAGCCATCACTAAAAAAGGAAAGGAGGGAGGGAGGAAGGAAAGAAAGAAAAAAGGAAGGAAGGAAGGAAGGAAACAAGTGTTGGTGAGGATGTGGAGAAATTGGAACCTTGCGTCTGCTGGTGGGAATGTGAAATGTTAGAGCCTCTGTGGAAAACAGTGTGGTGGTTCCTAAAAAAGTTACACATAACATTACCATATCTTCCAGCAATTCCACTTCTAGGTATATACCTCCAAAGAACCAAAAGCAAGGACTCAAACAGATATTGGTACACTAAGTCAATGTCAACATTATTCATGATAGCCAAAAAATGGAAACAATCCAAATGGCCATCATCAGATGAATGAATAAACAAAATGTGTTATATATGTATGCAATAAAATATTATTGTCTTACAAATGAATGAAATTCTAATGCGTTCAACACCTTGAAAGCAAACCTTGAAAATGTTATGCTTAGTTAAATAAGCCAGGCACAGAAAGACAAATGTTGTATAATTCCACTTACATGAGGTATCTAGAATAGGCAAATTCATACAGCCAGAAAGCAAAATAGAGGTTACAAGGAGACGGAAGAAGAGGAGAAGGGAAGATACTGCTTAATGGGGAGTATTTCATCTTGTTGGGATGATGAAAAAGTTTTGGTTATAGATAGTGATGATTGGTACACAGCATTGTGAATGTATTTAATACCACTGAATTGTATACATACAAATGGTTTAAATGATAAATAATATGCTAAGTATATCTTACCACAATTGAAAAGGATAATACAATAGGCTTCTAGATTTTAGCATAGGTGATTATCATCATCATCTTGGAGCAGCTAAAGATTTCCTAAAATAGATACAGAGAGCACTGATCATGGGGGATAATATTGATAAAATGGTATACATTAAAATCAGGAACATCTATTAAAGGACACTATTTAGAAAGTGAAAAGGCAAGCCACAGACTAGGAGAAGGTATTTCAAAGTATACAGTATCCTAAAAGGTTTACTTTCAAGTTTTGGTAACTTCAAAAGTACAAACTCAAACAAATCATTTTATCATTTAATTACTTAAATTTATTTTACATGTATTTAGTTTTATGAATTTTTAGTAATACAATTTAATGTCCATTTTTCATTTCAGTCACTCTGAAGATGGAAATTTTTTTCTATAGAGTCAATTTGCTGAACATGAAAAAACCAGTGCCACATAGCACAGGGAGGTCTCCAAGAGCCCCTGTGTCTTTCTATTGAGCCCCAAAGCCCCATCCAGATCTCTTCATCCTTCTTGATGAGTTTTCCTATAGTACCTTTTCTTTCTTTTTTTTTTTTTATTATTATACTTTAAGTTTTAGGGTACATGTGCACAACGTGCAGGTTAGTTACATATGTATACATGTGACATGTTGGTGTGCTGCACCCATTAACTCGTCATTTAACATAAGGTATATCTCCTAATGCTATCCCTCCCCCATCCCCCACCCCACAACAGGCCCCAGTGTGTGATGTTCCCCTTCCTGTGTCCATGTGTTCTCATTGTTCAATTCCCACCTATGAGTGAGAACATGTGGTGTTTGGTATTTTTGTCCTTGCCATAGTTTGCTAAGAATGATGGTTTCCAGCTTCATCCATGTCCCTACAAAGGACATGAACTCATCATTTTTTATGGCTGCATAGTATTCCATGGTGTATATGTGCCACATTTTCTTAATCCAGTCTATCATTATTGGACATTTGGCTTGGTTCCAAGTCTTTGCTATTGTGAATAGTGCCACAATAAACATATGTGTGCATGTGTCTTTATAGCAGCATGATTTATAATCCTTTGGGTATATACCCAGTAAAAAAAGAGCCTGCATTGCCAAGTCAATCCTAAGCCAAAAGAACAAAGCTGGAGGTATCATGCTACCTGACTTCAAACTATACTACAAGGCTACAGTCACCAAAACAGCATGGTACTGGTACCAAAACAGAGATATAGACCAATGGAACAGAGCAGAGCCCTCAGAAATAATGCTGCATATCTACAACCATCTGATCTTTGACAAACCTGACAAAAACAAGAAATGGGGAAAGGATTCCCTATTATTAAGACAAGAAAATTGTCAAATAAATACTCCAAACTCTCACCTAAAAAAAACTAGAAAAGGAAGAGCAAAATAAACCCAAATAAATCAGGAGAAAATAATAAAGATAAGTCAATAAAATTAAAATTTAAAAAGTAGAGAAAATCAGTACAACAAATAGTTGATTCTTTTAAAAGATCATCAAAATCAACAAACATCTAGCAAAACTGATCAAGAAAAAGAAAGAGAAGACAAAAATTATCAAACTCAGAAATAAAATAGAGTATATTACTACAGATAATTTATATCTCAAAATAATATTAAGAGACTACTATCAGTAACTCTATAGACACAAATTTGACAACTTTGATAAAATGAACAAATTTTCCCAAAAAGCACAAACTACAACTCAATATGAAATAGATCATTTTAATGGCCCTATAATTGTTAGAAAAATAAAATTTGTAATTTTAAAACTCCTGAAAAAGACATCTCCAGGCCTGATTTCACCAAAGAATTCTACCAGATGTTCTTAGAATATTCAACACCAGTTTTTCTCAATATTTTTCAAAAAAACAGAAGAGAATGAAACATTTCCCAACTTATTTGAAGAAGCCAATATTATTCTGATACCAAAATCAAATAAGACAAAGATAGTACAAAAGAAGAAAACTATAGATCCATATCCTTCAGAATATAGACAAAAACATCATTTATGAAGTATTAGGAAATATAATTCAGCAATACTTAAAAATAATTTTCCACCATGACTAAGTGAAACTTATTCCAGATATACACAGCTGGTTTAGTACTCAAGAAGCAATCAATGTAACCCATCATATTAATAGGCTAAAGAAGGAAAATCACATGATCATGTCAGTTGATGCAAAATAAACCACATTTGACAAAATTTAACACCCATTCATGATATTTTAGAAAGCTCTTAGAATAATAGAAATGTAGGAGAACTTCCACAACCTGATAAAGAACACCTACAAAAAAACTTACAGCTAACATTATATTTCATCTTTAAAAATTGAATTATTTTCCCCTAAGATTGGTAACAGTGCAAAGATACCATCTCTCACCATGCTTACTAGCACAGTACTAGAAGTCTTAGCACAGATCAATAAGATAAAAAAAGAAACATAAAAAGCATACAGATTGTAAAGGAGAAAATAAAAATATCCCTGTTTGCAGATGACATGATGATCTGTGTAGAAAATCCCATGCAATAAAAAAGAAAAGGACTCCTGGAACTAATAAGTGAGTTCAGCAAGGTCACAGGATACAAGATTAATGATCAACATACAAAATTAATTATATTTTTATATAATAGCAATGAACATATGGACAACAAAATTTAAAACAATATTATTTAAAATCACTCAAACAATTAAATACTTAGGTATAAATTTAGCAAAATATGTACAGGACTTATATTTTGAAAATTATCTAATACTAATAAAAGAATTCAGGAGGCTGAGGTGGGTGGATCACCTGAGGTCAGGAGTTCAAGACAAGCCTGACCAACCTGGTAAAACCCCATCTCTACTAAAAATACAAAAATTAGCCTGGCGTGGTGGCATGTGCCTGTAATCCCAGCTACTCAGGAGGCTGAGGCAGGAGGATTGCTTGAATCTGGGAGGCAAAGGTTGCAGTGAGCCAAGATCATGCCACTGAATTCCAGCCTGGTTGACAAGAGCAAAACTTCACCTCTGAAAAAAAAATAAATTAAATAAAATAAAACAATTCCAAGTAGGTTACATAAATGAAAAGCCATTTATATTTGTGGCTGAAAATCTCAACATAGTAAAAATATTAATTGTCCCAAAATTGACATATAGATTTAGCACAATTCCTATCAAAATCCTGGAAACATTTTTTGTAGATTTAAATAAGATTATCTAAAATTTCTATGGAAAGGTTGAGAAGCTAGAATAGCTAAAATTTTTTAAAGAAGAATGAAGTGAAAGGAAACATACTACCTGATTTTAATACATATAACTACAGATATTAAGACTGTGTGGTATTGGTGTAGCAACAGATACATGGATAAATGGAACAGAACACAGAATCCATGAGTAGACTCATACAAGTACGGTTGACTGATTTTTTATAAAAGTAATTCAACGGAGGAAGTATAGTCATCTCTAAAAATGGTGTTGGACTAACTGGATAACCAGTGGCAAAAAATAAAAGAAAAGAACCTCAAATTAAAGTCTCCTACCTTATACAAAAATTAATTCAAAATGAATAATATGTTTAAATATAAAACTATAACACTTTTAGAAGAAAGCATAGGAGAAAATATTTAGTACCTAGGACTCTAGAGCTCTTTAACATGACCTTAAAAACATGATCCATCCACAAAAGACACAAATCAATACATTTTACTTCACCAAAATTAAGTTTTGTTTTGTGAAATACCCTTGTTAGGAAGATGGAATGACAAGCTACAGAGTAGGAGAAAATACTTGCTAACCACATCTCTGACAAAGGATTTGTGTCTAAGAATATCCTTCTTAAAATCCTTAAAACTCAACAGCAGAAAATACACAAATGATCCAACTTTAAAACCAGCAAAAGACGTGAAAAGACATTTCACTGAAGAAGATATACAGACGGCATAAGCATATAGAAAGATGCTCAACATCATTAGCCACCAGAGAAATGCAAATTAAAACCACAATGAGATATCACTACAAACCTATTAGAACAACTAAAATAAGAAATTGTGACAATACCAAATGCTGGAGATGATGCAGAGAAACTGGATCTCTCTTACATTGCCAATGAGAATATAAAAATGATACAATCACTCTCGAAAATAGTTTGACATCTTATTTAAATACTAAACATACACTTAACATTAAATTTAGCAAGTGAGCTCCAGGGTATTTATCTTGGACAACTGAAAACTGATGTCTGCAGAATTTACACATGACTATTCATAGCATCTTTATTTGTAATAGCTCCCAAAGTGGAAACTATCAAAATACCCCCTCAAGAGCTGAATAAACTCTAGTTGTTCATACCGTAGACTACTACTCAGAAATTAAAAAGGAGTGAACTACATTATTACACATAACAACTTGATGGATCTCAAAGGTATTTTGCTGGACAACAACAAAAAAGCCAATCACAAAATGAACATACTGAATTATTCCATTTATTTGACATTATCAAAATGATAATAGTGAGGATAAGAAAAACAAATTAGTGACTACCAGAAGTTCAGCATTGTTGGGACAATAAAGATATAGCATGAGGGATATCTTCATGGTGATAGAATAGTTCTGTATCCTGATTATGGTTGTGATTATGCAAATATGCTTATGTGCTCAAATGACACATAACTATACACACACACTATATCAAGGTTATTTTCCTAACTTTGATATCGTCATATAGTTATGTAAGATGGTGCCATTCTGAAAATCTGGATTCAGGACACAAGGACCTGTCCATACTAGTTTTGAAAATTCCTATGAATTTGTAATTACTTAAAAAATAAAGTTATTTTTAAATTCTACATCCTTCACTAAACTCAGACTTCAGAGAAAGTCATCGTTTTCCATGCCAAGCAAGGAGATGAAATGTGCACAGCATGTCAATCAGTGGGAAAAGTCCTATCCATTCCAGTTTCCCCTTGCTTCCTGCCACAGCCTGCCTGAAGTACCTCTAAATGCATAGTTTTGTGTTGCCTAGGGGTTAATCTGTAAGTGAAAATAGTATTTTCATTAATTAGCCACTTCTTGGCTCTCCCCAGAATCACACACCAGAACAGAAGCTCATTGCAAACTTCAAGTAGAGATGTCCAGTGTTTTAAGAAAATCTGTGAGAAAAATATGTCAGGAATCCCCAGACATTGTGAAAATATGGTTGCAGTATGGCAAAAGATGCTAAGTTATGAACTCCAATCCTGCTCCTTCAGCTTTTTCAAACTTAACCACTGCGCTTACCTGGGGGTGTAGGTAGGGAGAGTCGGAATGTTGGTTCATTCAGCTGTGGCAGAACAAAAGCACCCCTGAGAAATATCTACCTGAAAACCAACTGGAAGGCCCTACAGTGATACGTTAGAGGGCTCTTCATACAACTTAGAATTGTCCTCCTCCTATGGCTCAGAAACTGTCATAGCTGGCCTATAACTTCTGTGGGTACAAATTATCTGAGACCTCCACATCAGGAAATAGCCCCTTGGAAGAGTGACAGAAAACCAAGGATCCCAAAGGCTCACTATCCTTTTGAAAGGACCCTCTTATAAAGGACCCAGGACTATCAGTTATAGATGTTATGGAGGTGGGAAGAACAAAAGGAACCAAAGTCCAAAAATCAGCTTTGGTAAAATAAGAGAAATCTAGGGAAGGTCAGAAATACCAAGTCTAGTTGCCTGTAGAACATAAAAGCTGTATATTCAGGATAAGATTGTTGACCTAGGTCAAGAATTCTTGACCATACAGGTACATAGTCATTATATCTACAAACTGCTCTGAAATAATAAACTTTCCTTATCTGAGTTGAATGTTGAGAAATTTAAAATTCTGTTAGGTCATCACCTTCTGTCTTCATCATGGCTTTTTCTTGATGTGTATTCCTTTCAAAGGTTGAACTAAAATAATAATTAGTGATAGTGTTATTTTCTTCTAGGTGATACAAGTAATGACTGGCATACTTCTTCACTGCCTGGGACTGCTCTGGATGTATTTGTTACTCACACAAACTACTGCATTTGGAGCCACATATATTCCTCTTGCATTACTAACGGCATACCCATTTTGGTCATCCTTGCTTGTGGTAAATAATCAAATTTCTGATTGTTATTCATTAATTTATTCGTTACATGTAATGACTGTTTATCAGTCAAGCAGTGTGCCAGAGACTGAACACTAAAAATGCACAATCTCTATTCTCAAGGAACTCATTTTACCTGGTTGAAAATAATATACCAATATGAAAAAACTTAGATTCTTATCAGTGATATTCTTTAATAATAAGAGTCTATTTTGTTAAAAGGCTACATTTTACATTCTTCTAGGATATGGAGAAAAATGATAAGATGCCCAAGGGGCATTTTGGGAAAACAGAAAATGGTTGGTGACTATTCAACTGCCCATATGGTATTTATTTTGCCAGTGGGGCAAATAAAAAATGAGAGAGCATAACTGCTGAGGAAATAGTGGGATATATACAATTTGTGTAGGGAAAGAAGCATAAAATCTTTGTGTTGTATTCAAGAAGTATTTGGTAAAATTGAACAGAGATTTTGAAATTGAATTTTATTGTGACTGATAGTATGATGAGTGATGTGCCATTGTCTTTAAAGGGGATATCATGAAGAAGATATTATGGTGGTTGATGTGCCATGTTTCCTACAAAATCCTGAGTAAAGTTTATTATAATATCACATTTGGAGTTTGATCACTCAACCAGTACTTATTGAGTACTATGATGTGTCAGGCACTGTTTTAGGTGCCTGAGATACATTAGCAAACAAAACAAAGATCCCACTTCTTATGGAGCTTTTATTCTAGCATGGTGTAGTATATTAGAAGATGATAAGGCCATAGAAGCAGAAAGAAAAAGAGTAGGCTAAGGGGGACTGGAATTTTTGGGAAAGTGGCAAAGGGATGTAGGTTATCATCTAAAATTGGATGGTTGAGGTAGGGCTCCTTGAAAAAGTGACTCTATTACTGATCTATTGTTATATAATAAACCACCAAAAACCCAGTGGCATACAATTACAAGCATTTATTTTTTACTCATGCAGACTTGGCAGAGATTCAACTGCTCTTGGCCTGGTTTCAAGCTATAGGACAGGTCCAGATCCACTCCATATGTATCTTATTGCCTTTAGACTAGTGACTACTAGAGGCATATTCTTCTCACAATGAAAAGCAAGAACACAAGAGGACAATCCTAATCACACAAGACCATTTCAAGCTTTGGCTTGGGTCATGTTTGTTAAAATCCCAGCTAAAACAAATAAAATGATCAAGTCCTAAATTAAAGAGCAGGGAAGCATAATCTAAGCACCATGAGATCACAGCAAGAGTATGAAAATATATTATTATTACCTAAAAGTAAAAAATTGTGACCAACAGTTCAAACTACCATAGTGACATTTGAGCAAAGACTTGAAAAAGTGATGGTTTTGACCACAAGGATATGCTGGGAAAGAACATCTCAGGAGAACAGTTAGAATGAATTCTTCAATGAAGGTTCCTAGAAAAATGTAGTCAGTATTTCTGGAACAGAGTGAGCAAGCACAATAGTAGTAGAAAACAAGTTAGAAAAAATAATGGGGCGCCGGTTAATATAGGGCTATGTAAGCCATTGTAAAGATTTTAGCTTTTACTGTTAGTGAAATTGGAGTTATTATAGTGTTTCATAAACAGAGTTAAATAATCTGGCTTAGGTTTTAAAGGAATCACTTTGGTTTCTGTGTTGAAAAGAGAATGAAGGGGTCCAAAGAGACTTTTTAGAAAGCTACTTCAAAAGTCCAGGTGAGACTCAAACAAAGTTGTTAGTAGTGAAGGTGGTGAAAGTAATGATGTAGATATATGTTGAGGTAGAGCCAATTTAATATCCTGATGGATTGGGTATGGAGTGTGAAAGAAGTTAAAGATAATGCCAGGGTTTTTGTTCAAGCTAATAGAAGGAATGACTTGACATCAACTGATACAGGGAAGACTGTGTACAGAACTGGTTTTCAGAGGAAGACAATGAGTTTGCTTTGAAAATGTTGAGTTTGAAGTATTTATTTAATATTCAACTGGAGATGTCAAGTAGCCTGTTGGACATGGAATGTAGAGTTCAGAAGACAGAATTAGAATAAAAGATACAGACTTGCAGAAAGGACAAGACTTCACCAACCAAGTATCTGCTGCCTTCAAGAGACTCACCTAACACATAAGGAATCACATAAACTTAAAGGAAAGGGGTAGAAAAAGATGTTCCATGCAAATGGACACCAAAAGCTAGCAGGAGTAACTATTCCTCTATGAGACAAAACAAACTTCAAAGGAACAGCAGTTAAAAAAGACAAAGATAGACCTTATATAATAATAAAAGGCCTTGTCCAACAAGAAAATATCACAGTCCTAAATATATACGCACCTAATGCTGGAGCTCCCAAATTTATAAAACAATTACTACTAGACCTAAGAAATGAGATAGCAACACAATAATAGGGGGGACTTCAATACTCCACTGGCAGCACTAGACAGGTCATCAAGACAGAAAATCGACAAAGAAACTATTGATTTAAACTATACCCTGGAAGAAATTGACTTAACAGATATTTACAAAACCATTGTACCCAACAACTGCAGAATATGCATTCTATTCATCAGCACATGGAACTTTCTCCAAGATAGACCAAATGATAGGCCACAAAACAGGTCTCAATAAATTTAGGAAAACTGAAATAATATCAAGTATTCTCTCAGACCACGTGGAATAAAATTGGAAATCAACTCCAAAAGGGACCTTCAAAACCATGCAAATACATGGAAATTAAATAACCTGCTCCTGAATGATCATTGGGTCAACAATGAAATCACAATGGAAATTACAAAATTCTTTGAACTGAATAATAGTGACACAAACTATCAAAACCTCTGGGATACAGCAAAGGCAGTACTAAGAAAAAAGTTCATACCCTTACATGCCTACATCAAAAAGTCTGAAAGAGCACAAATAGACAATCTAAGGTCACACCTCAAGGAACTAGAGAAACAAGAACAAACCAAACACAAACCCAGCAGAAGAAAAGAAATAGCCAAGATTAGAGCAGAACAAAATGAAATTGGGGGAAAAAAGCAATGCAAAAGATAAATGAAACAAAGAGCTGGCTCTTTGAAAAGGTAAATAAAATTGATAGACCATTAGCAAGAGTAACCAAGAAAAGAGAGATGATCCAAATAAGCTCAATTAGAAATGAAATGGGAGATATTACAACTGAAACCACAGAAATACAAAAGTTAACTCAAGGCTACTATGAACACCTTGTGCACATAAATTAGAAAACCTAGAGGAGATGGAAAAATTTCTGGAAATTTACTACCCTCTTAGATTAAACCAGGAAGATATAGAAGCTCTGAACATACCAAAAACAAGCAGCAAGATTAAAATGGTAATTAAAAATTACTAACAAAAAAAAAGCCCAGGACCAGTTGGATTCACAGCAGAATTCTATCAGACCTTCAAAGAAGAATTGGTACCAATCCTACTGACACAACTCCAAAAGACAGAGAAAGAGGGAATCCTCCCTAAATCATTCTATGAGGCCAGTATCACCCCAATACCAAAACCAGGAAAAGGACATAACAAAAAAAGAAAACTACAGACAAATATCCCTGATGAACATAAATGCAAAAATCCTTAACAAAATACTAGCTAACCAAATCCAACAGCATATCAAAAAAGTAATCCACCATGATCAAGTGGGTTTCACACCAGGAAGGCAGGGGTGTTTTAACATACTCAAGTCAATAAATGTGATACGCCACATAAACAGAATTAAAAACAAAAATCACATGATCATCTCAATAGATGCAGAAAAAGCATTTGACAAAATCCAGCATCACTTTATTATTAAAACCCTCAGCAAAATTGGCATACAAGGGACATACCTCAATGTAATAAAAGCCATCTAACAAATCTACAGCCAACATAATACTGAATGGGGAAAAGTTGAAAGCATTCCCTCTGAGAACTGGAACAAGACAAGGATGCTCACTCTCACCACTTCTATTCAACATAGTGCTGGAAGTCCTAGCCAGAGCAATCAGACAAGAGAAAGAAATAAAAGGCATCCAAATCAATAAAGAGGAAGTCAAACTCTTGCTGTTTCCTAATGATACAGTTGTATATCCAGAAAACCCTAATGACTCATCCAAAAAACTCTTAAAACTGGTAAATGAATTCAGCAAAGTTTCAGGATATAAAATTAATGTACACAAATCAGTAGCTCTGCTATACACCAACAGCAACCAAGCTGAGAAACAAATGAAGAACTCAACCCCTTTTACAATAGCTGCAAAAAAAATAAAATATTTAGGAGTACACCTAACTAAGGAGTTGAAAGACCTCTACAATGAAAACTACAAAACACCACTAAAAGAAATCATAGATGACAGAAATAAATAGAAACATCCCATGCTCATTTGCTGGGTAGAATCAGTATTTTGAAAATGGCCATACTGCCAAAAGCAATCTACAAATTCAGCACAATTCCCATCAAAATACTACCATCGTTCCTCACAGAACTGGAAAAAAACAATCCTACAGTTCATATGGAACCAAAAAAAAAAAAAAAAAGCCTACATAGCTAAAGCAAGATTAAGCAAAAACAACAGATCTGGAAGCATCATATTACCCAACTTCAAACTATACTATAAAGCCCAAACAGCATGGCACTGGTATAAAAATAGGCACATAGACCAGTGGAACAGAATAGAGAACCCAGAAATAAAGCCAAATACTTACAGTTGGTGTATCTTTGACAAAGCAAACAAAAACATAAAGTGGGGAAAGGACACCCTATTTAACAAATGGTGCTGAGAGAATTGGCAAGCCACATATAGGAGAATGAAACTGGACCCTCATCTCTCACCTTATTCAAAAATCAACTCAACATGGATCAAGGACTTAAATCTAAAAAAAAATATATAGAAGATAACATCGGAAGAACCCTTCTAGACATTGGCTTGGGCAAAGACTTCATGACCAAGAACCCAAAAGCAAATGCAACGAAAACAAAGATAAATAGGTGGGATTTAATTAAACTAAAGAGCTTCTGCACAGCAACAGGAACAGTCAGCAGAGTAAACATCAGAGTAAACAGACAACCCACAGAGTGGGAGAAAATCTTCACAATCTACACATCTGACACAGGACTAATATCCAGAATCTACAAGAAACTCAAACAAATTAGCAAGAAAAAATCAAACAGTCCCATCAAAAAGTGGGCTAAGGACATGAATACACAATTCTCAAAAGAAGATATACAAATGGCCAATAAACATATGAAAAAATGCTCAACATCACTAATGATCAGGGAAATGCAAATCAAAACCACAATGTGATACCACCTTACTCCTGCAAGAATGGCCATAATAAAAAAATTAAAAAAAATAGATGTTGGCATGGATGCAGTGAAAAGGGAACACTTCTATGCTGGTGGGGGAATGTAAACTAATACAACCATTATGGAAAACAGTGTGGAGAGTTCTTAAAGAACTAAAAGTAGAACTACGATTTGATCCAGTAATCCCACTGCTGGGTATCTACTCAGAGGAAAAAAAAAGGTCATACAAAAAAGATACTTGCACCCACATGTTTATAGCAGCACAATTTGCAATTGAAAAAATATGGAACCAGCCCAAATGTCCATCAATCTACAAGTAGATAAAGAAGCTGTGGTATACATTTACAATGGAATACTACTCAGCCATAAAAAGCAACAAATTAATGGCATTCACAACAACCTGGATGGAACTGGAGACTACTATTTTAAGTGAAGTAACTCAGGAATGAAAAACCAAACATTGTATGTTCTCACCCATAAGTGGGAGCTAAGCTATGAGGCTGCAAGGGCATAAGAATGATACAGTGGACTTTGGGGACTCAGGGGAAAGGGTGGGAGAGGGTGAGGGATAAAAGACTACAAATTGGGTTCAGTGTATACTGCTCAGGTGATGGGTGCACCAAAATCTCACAAGTCACCGCTAAAGAATTTACTCATGTAACCAAATACCACCTGTTCCCAAAAACCTATATAAATTTTTTAAAAATAATAAATGTAATGACAAAAAAGCTTAAAAAAGTAAGAAATCTTTAAAAAATAGAATAAAGAGTCATTGGCATCTAGTAATGAGACTAGATGAGATCACCAAAGAAATAAATAAACATAGAAAAGAAGAGATAACTAAGGACTAGAGCAGCACTGTCCAATACAATAGTCACATGTACCTACTGAACCTGGAAAATGCAACTAAACTGCCCTGAGAAGTGCTGTAAAGATAAAATACATATAAGATTTCAAAACTTAGTATACATTTTAAAATGTAAAATATATAATTATTTTATAGTGATTCTGTCTCGAAATAATTTTGGATATGTGAACTTATAGAAAATATATTATTAAAATAAGTTGTATATATTTCTTTTTAGTTTTCTTAATATGGCACTTGGAAACTTACAATTACATATGTTGCTTGCATTATATTTCTATTGGACAGCCCTAGACAATATTCTGACTGAGGACAGTGCTATGATTAGGTTTGTTTTAATACTATCACTCTATGAGTAATAAGAGATTAGATTAGAGGAGTTAGAAGAGGCTACTGCAGTGATTCAGACAAGAAAAATGGGGCCTTAATTCAATTTAGAGGTGCCAAAAATATAGGTTCTGTCTTAGTCCATTTTGTGTTGCTGTAATAGAACATCACAGGCTAAGTAATTTATAAAAGAAAACAAATGTACTTCTCACAGTTCTTCGGGATGGGGACTCTAATATCAAGATGCTGGCATCTTGTGAGGGCCTTCATGCTGCATCGTCTCATGATGGAAAGTCTAAGGGCAGGTCGGGCGCGGTGGCTCATGTCTGTAATCCCAGCACTTTGGGAGGCTGAAGTGGGTAGATCACGAGGTCAGGAGATCGAGACCATCCTGCCTACCACGGTGAAACCTTGCCTCTACTAAAAATACAAAAAATTAGCCAGGCATTGTGGCGGGCACCTGTAGTCCCAGCTACTCGGGAGGCTGAGCCGAGATCATGCCACTGCACTCCAGCCTGGGCCACAGAGCAAGACTCCATCTCGGGAAAAAAAAAAATCAATGAAACAGGTAGTTGGTATTTTGCAAAGTTTAACAAAATTGACAAATGTTTAGACAGACTAACCAGGAAAAAAAGAGAGAAGATTCAAATAAATAAAATCTCAAATTAAAAAGGAGACATTACAACTGATGTTGCAGAAATTCAAAAGATCATTAGTGGCTACTATGAGCAACTATATGCCAATAAATTGGAGAATCTAGAAGAAATGAACAAATTCCAAGATACATACAACCTACCGAGATTGAACCATAAAGAAACCCAAAACCTGAACAGACCAATAACAAGTAATGAGGTCAAAGCCATAGTAAAAAGTCTCTCAGTAAAGAAAAACCTGGGACCGATAGCTTAACTGATGAATTCTACCAAACATTTAAAGATTCTACTCAATTCTACTCAAACTGTTTCAAAAAAACAGAGGAGAAGGGAATACTTCCAAAGTCATTCTATAAGGCTAGTAAAACCCTAATACCAAAACCAGACAAGGACACATCAAAAAAATAAAAAGAAAAAAAAAACTACAGGCCAATCTGATGAATATTGATGCAAAAATCCTCAACAAAATAATAGCAAACCAAATTCAACAATACATCAGAAAGATCATTCATCATGACCAAGTGGGATTTACCCCT